>NC_000020.11:43890476-44193506 GCF_000001405.40 Homo sapiens
GGAGGCAGTTTGTCAGGTATTTCAGCCTGAAGCTTTTCTACAAGTAATACTAACGAAATGTTCAGTCCTTCAGGCTGAAATGATAGGACAATAGGAAGTAACTCAAATCGACATAAAGAAATAAAGGTAACTACATAGGTAAATACAAAGGCCAAAATACATACAAAAGGAAAAATAAATTTATTTTTTTCTTTGTAACCCTTTTTTTCTCTTATTTGTTTTAAAGGATAGCGATATGAAGCAAAAATTATGAATCTATGTTGATGGTCATACAGTGTGTAAAGATGTAATCTGTATGACAAAAATAGTACAAAAGTTGGAGAGGGAATGAAGTTATATTGGAGAATGGTTTATGTATACAATTGAAATGAAGGTAATAACTAGGTTGTTATAAATTAAGATGCTAATTATAATCTCCAGGGCAACCACTAAGAAAATAACTAAAATATATATAGTGAAAGAAATGACAAAGGAATACTAGAAAATATCTAGTACAAAAGAAGGTAATAATGGAGGACTAGAAGAAACAAAAAAAAGAAACATATAAAAACAAACATCAGAATGGCAGACATAAAGCCTACCTTATCAGCAATTATATGAAATTACTCTACATAATCAAAATATAAAACTTTTATGTTTTGTTGGACACCACTGAGAAAGTGCAAGACTACTCAGAATGAGAGAAAAGTTCAAATTATATATCTGATAAGGGACTTATATCTAGAATATATAAAGAACTCCTACAGTTCAACAATAACTAAACAAATAACCCAATTTAAACATTGTGCAAAGGATCTGAATATACATATCTCCAAAGAAGATGTACAAAGACAATAAGCACATAAAAAGATGCCAAACATCATTAGCCAGCAGGGAGAGAAATGCAAATTAAACCAACAATGGGCCGGGTGAGGTGGCTCATGCCTGTAATCCCAGCACTTTGGGAGGCTGAGGTGGGCAGATCATTAGGTCTGAAGATCGAGACCATCCTGGCTAACATGGTGAAACCCTGTCTGTACTAAAAATACAAAAAATTAGCCGGGCATGGTGGCGGGTGCTTGTAGTCCCAGCTACTTGGGAGGCTGAGGCAGGAGAATGGTGTGAACCCTGGAGGCGGAGCTTGCAGTGAGCCGAGATCGCGCCACTGCACTCCAGCCTGGGCAACAGAGCGAGACTCTATCTCAAAAAAAAAAAAAAAAAAGCCAACAATGAATACATTTTTTGTTTGTGTTCTTTTTAAGAGATGTGGTCTCACTATGGTGCCCAGACTGGAGTGCAGTAGCTACTCACAGGCACATTCATGGCATACTGTAGCCTCAAACTCCTGGGCTCAAGTGATGCTCCCACTTCATCCTCTCAAGTATCTGGGACTACAGACATGCACCACTGCACCCAGCTTAAAACAATGAGATAGTACTTCAGACCACTAGAATGGCTATGATAAAAATGATGGACAATAATAAAGGTTGGCGAGGATGTAGAGAAATTGGGACATGCCTACACTGATGGTGGGAATGTAAAATGGTGCAGCTGCTTTGAAAAACTCTGGCAATTCCTCATGAAGTCAGACATACAGTTACCACATGAACCAGCAATTCCATTCATAGGTATATGATCCCCAGAATTGAAAATCTATGTTCATACAAAAACTTGCACAGAAATGTTCATAGCAGCTTTATTCATAATAGCCAAAAAGTAGAAAGAACCCAAATGTCCATTAACTGATGAATGGATAAACGAAACATGGTATATCCATACAGTGAAATATTAGTCAGCCTTAAAAAGGGATGAACTACTGATGCATGCAAAACACAGATGAACCTTGAAAACATTTTGTTAAAGAAGCCGGACACAAAGAGTCACATATTGTATGATTCCATTTATGTGAAATGTCTGGAAAAGGCATATCCATAGAGACAGAAAGAAGATTAGTGGTTGCCAGGGGCTTGGAGAAGGGGGTAATGCAGAGTGGTTGCTAATGGTTACAGAGTTTCTTTTTAGAGTGATGAAAATGTTCTGGAATTTGATAGTGGTGACTGTTGGACTACTCTGTGGATGTATGAAAAACCACTGAATTGCAGTTTAAGGGTAAATATTATAGTGTGTGAATTATATCTCAGTTTTAAAAATGGGACGGAGTTGTACCTAGACCTCTAATGTGCAAGGGACTTCCTCCTATGTCCTACCTCTATCACCTGGACATGTCTAAGTGGCCCTCCTGCCATCACCTTGACCCCTCTTGGTCCCTGTATTAGTCAGGTTTCTTCAGAGAAACAGAACCAATAGGATATCAACATCAATATTGGCGTTGACACCAGTATCTATATTGACAAAAATATTGATATATGGAGAGATATAGACACATAGAAAGACCAGCTGTTCACCCAACAAGCTCCTTCCTGTCCCCTTTGGGAGCTCTATTCTTTATACTCCCAGTAACTAGCTAGGATTCCATGACTAGAATCATCACTTCTATTTCCTTCTTGTTGTGAGGTTAATGAGGGGATACATATTGAGCCCAGAACCTGGCCAGTCCAGGGACTGTGGATGTCCTGGTGAGGGTGACTGGCGACAGCTCCTGAGATGTAGAAAATGAGAATCTATGGTTCTTTGAACAGTGCCTGGCTCCTGAGACCCTAACCTCTATGCATTGACTAGAATATGCTCAGCTTTCTTAAAGACTAGAATTAAAAATCTAATAATATTACAATTCTGCTCAAAACCTTCATCGACTCCCCATTGCATTCTAAATAAGAGCCTAAGTTTAGTCTAACATTCCCTTTTCTAGAATATTATCCCAGTCCACCTGTCTAGTCTCCTGTGCAATATTCCCTCAGTAGCTGTCATTCTTCTGCAGGACACTTGACCAAACATTCCAGAAAACCTGGCGTCTCCATCATGCATTGAACATGCCATTTGGCACAATGCCATTGAGAAACTGGACTTGGGATATAGGGAGACCTGCTCAGGAAGTCCAGCTCTGCCAAAGACTAGCTGGGTAACCTTGGGAAAGTCACTCTACCTTCTGTTTAGTTTCCTTATTTGTCAAAATGAGGAATGAGTCTACCTGTCTCAGTCGGTGGTCACAAGGTTTAAGAGACATAGAGCATGTGAAGAGCCTTAGAGAACTAATTTGGCCTAGTCTAGCATCCCCTTCCTGCAGGAAGAGGCCCCCTCTCCTACTCCCTCCCTCTGGTTCTGTGGGTGGCCAGTCATTGCCACTTTTACTTCTCTGGACACACAGGTGAGGAAGTGGATCTCTTTGGGAACTTTCAAGTTGGAATTAAAGAAGGATCGCCTCTTTAGGATGGAAGAGCCTGGAAGATGTGAAGTAGGGGGGCAGTGGTGCCCATGTGGCCCAGAAAGCCAGTGTGTAAGCATGGAGAGAGTCCAGGCGGCATTTAATTTTGGGTTCTGGTTATTTCTGCAGCCAGCTGCAGCCCCTTCCACGTAAAGCAAATTCACTCATCAATTACCCTTTTACCCAAGCTGGATTAAGACAGGCTTCTGATCCTTGCATGACTGATGAACTCAGGAGTGAGGGATTGGGGGACCCTTCCCAGACTCCTCGTTGCTCCAGGTTTGTGTTCTTATTCTCCACTCTTACCTTTCCCATGAGATCTGAGGCTCTGTCTAGGCAGGGAATTAGTCATTTGACTTGCTCCTCCCTTTGAGTCAGCTTGGGGTTCAATCAGTGTTTGGGCTTAACCCCTGAGGCTCAGGCAACATCAGCAGGGCAGTGAGAGCCGTTGCTCAGGGAGTGGAGGTACTTAGAAAACTTTGAGATAGGTGCCAGGACTTCTGCCAGCTTCCAAGGGAGAACTAAGTTTGGACTTCTATGAATCTCAATGGCTAAACCACCTTCATTTCCACTCAGATGCACTAAATCCAAATTTCTGGAATCAAGGCCTGAGAATCTGCATGTTTTTCAAGCATCCGGGTGATTCTCATGTGACCTAAACTTGACAATCTCTGGGCTGAGTCTTTTATGAAGCCCCGAGTTCATCGTTTTACTTCTTCAGATTCCTGAGTACAGCAGTTTGGGGAAAGTTATAACCAAAACAAGCCAGCGAGCTAGTTTCTTATGCTAATGGTCACACAGATCTCATAATTACATGGAGGACACAAGTGTCTCATAATTAGCGTCTGCTGTTCTGTTCTTGGGGGGCAATTGTTCTGCAACAATGGCCAGGCTCAGTGCTGGACCACCAGCCTCCCTCAGCTCACTCCCCTCCACCACATTCCAATCTCATGAGAGAAGAGCCCCTAGTTCTCAGGACTTTAACCCTCTTCCTGCCAGCACCCCCAGGCCAGTGCTGAGGTAGGGGAGGTTCGTGATCTGATGCCGGGCATCCAGAGGGAAGTGGGAGAAAGAAATGTGGAATGACTGAGTACTGGGGGCAGCTAGCACTTTGCATTTAAGGCTGTGTTTCTCACTCAGACCTAACGAAGCATAACTTACAGGGTTGAGGCGCAGGAACCCCCCTTGGTAATTCTGATTTTACTAGGATTTGAGACTCACTGACCAAATCTTTACCTCTTTCAGGCTGACAAGTTGTCTAAAAGGGCAGGAGGACTTACTCCTGACATGCATCTGCCACCCAAACCATCACAATAGCCTTCCGCCTTCTCAGTGGGAGTACGAGTGACCCTGCAGCAGAAGGCAGCAGGAGGTGGTGACAAGAATACACGTCTGGCCCTAAAACCTGGGTCAGTCACATCCTGGCTGCCATTCACCAGCTATATGATTTTAGGAAAGTGGATTCACCTCTGAGCTGCAGATTCCTCATCAATAAAATGAAGACAAGAACACCCACCCTTAGTATTTGGGTATTTAGACTGTTTCCATGTTTTTTTTATTTCTTTTATCATATTCTTGGCATTACGAGTTTAGCATTCAAGGTTCTGACCAATAAGTGATCCCAGGGGTGTTCATGAAAATCCCCGGGGAAAGCTTTTACAAAATAAAGAACGGAGTCTATTGAGCTGGAATTTGTAAGGGCATGACTCAGGAATGGAGTATTTGGAGAAAGTTCTTCAGGTCTTCCTAATGCACACTTTTATCTTTTATTTTTAAATTTTTTTATTATTCATTATTATTTTTTTAGAGACAGGGCCTCACTCTGTTGCCCAGGCTAGAGTGCAATGGTGCAATCGCAGCTCACTGCAGCTTTGACCTCCAGGGCTCAAGTGATCCTCCTGTATCAGCCTCCCAAATAGCTAGGTCTACAGGCATGTGCCACCATGCCAAACTAATTTTTTAAACATTTTTTTGTAGAGACTGGGTGATACGGTTTGGCCGTGTCCCTGCCCAAATCTCAACTTGAATTGTATCTCCCAGAATTCGTATGTGTTGTGGGAGGGACCCAGGAGGAGGTAATTGAATCATGGGGGCTGGTCTTACCCCTGCTATTCTCATGATAGTGAGTAAGTCTCATGAGATCTGATGGGTTTATCAGGGGTTTCCACTTCTACTTCTTCCTCGACTTTCTCTTGCTGCCACTACATGAGAAGTGCCTTTAGTCTCCCTCCATGATTCTGAGGTCTCCCCAGCCATGCGGAACCGTAAGTCCAATTAAACCTCTTTTTCTTCCCAGTTTCGGGTATGTCTTCATCAGCAGTGTGAAAATGAACTAATACAGTGGGTTTTGCTATGTTGCCCAGGCTGGCCTCAAACTGTCCTCAACTCATCCTCCTGCCTCGGCCTCCCAAACTGCTGGGATTACAGATGTGAGCCACCATGCCTGGCCTCCTAATGCATACTTTTATTCAAACTCATCTGTGAGAGGCCTGGAAGGACTTTGACATGGTAAAAAAAAAAAAAAAAGTGTGATTTTGCAGAGGCATTGATTTAAATTGTGTACACTGATAATGTTAGAGCAAGTTTGTTAGCAGGGAGTGAGCCCAGGCAAGTACCCAGCATAGACCTGTCTGTCTCCTTTCTAAGATTTCCAAAGGGCTAAACAAGCTTTACTTATTATCTTATTTAATCCTAAATTTGTATTGCTGCTCTGGGCTACTCCCCAGGCCCCTAGACCCATATATCCAGCTACCTGCCTGATCTCTCCACTTGGATGGGAATAAACATCTCCAGTGTTGCTGGTCCCAACTGAAATTCTGATTCCCCCCAAACCTGCTCCAGTCTCAACCTCAATGGCAACTTACTTAATGACAATTAAATTCTTATGATTTATTGGGCATTTTGAATATATCCTTAAATGTTCCCTTTCTCTCACACCCTACATCCTATTCTTAAGCAAATTCCACTGACTCTACCCTTGCAAAACATGCGGAATCCAAACAGTTCTCATCATACTCATGGCAACCTCTCTATCCTAAGGCACTTTCACCTCTCTCCTGAATAATTGCCATCATATTAAGGCAATGTCTCTGATGCTTTTTTTTTTTCTTTTTAGAGACGAAGTCTTGCTCTGTCGCCAGGCTGGAGTACAGTGGCGTGATCTCGGCTCACTGCAACCTCTGCCTCCCGGGTTCAAGCGATTCTCCTGCCTCAGCCTCTCGAGTAGCTGGGACTACAGGCATGCGCCATCATGCCCAGCTAATTTTTGTATTTTTAGTAGAGACGGGGTTTCACCATGTTGGCCAGGATGGTCTCGATCTCTTGACCTCGTGATCCACCCGCCTCGGCCTCCTAAAGTGCTGGGATTACAGGCGTGAGCCACCGCGTACGGCCTTTTTATTTTATTTTAATTAATTTTTTGAGACAGTGTCTTACTCTGTCGCCCAGGCTGGAGTGCAGTGGTGCAATCTCAGCTCACTGCAACCTCCACCTCCTGGGTTCAAGCAATTCTTCCACCTCAGCCTCCGGAGTAGCTGGGATACAGGTGTGCGCCACCATGCCTGGCTAATTTTTGTATTTTTAGTAGAGATGGGGTTTCACCATGTTGGCCAGGCTGGTCTTGAACTCCTGACCTTAAGTGATCTGCTCACGTTGGCCTCCCAAAGTGCTGGGATTACAGGCTTGAACCACCGTACCCGGCCTAGACAAGAGGCTTTTTTATCCCAGTCTCCCAAATCTCTCTGAGCTATGCCATGCCAACTCTGCAGGAATCCAGGCAACTCTAGTCAGTGTGGACCTGAAAAGGAACTGAATTCTCTGTGGCTTTTTTGCTCATTGTTTCCACTTGAGAGGAATCCTAAAGAGAAAAGTGGAAGAATCGTTTGCACAAAGATATTTATCTCTGGGATGGGTGCGGTGGCTCACGCTTGTAATTGGAGCACTTTGGGAGACCAAGGTGGGCGGATCACGAGGTCAGGAGATCGAGACCATCCTGGCCAACATGGTGAAACCCCGTCTCTACTAAAAATACAAAAATTAGCTGGGCGTGATGGTGCTTGCCTGTAATCCCAGCTACTCGGGAGGCTGAGGCAGGAGAAATGCTTGAACCAGGAAATCGGAGGTTGCAATGAGCCAAGATCACACCACTGCACTCCAGCTGACGACAGAGCGAGACTCCATCTCAAAAAAAAAAAAAAAAAAAAAGATATTTATCTCTGAATTGCTGGTTTATTCAGTAGAATCTTTGAGAATTACAAGTCTGAGCTCCAGAGCCCAATGTTAAGAGGTCTGGGAGAAGAGGCCGGGTACTGTGGCTCACACCTGTAATCCCAACACTTTGGGAGGCGGAGGCGGGTGGATCACCTGAAGTCAGGAGTTCGAGACCAGCCTGGCCAACATGAGGAAACCCCTGTCTCTACTAAGAATACAACATAAATTAGCCGGGCATGGTGGCGCATGCCTGTAATCCCAGGCTGAGGCAGGAGAATCACTTGAACCTGGGGGTTGGGGGCGCGGAGGTTGCAGTGAGCCAAGATTGTACCACTGCATTCCAGTCTGGATGGCAGAGTGAGACTCCATCTCAAAACAAAACCAAACAAAACAAGAGATCTGAGAGAAGAGAAAGAACCAGTAAAAGACACCAAAAAGAAGTGACCTGGGAGGTAGGAGGAAAACAGGAACGTGTGGTATTCTGGAAGGCAAATAAAAGCGTGCCTGGAGGAAGATTCCTAGAAATAAGATCAGTAACAGGTCTACTAGCAGAAAAAAAGCAATGAATCTCCACTGAAGGATATGAAATAGGACTTCAATAAAAGAAGACACATCTTTGATAGGAAGTTTTAGTATAGTAAGGATGTCTGTTCTTCTTAGATGAGTGTTTAACTCAATGTAATTCCAGTAAAAACACCCTACTCAAACTGATAGGAACTTAACGAAGTTATTATAAATCTGGGACAATTGGTATACAAGAATAGAATTGAATTTCCTGAAAAGTAAACATAAGAAGTGGAACTTGCCCTACTTGTTTACCAAAACATCTAATAAAGGTAAATTAATGGAAACCAAACCACAGGCGCATGGAGTGATGAATAAGGGTGCCGCCGAGTGCAGACTTGGGCTCCAGCATCACGGCTGTTCAGCGGATAATGAAATTGACACTTCACATTTGGGGAGGAAATAATGAATTACTTATTAAATTTTATTTAAATTAGCTAGTCATTTAGATTAAAAAAAAAAAAAGCTAGAAACTGTCCCTGAGTCTTATTCCAAAAGAGACTTCAGAAAAATGGAAGATAAAAAGAAAAAAAAAAATCCATACAGTATAAAAGAGAACACAACTGAATAGTTTAGTAATCTTTAGAAAAATAAAGAAAAGATTGAACGATTTAATTGCATAAAATAAAAAATTTCTATAGAGCAAAATAAATCATAAAACTAAAAGATAAATACTACTGTGAAATAAAAAAACTTTTAAACATATGAGAGAAATGGTTAATATCATTAATGTTAACTCTAGGGTGGGAGTAAAGTTGGGAGCTAAATAAATACTTTGGTAAGGAGAGGAAGAGCCTTAAACTCTGTCCATCAACTCCTTCCTGCAGATATCGGCTCCCTGCACCCGCACCAGGTCAGGCTACTTCCAGGTGGGCAGGCTGGGCCAGGTTCCTAAGTACCTAGAGCTGAAAGCCCCACGTACACCACTCCTCCATCCTGGTGGCCCACCTGGACCCTCCTGCCCCTCCTCTGCACCAGGTGTGATGATAGGGGACAGGAGGAGTCACAGGAGACCTCTTCTCTCAGAAAGCAAGACCAGGCTGACATCCAAGCTAAAGGCAGGGGCTAGGACTGCTGGGTGGAGGGATGGAGTGGGTTCTGGGTCAAAGGATAGGTGGGAGGAGATGGAAGGCTGTGCGCAGCAGCAGGGAGGGGCGGTGAGGAGGGGGAAAAGCAGAGATGGGAGCCCAAGCAGCTAGAATGGGGGCGGCAGTCAAGGGCAGGAGAGGTGGGACAGCTGAGGTGGGGGGTGTCCCTCCAGGCCCCAGAGCTGCCACTTCGCCTCTCCCAGTCATCCAATTTGCAACGAGTTCCCTTTAGTACATGGAAAGTATCCTCCGGAACTTGTTTGCAGGAAACAACGCAATGCATGAAAGCCCACTTTGAGATGTTAATTACCTATTTGGTTCATTTATTCAAAATTTTTTTTTATTTACTCTGAGTCACACTGTGCTAGGCACTGGGAACAGTTGGAATACTCACCACACCCATTCATTTATAAATTTTAAGACAATGTGAAAATGCTTAGATTTAAAATGGAAAACCATAAATGACAAGGTTTCTCTGCCAAGTCTACTCAACTGCCTTTCACCAAGGTCAGAGAACTCCAGGGTGTGGGTTTCCTCCTAAATTTACTGAGGCTGCCATGGGCCAGGCAGCACGCTGGTCTCTGGGGTTAGAGTACTGACTATCCTCATGCGTTTATTAATTTAAAATGAGGCCCAAACACAGGGTCACACAGTGTCCAAAATGAAATAACCTTTGGACCGACACAGCTTGTTTCAAAACAGCTGAGATCCGTTGCCTTTTTGGCATTTGATTTTTGGTGCTGGGCCAAAAAAAAAAAAAAAAAAAAAAAAAAAAAAACCCAAAAAAACGGGGAGGTGTATCTAGGAGGGGATCATAAATGCAGCTATTTAATCTGCTGTCACTTTGTAAGAGCCCCATTGAATTTTTGATGGGAAAAATGTTTTTGCCCGGGTTGAGCTTCAGGACAAAGAAGAAATGCAAGGAACAGAGAGCAGAATTGATAGTGTTTAAAAATATGTTAAAAGATCTTATACTTTGTAACAAAGTTGGTAAGCTACAATGGAAGAATTCCTGACACAGCAGAGGCCTGGCCAAACCCCTCCCCTGGGGGCCCCGGGAATAAAAGCTTCCTCCTCCAAGCTGTCAGTTGAAAGAAATCGTCCTGCCTGATGGCCATGTGCCACTCTCTCGATGCTTGGGAACAAAATTGTGATGTTGCAGACTATACATTGTTTTTCCAGAATAACACAGAAATGTGTTCTGGAGAATCAGTTTAGACTTAGGGTATTTGGTGAACCAGTACAGGACTGGGAAACAGATGCCCTGGGTTCTAGTCCCGGCTTCACAGGAGTGACCCTGCCCAAGGCTCGCTCACTCTCTCTCAACCTGTTTGCTCCTCTGTAAAAGAGGGATAATGAGCTAAAGGAGCTCCATCTCCCAAGACTAAGTGAGGATCAAATATAGCAATCAGTGGGTGAGAGAGCCACTCATGCTTTTCTCCTCCCTCCCTATATACACATCGTCTCCATGTTCCAGTTAGAATCTCAGGCAAGGCCAAGAACTGAATTCAGGGTGGCTGCTCATGTCCTTGGCCACTGGCACAAATGTGTGCCTCGAGGCCCCACTTTCCTCTTGTTTCTGTCACTTCTTATGTCAGTGCACCCAAAATCTCTGCTGGCCTTTCCATGGTGTAAAATTGTTTTGAGGAGGCATCTTTCCAGTCTAGCACTACATTTCCTCGCCTGCCTTGCATCTGGGGTTAGCTATATGAGAAGTTCTCATCAAGGGAAGGTGAGCAGAAGTGATGTGTCTCCTCTGGGCTGGGGTTTATGTGAAGCAGGGGGATGGTGGAGCCAGTGATAGAGGAAGCCTGGATCCCTGAATCACCACATGGAGGAAAGCTGTCAGCAAACAAGGAACTGGACTTTTCAGTGAACTGGAGTCATCAGTGAGCAGGAAACAGACTTCTGAGATTAAGCCAGTGAAATTCGGAGCTTACTTGTTGCAGTAGCTAATGTTACCCAGAAGATACACACTATCCACACACTCACCTCCCCTGGCACAAGCTGCCCTTTCAAACCTCTCAGACATTCACCGATCACATTCACACAGATCCAGGGAACTGGATCACTGATGTTATCAACTTAGTCATTGATTGAACAAATATTTATAACTCATCTGCAATGTGCAAGGAGCAAGGCTAAGCATCCCCAACACAGTGCAGATCACACCCCTACCCTTCCTGGAGGAAGTCATGTCCAGGCCTCCTCCCAAGTCTAGCTGCTGGCCTGAGGCCTGAGGCCCTCATTCTCCTACCTGGGGATCCAGCCCACCCTTAGACCCCTGATCCTGGACTTTCCCTTCTTCAAACACCAGCCCCTACTCACTGTGGACAATACACCCTAGAGCAGTGGTTTCCAACCCCTAGGCCCATGGACCTCCACCGGTCTGTAGCCTGTTAGGAACTGGGCCGCACAGCAGGAGGTGAATGGCAGGCAAGTGAGAATTACCACCCGAGCTCCACCTCCTATCAGATCAGCGGCAGTATCAGATTCTCATAGGAGCACGAACCCTATTGTGAACTGCTCATGTGAGGGATCTGGGTTGCACTCTCCTTATAAGAATCTAATGCCTGATGATCAGAGGTGGAACAGTTCCATTCCTAAACCATCCTTCTCCCGTACCACCGGTCCGTGGGAAAATTGTCTTCCACAAAACCGGTCCCTGGTGCCTAAAAGGTTGGAGACCACTGCCCTAGAGACTGTCTTCCCCTTAGGACTGTCACTCCCCGTCATTAATGTAAAAATCCAACTGGAAGTCCTCACCATTCCACCCTCAGCCCTCTCAGCTTTCCTCCAACTGCATCCCTTAGAGACCTCCAAAACCAGAACTCCCTCCTTTTATCATTATCTGTCCCCCTTCTGCCTTCCCTTCACTCTTAATCTAGGATCGACCTGAGAGCTGAGCATTTTCACTGTGTCTTCAAGCCCTGTACAGATGGCAGGGTGCATGTCCAGCCATCCCTGGCAGCCCCAGAAGCTGCTAATAGTTCTCCAGGGCCTTCTCATTTGTCCTGATTCTTTTGCATGGCCTCCCTTCAGATGTAGTGCCTCCTTCCCCCATACCACACACATATTGCGTGGAGCTGAGGACACCACTGTCCACCCCTGGAAATGGAAACATAAGCTACTGACCCCTTTGCAAGCTGACCTTGCTGCCTCTTTAAGTGAAGGGTTTAACTGTGTCCACAGGGTTTGGCCAGCAGACCATAGGCTGGATTTCAACTTCATTCACTTCCTTTACACAGTACACAACCTATACAACTGTACATGGTCGACTTGGCTTTGAGCTCCTAAATCTGGCTCTTGGGGTCCTCCCTCTGGCTTGCCCCTCCAGCTGTATCCAGGCCCTTTCTGCCATGCCCTGGATTCTCCACCAATAGACAGCTTCATGGGGAGCCCTGTGTATAGCAGGCTACTTCAAACCACCCTGTCTTTGCTCTTACTGTGTCTTCTGACTAAAGAATTCTGCTTTGCTCAGCCGGCTCCTGGTCATCTCTGAGACCTCGTTTGGGAGTGTCCCCATCCTGGAAGTCTTTCTGCATCCCTTCTTGCCTCCTGCAGCCTCCACTCCCAGCCCCTGTGGCCCCTGGGTAACCCCCATTGGCACTCCTTGCCCTCCACTGCCATTTCTGTCCACACATCTGTCTGAACACAGCCTCTCTCCAGCAGGGATCACATCTGTAAACTTGGTAGCCTGCTCCAGTTCTGGACCTGGCAGCAGAGGACAGCAGGAAATGGAACTAAATGAGGAAAATGGTTTTAATCTAAAAGAGTGCTTGATAGGATGAAATGAATCCATTCTGATAGATTCACTCATTCATGATTCACTGGGTCAACAAATACTTTTTGAGCACACGCTGTGTGCCAGGCACTGTGTTGGCCCTGGGGCACCGTGAACAACCATTTCTGGCTATGTGGGAGCTCCCAGCTTCAGCTCTCACATACATCATGGTACCAGAAAGAGAAGTGTAAATAATGATTCTGACTGGGGCAATGTGAGAGGAAAGGAAAATCCGGGCCTAACCTGGCAGGGGCTGTGGGTGGAAGCCCATGATTCTGGGAGTGGAAGGAGGGCCACAGGCTGCAGCCAAGGCCTGGGGGCTGTTCCCCATCCACCTGTGACCTTCAAGAGCCTAGGCCTGGAAGTTAAGATCCTGGACTCCCAGGCGCCTCTCTTATGTGAGCGGCTCAGAGAGCTTGAGCAAGGCACTGCCCTGCTTTACATTGCAACTTTGAGGGAGAAGAATCCGTGGCTGAATGAAGTTTGAGCCCCCAGGTCTGATGTCAGTCCATGGGGGGCCTGCCCTTGGTATAAGCCCCTTGCTCTTGGGTACAGAGGCCACCACAGAGCCAGAGACAGCCAGGACCACTTTGTGGGCCAGGCCCAGGCTGCTTGCTAAAATTTGAAGAACCATCTGCTTACCCAGTGCTGCTAGAGTTGCCATTTTAATAACCAAGTTTAGGAGATTCAGTTAAGATTGGGAGCCTCATCCCTCTCCTAGGGAGGCCTCACAATTGGTGTTTTTCTTTGCAAAAGCACGAGTGGGGCCCTTTGCAGGGGTTTTTGTACAGCAAGCAGCACAGAGAGAAAAAGAAATAAAACCAACAACTTTAGTTCAAAGATGCCAGTAATAGGGGGTTTCTTTTCCAGTCTCCCCATGGAAGGTTGTCGACAGTACAGGCACAATCAGGCCCGGCGGCTGGCCTGCTCAGAGAGAGGGACGTGTGCTCCTTTGTTAGGACGGGCTGAATAGGATGTCCCTGCACCCAGACCTGGTCTCCCGGCTAACAAAGGGCCCCTTTATCACCCCGGGCAAAGAGTGCTGCTGAGGTTGCCACAGCAACTCAGGGACACAGACTTAACGTGCAAGTGACATTTCAGATGGTAACCGGGCATGCAAAAATTCAAATTTCTTTTTGTAGAGTGGTTTCCTTCTCTAGATATTTTAAAGGAACCATATTGCAAACAAAAGAAAAAAATAAGTAAGCCAACAATACACACGCGGTCAAGCAGCAAACAGAACACTGCAATTCAGCATGCTGGCTCCTCCCCTCCTGATGAAAAAGTTGGGTGAAAAGCCTTGCTGAGGGCATCGTGGGAGGCCCTGGGTGAGCTGAGGGTTTTTCTTATCTCAAAGGCAATCGGACAACATTAAATAAAGTTTGGGGAAAAAATCACCTGGAATTCCAGTCACTGGACACAGGACACTTTTCCTTGTCTCTGTCTCTGTGTTTACCAAATACTACTGGATGATTCGCTGCATGCCAGGCTGAGAGCTGGGCCGGGGCATGCAAACAGATGTCAGGTTCCTGCTGTCCAAGGTGGACGGTAGGGTGCGGTCTCATGTAAATGTGATCTCCATCCAACGCTACATTGCCTTTAGTTGAGGTCAAGGGAGTCGCCCCTCAGAGGAAGAAATCGATGTGGCATGAGCAGAGGTGAGCAGGGAATAGTGGAACTTGGATTTGCTGCCAACCCAGTGTTGACCCTTTGTTGCTATTCGCTGGATGGGATGAGGGAGACCCTGAGGGAAGGAAGGAAGACAAGGAGGAAGGGCTACCTCTACATTCTTCTATAGTGGAAATCATGGTAAATAGCATGACGCAGACACAAATGTTTACCCAACTGCCACCATAACACACGAGGTATTTTCCCTCCACATTTTATGATGACAGTTTAATAAACAATGTGGAAAGGCTATGACAGCAAACACCTGTGTATCCACCACCTGGATTCCACCATTACTTTCCTCTCCTGCTTTTATCACATACTTACTATCCATCTATCTGTTTCTCTATCCATTCATCAAGCTGCCTTCTTTTGGAAGTGCATTTCCAGTTGCAGACATCCTTTCACTTCCCCTAAACTACATCAGCATGTGTACCATCAATTAGAGTCTAATACTTGTTTACAATTTTTAAAATGTGAAATTTACATACAATGCAATGTACAAACCTTAAATGTACATTTTCTGAGTTTTGAGGAATGTGACTGCCTGTGTAACCTAAGCCTTCATCGAGATATAGGATATTAGGGTTACTTCAGAAAGTTTCCTCATGTTCCTGCCGGTCAATTCCCCCACTTACCAACCATTAGAGCAAAAATAACGTTCTTGTGTTGCTTTCTAGTCTTCATGGCCATTCATTCTTCTGTTTACTTAATCAATTCATTCTTTAGTCACCCAGGGCCTGTGTCTCATGTGTCTCAGGCACTGGACACATGTCCCGATAGGAGATGGTGTGTAAATGTAAATGCTCTGGGTTTGAATCTCAGGCCTAGTGTTTTGTAGGGCAAGCCATCTAACCTCTTTGAGCTCCACTTTCCTGACCTGTAAACTGGGGATGGTAACATTAGCAACAACCTCACAGTGGGTAGATTATGTGAGATGATACATGCCAACCACTTAGTACATAGTAAGTGCTCAGTAAACATATTGTCTTGAGGGAGGCCACAGCTGAATGGTTGTTGTCAGCCCTCCAGGACTTTAAAAGCCTTTATTTTTCTCATGGCCATTAACTCGACTACTGTCTCTGTCTAATTTTGGCTATTAAAAGCCCTGCTTCTCTGAACGTTTTTGGGCAAGGATATTTAGGCTTCTACAGAACGATCGTCCAAAGCCCAGTAGAGACTTGGAAGGGAGTGACCAGAGAGTAGTACATCTTTTATTTTTATGTTCTTGTCTTCATGCGCCCCTTAAAGTGGGCTTGCTTATGAAGCCACCAGCGGTTGGGGAATGGTCGTTACCATAAGGGGCATTGCCAAAGGTCTTCTTCAAGGTGAGAAGTAGCAGCTGACTCTATCTTTATTCTCCTTCGTCCACCCCTGTGCTATAGCAGATGATAGAAAATACAGCAGCAGAGGGGCATGTAGGACCAAAGTGGAGTATTGTCATCCTTAGAAGGGGGAAACATTAGTAGACATTCTCTTGTGAAAATGAAGGAGCCAGGGTCCGGGCAGGTCACCCTTGCTCAGAGCTGAGCCACTTGAAGATGAGTCCAAAAGCAAGGATAAGAAACAGCCATCTGTTTCACTTGCCTAACTCTTAGCCATCCTACAGTGCCCAGCTCAGCATCACCCCCCTCAGGAAGTACTCCTCTGTGTTCCCAATCCACTTTGTACTTAACTCTATTATGTTTATCATACTATACTTCATTGACCACTTACCTGTCTGTCTCCCCAATTCAGCTATGAGCACAAATCATGTCGCAATCATAGTTTGAGTCTCTAGTCCCTGGCATGTGCTAAAAAATATTTTTCTTATATTAATTTAACCAATATTGCCAAATGTTTTCTAAGTACTAGGTGCTTTATGTGTATTATCTTTGTTTGTTTGCAAAAATGTTAATTTTTCTTCCCAGTTACTATAAAAAATTTGGAGAATATAGAAAATAGAAATATAGAATAAAAATGTAGTTTAATGACAGACAAACTTTAAGTATGATTGATTAAGAAAATAAGAGAAAGAGCATATGTAACAGATACAAGAGCATTTCAAAAATCATAATACTAAAGACACGTTTAACCCAATACATTTGAAAAGCTAAGTGAAATGAACAATGTTGTAGAAAAGCATACCAACATTTACTAAGAAAAAATGATATGATCATCCAATTATAATTTAAGAAGTTGAATCGGTTATTAAAATTCTTCTTTCCCATTCATTAGGCTAAACCAGTATAACCTTGACACATAAAGCTTGGCAACAATAGCACAGAATTTTAGACCAATTTTGGTTATTAACATAGATGCAAAAAAAAACCCTAAGTGAAATAACTTCAAATGGAGTTTAGCAGTGTATTAGAAAATAAAATATGGCTGGAGGTAGTGGCTCATGGCTGTAATACCAGTCACATGGGAGGCTGAGGCAGAAGGATCACTTGAGCCCAGGAGTTCGAGGCTGCAGTGAGCTATGATCACACCACTGGACTCCAGCCTGGGTGACAGAGTGAGACCCTGTTTGTAATAATAATAATAAAATTAGAAGCAAATAGAAGTCCCAACAATTACCCAAGGTATTCAAGGATGGTTCAATATAAATAATATCTCTATATATAATACATATAATTAATAGGTTAGATGATAAAACCCAGATGGTTATTTCAATAGATGCCAAAAAAAAACCACATTGTAAACTACAATTAATTCATGCCAGAAAAAAATATCTTAGCAGACTAGGAATAAAAAGAAACTTTATTAATTGATAAAATGTATTACCAAAAGCTACAGTAAGTATCTTACTTAATGGCTTAATGGTGAAATATAAGAAGTAGGTTCACTGAAGTAAGGAACATGACAAGAATGCCTGGTATCACCACTTCTATTTAACATTGATTCTAGAGGTGCTGGACAATGCAATAAGAAAAGACAAAGAAAGAAGTGGTAAGAAGATTGAAAAGGAAGAACAGAATCAATCCCCCTTCCAGACAACATGACCATCTACACAGAAAGTCAAAGGGAATCTATAGAAAAACAGAGCAAATAAGAGAGTTTAAAAATTTTTCTTGAATACAATATCAACTTTGAAAACTTTAATAGTTTCCTATCTATCTGAATTAAAACAACTTTTAATAAAAAATTTAATTCTCCCCAAGTTAATTGAACAATTAAATGTAATTTCAAGTAAAATACTAATAGGGTTTTCTTTTTACCTTAACCTGAAATTTGTATGACAGATCAGAAAGATGCAGTGAGGTGTAGTAGTTATGAGTGTGAATTTGGAAGCCAAACTGGCTAGTTGCACATCCTGGCTACAGCTTGTTCTAATGGCAGGTAAGTTACTTGGCCTCTCTGTGCCTCAGTTTCCTCAAGTATAAGATAGGGACTACCTACCTCATGGGATTGTTGGCTAAGGGAGTTGAGCAGAGTCCAGGACTTGCATTCAGAGTCTTTGACCTCTCATCTGGTATTCTTATATGCAAGGGCCAGAGTAAGTCACTTTGTGCCAAAGTCTGTCACACACGTGTTGGTCCATTAGATCTTTTGTCCAGCAGACACTTTGAGTACAAATTGTGGGCTTCTTTGGCTCATTGTCAGAAATAATGGACAGGTTGGCATGCTGTTGGCCAGAGGGCACCATGGCAAGGGCTCTAGGAATGCCCACTGCTGCCTCAGACAACAGCTACCCACCAACAAAGTTCCTGGAGGAGATGTGTATAGCTTGTACCTGCCTGCCTCTCTTTGCTTATGGGCTTTCTCTGGTTGCCACAGCCCTGTGGTGCCTCTCAGGCTGAACTGCCAGGAATGAATGCCCCAGACAGGAGGCTTTAACCAAGAGTGTTAAGAGAGTGGGTGGGTAAAACCCCAATTCCTTGTTCTTTAAGGGGATAACTCCAAGTATGCGCTCTACGCTGTTTCCAGAATTCCCCAGTGGAGTTAGGCTCCAGTTGCCCACAGTAGGAATTTGTTAGATAATATGCCCTTTCTTGACTGTCTTCCTTTCTTGTCTCACTTTCCCACACCACTATCTGTGTGTCCCGGAACTGCGCTCCCGTAAACTACTTGCACCAGAATCTGTGTCTCAGGATCTGCTTTTGACCTCAACTAAGATAAGTTGAGCTTTTGAAGTGAGGTTTTCCCTGTGGACTTCCATTTTCTGCACCTCAATCCAGCTTAACATATCCCACCACAGGCATGCTGGCTACTGGGAAGGAGGGGACAGAGATAGATGGTAGACAGGGCCTCACTGGAGGGCTGAATTGTGACTTCCCTCACTGGCAAACATGGCCCATCTGTGAGCTGGAATCTGAACAATTAAATTCTTCACGTGTGTGTGTGTGTGTGTGTGTGTGTGTAGGAAGGTGTGTGTGTGTGTGTGTGTGTGTATGTATGTAGGAAGGTCTTCTCCCCAGAGGTGGGCAGGAAGCATCCAGGCTTTGTTAGCCCCTGTGCTAGTCACTGGTGGCACTGAGATGAGCGAGCTATTGTCCTCGCCTTGGAGAAACTCACTGGGCAAATGTGATGTTGCAGTTCTTTGAGATTCACACTAGTAGTCCTGTGTGCAGATGGTTATTGGAGCAGCAAATTGGAGCACTAAGTTGGAGTCTTGGAGAAGTCTTAACCAAATAAATGTTACTTGAATTAGGTCTTAAAAAATGAGTCGACATTTGTTAGGATTTTTATGGCTCGGAGAATAGGATTAAATATTTTCTCAGGCCCTTAAAACTTCCACCTGGAAGTGACACACACCGATTCTGTTCATGTTCCATTAGCTAAAGTGTCACATGGTCACACCGAAATTCAAGTGGGTGGGGGAGTACAAGTCTACCACGTGCCTATAAGGAGAAAGAGGAAGAAGATTCATTACTAGATCTAAGTGCTCCCACAGTTGGGTATTTAGTTCCTCTGCCATAGTTGTTTTTTAGGGATTAGTCCTTTTGATTTAAAGCCAAGACATTTCCTAGGTAAAGGAGCAATAGATGGAGTAGGACTCATTTCCCTCTTGGATCCCATGGGTAAGTGGACACATCTTGTATTAACCATGTCTTTTTTTTTTTTTTTTTTTTTTTTTTTGAGACGGAGTCTCACTCTTTCGCCCAAGCTGGACTGCAGTGGCGCTATCCCGGCTCACTGCAAGCTCCGCCTCTTGGGTTCACGCCATTCTCCTGCCTCAGCCTCCCGAGTAGCTGGGACTACAGGCGCCCACCACCACGCCCGGCTAATTTTTTGTATTTTTAGTAGAGACGGGGTTTCACCGTGTTAGCCAGGATGGTCTCGATCTCCTGACCTCGTGATCCGCCCGCCTCGGCCTCCCAAAGTGCTGGGATTACAGGCGTGAGCCACCGCGCCCGGCCTAACCATGTCTTATTTTCTGTATTCTGATACTTTGACATCTGGGGTCTTGCAGACCCTGGAGGGACTGCCCCTTCTAGAGTTAGCCAATACCTAGAAATAGTCAACAACTCACCTGTGAGCCTGTTAGCATAATTTTCTAATGCAAACCAATACAGAGCCTACGCCTCCAACCACCTGTATTATTGGGCTCTCACACTCCAACTCACTATCTACCTGCTCTAATTACTCCAGAGCCAGTACCAGACAACTAGGGACAGCCCCTATGCCCCAGAGCTGCTGAAATTATTCGAACAAGCCAATCCTAAACCTGCTGACCCGGCCTTGTCTGCTCCTTCCTGCGGAAGCCACAGTAAAGGCTCTTGCCCACAGTTCTCCCCTCTCCCTCTGCCTCCTGACTGACCTGGTGCTTCCCCACTGGCCCCCAATGGCATGGTATGTCCCCTCCTCCTGACACCTGGGAGTACCAAACTGTCTTTTCCATGGCAATCATCTCCTGGTGTGTTGTCCTTACCATACCTCAAGGTTAATAAAACATATTAAAACCCATCTATATTCTGATATCTCAGCTATTTATGATGTCAGAAACTGAGAGGTGGAAGATGAACAAACAGATACTCTGGGTCTCCAGACTGGACCAGCTGGGCTACTGGCTGAGATCTGAGCTTCCTCTCTCACAGATTTTTCCTTGCAATCAAAGGGAAGAGAGGAGAACTGAAGCCCCACTACCATCTTCAAGACAACAGATGAGGCTCTGGTGTTTCTTTGGGGGAACTGAGTCATCAGCTTCCTGTCTGATCAACTGCCAACATGAAGTGGCAAGATCAAGCTTTGGGGCCTTGTTGGACTTTGCTGCTGGACTTCTCAGATACCTCCGTGGTGCTGGCTCCCTCCTCAGGGAAGAAAGTGGATATACGTGATTGGCAGGGTTGATTGTTGCTGCTGCTGGCAGGCTCCAGAGAAGTCAAATAGCTGCCTGTAGCTGACCCATTGCACATGCATCTTCAAACTCTGGTGGTCATTGTTCTACACCTCTGGCCAGAGTTAGTGGGACCAACACTGTGGAAATATGGGCAGTAGGAAGTGCTCCAGGTGGAATTTCCAGACTTAGGTGTAGTCCTGGCTCTACTATTAACTGTCAGGATGTGCATTCCTCACTGGGTCTCACTCTTCTCATCTGTAAAATGGCCACAGCAGTCTTATTTCCTGACCCAGAGTATTTCTGTGAAGACTGATTTCTTCAACCTGCAACAGAGGTGTCTGCAAAAAAAAACTGGATCACAAGGTCAGGAGATCAAGACCATCCTGGCCAACATGGTAAAACCCTGTCTCTACTAAAAATACAAAAATTAGCTGGGCATGGTGGCACACACCCGTAATCCCAGCTACTCAGGAGGCTGAGGCAGGAGAATCGCTTGAACCAGGGAGTCGGAGTTTGCAGTGAGCCAAGATCACACCACTGCACTCCAGCCTGGTGACAGAGTGAGACTCTGTCTCAAAAAACAAACAAACAAACAAAAACACCAAAGCAAAATGAAACAAAAATAAAACTACAGCAAGCATTATAACTAATGGTGAACTATTGATATCTTTCCTTCTGAGATCAGGAAATCAGGAATGGGGCAAGAGTGTCTGCTACTATTACTTCTTTCCAAAATTATACTGGTGATATTAGCCAGTGCAACAAGGCAAGAAAAAGAAACAAAACTTATAAGAATTGAAAAGAAAAAACTAAAACTCTCATTTTTACAGATGAGATAGAAATTTTTTTTTAAAGCCAAAGAATCTACAGATGAATTACTAGAATTAATAAATGAGTTTGGCAATGTTGCTGGATACAAGGGCATTATTTAAAAATCTATTTATACTATGTTTCAGACCTATATTGCTAAGTAACAAATCACTCCAAAACTTTGTGGCTTAAAATAACAATAATCATTTATTATCTCTCATGGTTTCTGTGCATTTTGGATTCAAGAAGGGCTCATCTGCACAGTTCAGCCTTTTTCATGTGGGTACAGTCAGATAGCAGATGGAACAGGAACAGCAGGAGCTGGCAGAGCTGGGGACTGGCTAGGAATCCCTCTTTACTTAGTATCAGGGTCTCTGCATATGATTTTTCTGTGTGGGTTAGTTTGGGCTTCTTCAATGCATGGCAGCCTAAGAGAGAGTTCTCATATGATGGCTTAGTGTTCCAAAGACAAAAGTCCTGAGAGAGGGAGCCAGGTAGAAGCCCTATTAATTTTATGATCTAGCTAGCCTCAGAAGTCACATAGATTCACTTCTGTCACATTCTTTTTGTTAAAACCCATTCGCTAAGACTAATCCCTTCCCGAGGGGAAGAGTGTTAGACTCTACTTCTTGGGAAAGGTGTCAAAGAATTTGTGGACATGTTGTAAAACAACAACCCTGTACTGACAACAAACAGAAAATAAAATAAAGAAGCCATTCATAATAGCAACAAAAAACACCCGGGGCTAAATTTAATAAAAGATGTGCAAGGTCTCCACGTAGAAAACTACAAAACATTGCTGAGATAACTTTTTTAAAAACCCAAAATAAATGAAGGGACATACCATGTTCATGGATAAGAAGTTTTACTATTGAAAATGTTAATTTTATTCCAATTGATCTAAAGGTTCAAAGTGATACCAATTGAAATCCCAGCAAGATTGTGTTAGTGTGTTTGTGTGTATATATATAAATAGGTATGCTGATTCCAAAATTTCTGTGAAAGTGTAAACATCAAGAATAGCCAATGCAGTCTTAAAAGAACAAAATGGGTAGGCTTATTTCATGGGACATTTAGACTTATAAGCCCACAGTAATCCAGACATTGTGATAATGGCACAGGGAGAGAAAAATAGGCTAACAGAACAGAATAGAGAATTCAGGAACAGTCTTATGCACATATCGACTACTTGATTTACGACAATGTTAGCATTGCAGAAGAGTATGTGTGTGTGTGTAGGGGGGTGGTGGTGGTGGTGGTGATCTTTTCAATAAAGAGTGCTGGTCAGTTGGATATCCAGATGAAAAAAATGGACACAGGACAATGGAAATTTTTTTCTGATGAGGTGTGGCATTGTATTTCTAGAAACAATGACTGCTGAAATTTATTTGGAAGTTCTTTCCTTTCTGAGCTATAATTTCCCTCTGTTGTTCCCAAGCCTTCAGTGAATGCCTGTTTCCCACACCTATCTTTTGTTAATGCATCTTTCTTATGGTCCTAGTTCTAGGCCAGGACCAGCAAAGCCCAAGCAGCAGTTGAGAACTAAGTTCTAAGCTAGCTCCTGAGTGGGCAGGAAGCTCAAGTCCTTTTCTCCCAATGGCATCCTATATCCTGGTGCCACACAAGAATGCCATTCTGGCTGACTTCGCCTCCTGGCCTCTCCCAGTCAGACATACCTGGAGCAGTCAGTGAGCAGTGAGATTGCTAGGGGAGATTGCTAGTGTAGACAATTCTTGCATGAAAAGGGGGATGGGGGTGCAACAGTCTAGCAACCAGCAAGTGATATCAAGAACTAGAGGGTTTTTTTTTTTTTTTTGGTTGGGGAGGAACCCCATTTCACAGTCACCTTTCTGACCCACCATCAGAGCCATCCCATTCCAATCTCATTTTCTTCCTTTCCTCACTCCAAGAGACCGTGACTGTGGGCAGATCCTAGACCCCTCTTCAGAGCTTCGGGCTCTAGGCATTCCTGCGGCCCTCCCCTCCCTATCATTAAAAGGGGTGGGGTCCTGCTGCCTTCTCCAAGTGGTTTCAGCTCTGGATCCTTTGGGGGCAACGGAGCCCACCCGCCTGGAGCTCCATTACTGATGCTGCAAGTTTTTGACTCAGTTTCCCCATATGTGAGTGAGAGTTTAAGCGCGGCAATCTCCAGGGGGGGCTGTCAAGCTGACTCAGATCAGTGAGACGAGGAGGGGGCGGGCATGCTAAGAGCATCCTCCGGCGCTGGCCTGCGTCCCCCCAGGTAAGGCAGCACCCATCTCCAAAGTGGTCCTGTCACCACCTTCCTCTTCCCCCCGCACCCACGCCGCGGGGCGGGGACTAGCGCCGCCTCAAATATTTAGGGCAAGGGAGTGTCCCACTTCTGGGGAGGGGTGCCGTTCGGGCTTCTCTCCTCACCGTGGGTGGCGAAAGGCGGGACGGAAAAGCGCCGTCTGGACAGGCGCGCCCCCCTCAGGGATGCAGGGCCGGGCGGGGGACCCGGCGGCGGCCCAGCCCGGAGGAAGGACCTCCACGCCCCGGCCCGGGCCCCCGGGCCCCCGGCCCTAGGCAGCGCCCGAGGCCGGAACAATAGCGCGCGCGGGCGGGGCGGGGGCGGGGGCGGGGCGCTCCTCTGGGCACCGCCCCCGGCCCGCCCCCCGCGCTCGCAGTCCCGCTCGCACACTGGCTCCCACCCGCCGCCCGCCCAGGCACTGCCCGCGGGAGCCGCCGCCGCCGCCGCCGCGCCCGCCATGGACGTCCGCCTGTACCCCTCGGCGCCCGCGGTGGGCGCGCGGCCCGGGGCCGAGCCGGCCGGCCTGGCGCACCTGGACTATTACCACGGCGGCAAGGTAGGCGGGGGCGGGCGGGGGTCCCCGGCGGGCGGGGCCGGAGTCACCTGGCAGCTCGGGACTCAGGCGCTCCCGGGGTCACACGGGGCCGCGCACATCAGCCCCGCCGACGGGCACGGGCGGCTCACATCGATCCCCTCGCGGCCACGCTCACGCCCTGAGTTGTTGGGATCGCGGGCAGAAGTCATCCCGACAGCCACCCGTGCGACGACACAGTGGCCCCTCACTCGCGTCCCCCTGACAGCCTCGCAGTCATTCACAAGCCGTCACAGTGACCCACAGCCACACGCAGGCGGCCAGGCACTGCTTACACGGTCCCGCCGTCCCACGCAAGTCACCCTGACAGTCACTTATACACAACGACACGCAACCACTCACCCGCAAACAGCCTCACCGCCACAGACGAGTCACCCACAGACGCTCCGATGCCCCACACACCGTGACATGCCCCCACCCGCTGTCACACCCAGGCACAACGGGGGACAGTCACACAAAGAAGTCGCCCGACAGTCACACTCTCGCAGCCACAACGCCTCACCCAGGCGCACGCTGTCACACACAGCCACCCCCCTGGACGGTGAGCCTCAGACACAGATCGTCCTGACGGCCACACAGTCACACGCGGTCACACCCAGGGACGGCCACACCTCGGTCATCCACACTCGCGCGTCGAGGTTTAACTTCTCAGCGCCGCAGCACACTAATTGGGCAGTTTACTAATTGGCCGTCACTGCCTGGCGGGGCCTCGGATTCCGAGTAGGCTGCGGCCAATCGAGGCCTGTGTCCTCCCGGGAGCGGTGAGCCGGCGTCCCTCCAGGCTGGGGCTGTAGTGCCGGACACCCTCCCTCCTCCATGTTTCCAGGATCTATCCCCCCACCCCAGCCAGGTCCCAGCTGCGCTGCGCCGGGCGCATTCCCAGTGATGGAGGCTTGCGTGCCTGGAACCCCGAACCCGAGGCGTCAGGTCCCACTGCCGGGTCTGGCCCAGCCTGGATGGGTTGGGTGCCTCTAAGCAGTCCGCGTCCCCTTCGGTCGCCGGAGAGGGAACTTTCAAACTTAGTTAGGAAGCCAGACTGTCCGCGCGTCCGCCAGTCGGTGCGTCGGTCCCGGGCCGGCTGGAGCCAAGCGCGGGTTTTCGTCACTCGGAGCCCGGATTGAACAGCGCGCGTGGGTTTCCCGCAGCCCTGGCGCAGACGCGTGGGCTCCGTGGCGATGCGGGGTGAGTGCGCGTCCAGTGGCTGGATCGGCGCCCCCCAGGGTCTCTCCCCAACCTCGCAGGCTTTTCGTCAGGCCCCTGGTAGTGGGGATGAGGCAGGAGAGAGGCGTCCCGGCGCGGATCCCGGGGCCTCCCGGGCTGGGCCTCCCTGAGTGCGCCCTCAGGCCCCAGGGGAGCGGCTTCTGGCAAAGCCTCCCTGCAGTTCGCCAGGGGCAGCAAGCATCCAGGCCACTAGGGCCTGCGCGATGTGGGGCGGTGGTGGGCGACAAGTGAGGTCTCGCGAAGAGTGGCGGTGGTTCTCTTTTGTCCAGTGACCTGCAAAGTTAGAAGCCGATGAGGGGGGATGGTAGCCTCAGGAGAAGGCCGGGAGCTGCCTCCAGTCTGATGGAGGAAAATAGATTAAAAGTAGCAAGTGGAGTTTTCAGGGAGGAGAAGGTTGGGTGTGGGGGCAGCTGGTCTGTCTTCTGCCCTTGGCTTTGTTATTTTTCAAAATGTGAAGTTGGCGAGGTAGGTACCAGCCTCTGGTTTGCGGGTGTGGGTGGGCTGGGCATTTGTGCCTCAAAGTCTGAGTGGGTGGGGGTTTAGCCTGGAGCGCTCCGTTTGAGGGTGGTGTTTCTATAAATCTCGCCAGGGTGGGGCTGTCCCAAATAGGGGCCTTTGGAGGCAGGACTCAGCCGAGGCCCCTGCTTTATTCTGATGCTCTGTAAACCTCTGACTCAGCACCAGAACCTGTGCGAATCTCGCCGGGAAGGGCCCGTCAGGGAGGGAATGAGAAGCCGGCGATTCTGGTTTCTTTCTGTGTGGGATGTAGGACCCCTGGCCCATAGCTGAGGATGTGTCCAGAGTGGGGCGGGGCAGGGATGGGGGTGGGGATGCAGCTGAGCCACTTGATAGGTGAAAGGAAGGTCTGACTTTGCACTTGGATGTGAAATCTGCTACTCAGTCCTTCAGGCTAGAGCAGGGTGAGGCGGGAGGGGAGAGGTCACTGTATTCATTTAGGGGCTAGAGGTCTTTTGGTAAGGGATTCCCAAGTGGGCATGGCCTTAGTGGTGGTGGTTGGGGGGTAGGGCCAGGCTGTGATCAGGAACTCCCCTTTTCTGGCTCAAGAAGTGGATGGGGAGGGGTTGGGGAGGGAAATGCCCAAGCTCCACCTTTACACTAGTCACTATCAAAGCTGGAGGGGAAACAGGCTCAGGGTGCAGTAGTGACCACACTTGGGGCCTGTAGGCCTGGCTGAATCCAGACATTGTGGGGTGGACACACCCACACATGGGGGGCTCTGTCCGCAGACAAGAGGCTCGTTGCACAGGGAGCCAGGCTTTATATACATAAGGGCAAGCATTTGCCCAAGTGATGCCCGACACCTATGGGGCAGTTGACCTGGAAGGGCTCTTGGCGACCGTCCCCTTGGCGACCATCCCCTTGGCGACTGTCCCCTTAGCGATCCTCTACACAGAGATTCCCAGCCTCTTTAAACCAAAGTCACGAACATTGGTTGTTCTTTTGGTATCTTTTGTTTGAGAAAATGCACACTAATGAAAAGCTGTTATGGTTTTATTTTTGCTTTGAAATAGATGTGTATTTTATTAAACACAATATTAGCATGCATTAGAAAAATAGCTTAACAGGTATGAAGAAGACTCATTACTATTTAATGTAATAAAGGTGCTTTTTGAGCATAGGGATTTGTGGCCCCATGGCTCCCAGGATCTGTGGCTCCATGCTGGGAACCATTGGTCTCCTCCTTCTTTGCATTACAGAAGGGGAAACTGAGTCACAGAGGAGTGTAACTCACAGATTACACAGCAAGTAAGGAACAAAGATGAGGCCTGAGCCCAGGTTTGACTCCCAGCAGGACACTTGTTTGGCTTTTTTGCAAGTCTCTGTCATGGTTCAGGGGTTTAGAGCCTGTAACATCTTTCTTAGGGTAACTATGAACTCCTGGTTCAGATTTTGGCAAGGCATCTTACCAGGCTGGGGGACAGCTGGGGGATCCCTGCTCAACTATGGCAGACTAGTGTAAACTAGCCATCAGAACTGGGCAAGCCTGGGTTCAAATGTCCATTTGTTGCTTAGTGACCTAGGGCAAATGATTTTTAGCTCATTTTTTACTGAGATGTGATTTACATACAATAACATGAAGATTTTAAGTGTACAGTTCCATGAGTTTTGATAAATATTAACACTCATGTAACCAGCATCCCAGTCCAGATAGAGAACATTTCCGTCATCCCAGGAAGTTCCCTCACATCCCTTTATAGACAGCACGCCTTATCCCCACCTCCAGAGGCAACTACTTACCTGATTTCTGTTACCAATGCTTTCTTTAAGTTCAATTTAGGTATATTAACCATGCTTAAGTTCTAGAACTTGATATGCAGCATAAACATTTGTGTGTCTGTCTTCTTTTTGCTCAATGTAATGTCTTCAACATTCATCCACGATGTTGTATATATCCATAGTTTGTTCCATTTAATTGCTGAGTAATATTATATTGTATAAATATAATACAATTGGTTTATCCATTCACCTGCAGGTGGACATTTGGGTTTGTTTCCAAGTTGGAGCTATTATAAGTAAAGCTACTGTGAACATTCTTATACAAGTCTTTTTGTGGGCGGGGAAAATCATTTAATATCTCTGAGTCTTGGTGTTCTCTCAAAGACAACATTGCCTACCTCTGAGTTTCAGGACGGTTAAGTGAGGTGATACAGGTTAGGACAGTTATTGGCACATACCAGCTACTAATTAGATAACAACAATATCAACCATCTGGGGCCCATTCCAGGAAGAGGCTTAGCATCTCCGTTCCAGCATCCTTCGTCCCTGGACTGAAGGGATGAAGGCCTTCATCAAGGCCAACCTGGGTACCACCTTCCCCATGTGGTGCTTCACAGCCAGCAAACTTCTCTTTCTTTCCAGGCTTCCCCAAGAACTGATACTGCATAGGATGTGGCATGTTCTGCCATCCATCATTCTACCAAAAATATTTATTGAGCACTTCTTGGTGCTAGGCACTGTGCACAGCAACTGATGCTGCAGCAGTGAACAAAAGTCACTCAAATCACTGCCCTCTGGAGCTTATTTATCAGTGTGGGAAGTCATAAATATATGGGTGAAATATATGGTATCATGATTGATGGGAATATGACTTTTGGAGAAAAATGGAACAGGAAAGAGAGTTGGGAGTCCCAAGGCCTGGGGCTGGTTTGTGATTGTTAAATAGGGAAGTTGAGGAAGGCCTTGTGGTCTAGAATAGTGTTTCTCAAATCTATGTACACATGAAGAATCAGCTGGCAAGATTTTTTTTAAATTTTATTTTAAGTTCCAGGATACATGTGCAGGATGTGTATATTTGTTACATAGGTAAACGTCTGCCATGGTGGTTTGCTACACCTATGAACCCATCACCTAGGAGTTAAGCCCCGCATGCATTAGCTATTTATCCTGATGCTCTCACTCCCTCCCTCCCCCCGGCACTTGACAGGCCCCGGTGTGTGTTGTTCCCCTCCCTGTGTCCATGTGTTCTCATTGTTCAGCTCCCACTTATAAGTGAGAACATGCGGTGTTTGGTTTTCTGTTCCTATGTTAATTTGCTGAGGATAATGGCTTCCAGCTCCATCCATGCCACTGCAAAGGACATGATCTTGTTCCTTTTTATGGCTGCATAGTATTCCATGGTGTATGTGTACCACATTCTCTTTATCCAGGTTAACACTGATGGACATTTGGGTTGATTCCGTGTCTTTTGTCTGGCGAGATTGTAAAAACAGATTCTTGGGCTCCACCCCCAGAGATTGGATTCAGTTGGTCTGGCATGGGGTCCTAGGAATTTGCATGTCTAATGAGCTACCCAGGTGTTGTTACTGCTGATCCAAGGACCACACTTTGTGTAGCAGTTGTTTGGTTGTTTGTGTACAGGCTTTTGTGGGCTCCTGGCAGGCAGGAATTCTGCCCAGCACCTGGCATCGTGCCTGACTCATAATTGCTCAGTAAATATGTGCTGGTGGGTGAAGGATTCAACTTCCCACCCACACAGCTCTGGGCACAGCATCTTGTAAGGATGAGATCTGGACAAGCTTGGTTAATGAATGATTGAGGACTCTTTTTGACAAAAATTCATGAAGTGGGGTTAAACTATGGACTTGATCTGGACTTGACCTATGTGAGGCCTGCCCGGCATACTTGGTGGGTGAGATTCCCACAGCTCCTTTCTTCAGGGGCACAGGTGGCTGCTAATGGGTCCCATGGAAGGTACCCTGGGATGGGTGGGCTTAGAGCTGAGATGGCTGGTCCCAGGGAACGCTAGATGGATGTCTGCATCTCTGCTAGGAAGCTCTCATTTACTTTCCATCTAAACATGCTCCCTATAGCTCCTCCCCCAACCTGTGCTGGAGGCTCCTCCAGGAAGGACCCCAGGATGTTTGCATGGCAGGACCAGCAGCCCAAGCCTGGCACTGCTGCCCCCGATCTGCTGGGTGACCTTGAGCCTGTCAGCACCCTTCTTTGGGCCTCTGTTTCCCTGTGTGCAAAGGGAAGGCAAACCGGTGACCATCAGCCTAGAGGGATGGTGTGGGGGTGGAAATATAATGAAATAAAGGCTGGGAATGTCATTTCTAACTGTGGAGGGTGCACTGGGAGGGAATGCTGGTGGGAATGGTGCTTTTTGAGGAGATGGGCCTGCTATCCTTCAGAGGACAGGAACCACTGTGTCTGCCTTTACTTTTGTATTCCCAGCGCTAGCCTGACACATAGATGCTCAGCAAATATTTGCTGAATGAATGAATGAATCTAGGGCTTGGCAGTTGTAACCTGTGGCTTGAGGAACTTAGCATCTGTTTGGCTGTTGTCATCTGAAGACTTTGTGGGGCACAAGGAGCCAGGGCAGGACCCCGCAGAGGCACAGAGTCTTTGGCGGACCTTCCATTCCTAGAGGAGCTTCCCCAAGTGGGCTCGGAGGACAGAGCCTGGCACACAGAGCAGCCTGTAGGCGGGAAGAGGAGCTGAGCCTGCATGAAGGACAAGGTCCTGTGCCTCCCCCTTGGTCCAGCAGTCCCCCTGCTGTGTGGCTCCTTGCCCCATGTGATTCTGTAGGGCAATCTATTTTGCTTCTCTGATTTCCTAGAGTTGGTCTCAGGATATGAAGGCATCATGGATTCTGGAACCTGGCAGACTTGGGTTTGAACACTGCCTTCACCACCATCAGGGCAGGCAAGTTATTTAACCTCCCTGGACTCAGTCTCCTCATCTGTAAAATGGGGACATTGACATCTCCCCTTTGGAGCTTGAGGGTTGGAGACCATGTATGTGTAGCACTTGGCCCCAGCAGGAAATGCTTTCATTTTCATCCACAAAGAGCAGCCCAACTGAAAGTTAAAATGCGAGAGGAACTTGCTTTTCTGTACCAGCTGCTGGAGGATGCTCCACAGCTGCCCCGCCATGTTCTTCTTCTTCTTCTTTTTTTTTTTCTAGAGACACAGTCTTGCTCTCTTGCCCAGGATGGAGTGCAGTGGTACAATCATAGCTCAGTGTAGCCTCAAACTCCTGGGCTCAAATGATCCTTCTGCTTTGGCCTCTCGAAGCGCTGGGACTGCAGGCATGAGCCACCACTTCTGGCCCTGGGCTGCTGGCAGTCCCAACGCTGGATGCTTCCATGTCTTGATCCCTAGACCTGATTTTCCTGAGCCTCTGGGTTGAAGGAGCCTCTTATTGGAGTGTCCAGGATTATGAATTGGGAGAGAGTTGCTCATTTCCTCCACCTTCTGTTACCTTCTTGAATCTGTGCAGCAGAGAAAGTGGGTTTTGGAGGCAGAGAAATTGGTTCAAATCACAGCTGCCCAGTCCACTGGCTTGGGCAGGTGACCTCATGCACATCACTTAGATGTTCAGGTCTCAGTTTTCTTATCTGTACAAGGGGACAGAAATGCCTGCCTTCTATTGTTGCTGCAAAGATCAGATTAAAGTAATAGGTATGGAAATTCTGTCTAATCTAGAATGATGTTTCCCAGCCTCGGCGCTATTGACATTTTGGACCTAATAACATTGTTGTGGGAGTTGCTGCATGCATTGCGGAATGTTTAGTCCTATCCCTGGCCCCTACCTAGTAGATGCCAAGAGCATCACCCTGCCCCCAGTCGTGACAACAAAAATGTCTCCAGACTTTGCCCCTGGTTGAGAACCAGTGATGTGGGAAGAAAGTTTAGCGCAGGTAAACTAGAAGATGGTGGTGAAGCGAATTGCAGCACCACAGCAGGCACCGTGCTTTCTGGCCAGGGCTTCAGTCCACTGTCTCCCTTCAGTAATCCTGTATCCACAGGGTTGACAGTCATCTTATTTACATGGATTCAAACCTACAGGATGATTTTTCAGCATGGTTTGGGAGCAACAGTAAAAACATATGGTAAGTGATTATTAACCTAATGAGTTGTGGTAAATTGTAATTTTATATCTTAATGAAATGATGTTGTATGACACAGGATAATACATTTTGATCAATTTCCCTGATATTTAAAACTTGCTGCCGTACAGTTGCTAATTCTGGTGCCTGCCAGGATGAGCAACCTGATTGTGGTTTTTCAATATTTAATGGCCTGTTTACTGCTGGGTTTCTCAGATGTTCAACAGGTTTTTATTGAGTGCCTACTGGGTGCTGGGGATTCAGCCCTGTCCTGGAGGCTCAGTAACTCCAGAGGAAAGTTTTATTTACTGGGTGAATGGCTATGTGGATTTGTAATCAATTGGCTTAAAATGCAGAGTAATAATTAAATATAAAATTGGCTGAGCAGTGCCAATGCCGGGAGTGTGGGAAGGTTTCACAATGGCAGTCTTACAGGAATGCCAGGTGGGCTGCCTGGGGGCATGTAGAGTGGTGGGGGGTGTTCCAGGCAGAGGGAGCAGCCATTGTAGGGGTGCTTTGGGGATACTGTCAGCCTAAGGAGGGGAAACCTGCCTGCGTGGGAGTTGGGACACCAGCAGAGATGGTTATGAAGAGCCTTGCACCCCAGCCTGTGGGGCTTTAAGTAGAGGACTGTGCCTGGAACCAGGGGTACGGTGCACAAGTATGGAATGCATCACATTGCTGGATTCTGACCATCCTCAACGACTGTCTCTTGGTCTTCTGCTGATGGGAAAGTCTAATGACTTGCATTTGATTTCCCCCAGTAGCCCATGATAGATACTCTGCTTCTCAAACTTTAGCCCACCAGAATCACCTGGAGCACAGTTAAAACAGACTGCTGTGTTCCACTCCCAGAAGTTCTGACTCAGCAGGCCTGGGGAGGAGCTGAAAGTTAGCACTACTAGCAAGTCGATGGTGCTGATGGTGCCAGTCTGGGATCCACACTTAGAGAACCTCTGGTCTAGACTAGAACGTGGCAGGATTGTCCTGCCTTAACTGAGGACAGTAGAGATGTATTGCTGGCCTGGGGCATGGAGCCCCGGTGTGGACATGGTTAGGTGTCCTTCTCAAGCCCCTTGGTGGGTTGTGGGGAGAGTCTTCTTCACCATGGGGAAAGTCTCACATTGGGTTGCCTGGAAAAGGACTCTGAGATGGAGAGTTGCTCGTGGAAGGTTTATGTGGGGAAGTTCTCTGCGGTGAGGTGGGCGGAAGGGGTGCACCTGCAGGGGACACAGGAGGAAACGTGCTTGGGCCGGGGAGAAGCTGGCCTGGCCTGACCTGTGGTTCTGAAGAACGCCATCCCACAGGGAGCTGTGGCGCTAAGGTGGCTCTTTAGTGTTGCCCCAGATGGAGGTGAGGGGACTGCCCAAGCCTTTGATTTCTGCATCATCTGGTCATTTCAGCATAAGTGAGAGGCCTAAAAATGAACAGCAGGCAGTTCCCTTGGGTGAAGGAGTTCACTGCAGTAGAGGGCAGTCCCATTGAAGGGCGAGCTGCAAGCCCAGCCGCTGATATTCCTGAGGTTGGGGGATGAGCATATGGAAGAGGGCTGGAGAGTACCACTGTGACCATCTCAGGGAGATTTCCCAGGAAATCAAGGGCCAGCATGTGGATGACTTTTAGTGATGGTCACTCACTTGCTCAAGGTTCTTCTTTGTCTCATGAAGTGAGAGAGATGTGTCATCTGCTCTGCGTAGGAAAGGCAGGATAGTTACTTTTTGGGTCCAAGGGAAGACAAATGGTAATTAATGGAGTTTTTAGGGGCTCAAAGATGCTCTTAGATGCTCCAGGGTGGGATTCCAGAGTCCTTGCACTGAGCTGTCACATATCTTCCTGTGTGTTAGGGAGGACTCCAGATGGGTCTCCAAGGAGCTTCTGGGCCATGCTTAAGGAGGTCACCTCTGGGCAAGAGCCAGGGCTTTCTCTTTGGGCTGGAGTCCTGTCTAGTTCAACAAGAGGCCATCTGCCCTGCCCAGCCTCAATGCAGGTCAGTGTTTCTGGCTTTGCCTTTCACCATCACTGAGCTCCCAGGAAGCTCAGAGGCAAAGGAGGGGTCACCTGTAGCCATAACATAGGCTGCTGTGGTGTGGCTACTGTTCATTAACTCACTCCCAACTGCACCTCATTTTTCTACCATTTTCCTCTTTATCTTGAGTCCTGCCACTGTTTTATTTTTTAAAAATTGATTTTGCTCTTTGTAAGACACACAGAAGTATTTTAGAAGAGGAAAGACACAAGTGAAGTCCCTCTCACTCTCTGTCCCTCTCCCTTCTCCACACACAGCCCTGTGTCCCGGGGTGTCCACTGAAAAGGGAGTGGAGGGTGTACTTCCCATCAAACCCTTTCTTCAGTTCCTTACTTTTAATACATTCGTTGTTTTTATTTCTGGAATCATTTTTTTATTTTCCCAGAATTCTGAGTTTCTTGATTGATCTCATATCATCGTGGTCTATTCTTCTTTTATGGATATGTGACTATCTTGAATCTCTTTGAAGATGGTAATTCGATTTTTAAAAAAGTGGTCTTTTGTTTCCTGCATTTAACTCTGTTTTATTGGTGATTCTTCTGTTCACTTTTAGGCCTCTCTTTTATGCTGATATTTTCTACAAATGCCTGGTGATTCTCGGTTGACATTTAAATTTGTAAATGGGAGGGGGGCATCTAGATCTGTTCTGTGGTTGTGAGTTTCCTCAACATGGGTGAAAGCCGTGACTGCGTGGGTGGGCAGGGTGGATGTTGAGTAGAAACGCTCTGTGTGTGGTGTGTGAGTGCAGACTCTATTGCGGTGTGGGATGAGCCTACGAAGTCCTTGGGGGCCTCTTTGTCCCTCGGGTAGGCCAGCAGTTACCCCCAGGGCGCTGGTGCACTTTTTCCAGCCTTGTGCTCACCCGCAGGAGGGAGTCTCCCAGGCAGATTTCTCATTTCAATTAGAGAATTCTTCTGGTTGGCATTAGCCTGGGGGCAAAACCAACAAACAGCTTCTCCCAGGGCTTTGGACGGGCACAGGGGTCCCAGCGCAGGCTTCCTCTCTCTGGGAATGTTCTGGGGTTCAGTTAGGTGTTGGGTGCCGGTTCCTTAGTGCTCACAGGCTTCGCTGTCAGTCTGTTTCTTTGACTTCTTAGTTTCTAGCAGTCTCATAACGTTTCTGATCCCAGCCTTTTCCTATTTTCTTATGTGCCTTAAGTTTTCCTAAGAACTATGCTGGGCACATTTGTCCCCATTTTTTTAGGTGAGAAGACTGAGGTCCAGATGAATCAAGTAACAGAAGGGTGGCAGAGGGGGCTGTTAGGCAGAGCTGGAATTTGGCCCGAGCTTGCTCTGCAGCTGTCAGGGTGCCAGGGGGAGCTCACTTCCTCCTGCTGCAGGGGTGGAAGAGTGTATCACTGGCTCCTTGTCCTAGAGTGCTTTTTACATTACAGCTAATTAAAATGTGCTTATTTCGAAGCTGGGCCTGATTTGCAGGAATGATTTAGAAACTTGTCGGAAATGAATCGACTCAGTAGTAGTATAACCCAGGGTCAATGCCACGCATATATTTTATTGTTTCATCATGCTGTGTTTTGGCTTGAACTGAACTTTATGATGTGGAAGATGGACCCTGGGCCCTTTATGTCTCATTTATTCTGCAAATATTTCCTGTTTACATTATTTAGGAAGGTCTCCCACCCCCACTCCCATGCTTTCTCTGTTCTCTATGTCCACCTGAGATGGAAGTTCATTTTTATGCAAATCCAGATGTTGGATCCAAATGTGACTTTGAGTTTGATGGAAGTGCCTGGGTTCGTATCCTGACACTTATAAGCTGTATGACTTTGGACCTGTCACTTAGCCTCTCTGAGTCGTGGTTTCCTCACATAATCACAATTGCATCTCAGGTTGGTGGTTAGGTCTGTGGGAGAGCAAGTAAGTCTTCCCCTCCCTCATTTCTTCCTCCAGGCACTGTTTAGGTGAACCGAGCCCTCTGTAGAACAGCGAGCATAGACCCTATACTAGGTTTTAGTGCCTTTATACACTGTACAGTCTAAGGAGCTTTTCAGTTCAGGATCGGTGTAGCGCTTGTTCCCATTGGGGCTGTCTCTTTTCTCTCCTGTATCAGTTCCCTTCTTTCTCATTGCAATTCCCACAGGGAGTTTTTAAGGACCAATGAAACATTCAGACTCACAAGATGAACACAGGGGACACTTGGCACCAGTCTCCTCGAAAGATTTGGGACACAGCCTGACACAGCCTGCCAGCAAGGCACGTGAGCTGTTCTCTTCTGCACAAGTAATTCTTGCAACAGTCTCCGCAGTGGTCCACGAAGGTGGCCAGGAGCTATTCTCTTTGCTGCCCCCTCCCTCCCAGGATCTAGTTCAAGTGCAAAGGAATGAGATACACAATGGGTGGCTGTGGAAGCCACCCTGGCTTAGAAGCCTTATTGTCCCAGCTGCCATATCCATTGTAACAATTCCGTAGGCTTAGCTTCAAGGACCCAGGGACATGTCAGGTACAAATTTCTCTGCATCTAGGAAAACCCAAATTATGGCTTCTTTTTCAGATATTTATAACTTATTTATAGTTCCTCCCAGTTCAAATGCAACTTACCAATCAGGGGTCATTTTTACCATAAGCAGAGTTGCCTGGTAACATAGTTAACGTCCCACTTTCCTCAGGTTTCCAGGGGAGTTATGCTCCGCAATTAACAAAGGTGAAATTCTCTTGCAACAAGGAAAAGGGTTTGGTTAACCCTTTCCCCCATATTCATCATCCTACTTTTTTCCCCTGTGGGCTGGTATTTTTGGCATCTCTTTTGGAAGGACGAATGGAGTCCTCAGAAATATATTCCACACTGTGTACATTTTCTGATGATCTATATAACACACACACACACACACACACACACACACACACACACACACACACACACACATCATGAGATATGCTTTGGAGTCATACTGGCCTGGGATCAAATCTTGGCTCTTGGCTTTGCCACCTATGAAGAGTTAATTTCCTTCCTTCCTTCCTTCCTTCCTTCCTTCCTTCCTCCTTCCTTCCTTCCTCCCCTTCCCTTCCCTTCCCCTTCCTTCCTTCCTTTCTTCCTTCCTTCCCTTCCCCTTCCTTCCTTTCTTCCTTCCTTCCTTCTTTCCTTCCATCCTTCCTTCCTTCCCTCCTTCCTTCCCTCCCTCCCTCCCTCTTTCCCTCCCTCCCTCCCTCTATCCCTCCTTCATACAGCCATCCAAGGAGCATGCACTGCCTGCTGTATGCAAGGCTTTGTGGTAGGTGCCAGGCAGGAACAGGTAATTAAGACATGGTCCTTTTCCTTGAGAAGCATGATCTTATTAGAGAGACAGAAATAAACAATTTCAAATGTGTGTGGTAAGCATTATGTTGAAGTAGCACAGGGGAGTGTGGGACCACCAGGCTAGGCTGGGGACAGTCAGAAAAGGCTTCTCAGAGGAAGGGACACTTGCCTGTGCTTGAAGGTGAGTAGAACTTGGCCAAGTGAAGAAGGTAGGGAAAAGCATTCCAGGTAGAAGGAACAACATATGCAAAGGCATAGAAGGTGCTGAGAGTGTCAAGATGTGAGGCTGAAGAAGGGAGCCAGGGGCATTTGGAAAGCTGTTTATTATCTCTGACTTCAGTTTTCTCGTATACAAAATGTGATGAGCAATGCTTACTTGTTTATGAAATTAAATGAGGTAATGATGTATGTTTAAGCACCTGGTGTAGTTAGCTTCAATTCCCTTTCCAAATCTGTCTACAGATGCCTAAGAGCCAGGCTTTGATTTTAAATGAGAGAAGGAATAAAAAGCACTGAAGGGCCTGGCCGCCCACTTGCACAGTGCAGGTTTCCTGCAGCTGCTCTTGTGTTGGTCGCTTTATTGCTGCTTTGGACGGAGCACTAAATGTCTGCATGCCGACCTGGATTACGTCCTTCAGGATCAGCGAAGCACATCATTGTGTTTTCTTAATGGCTCAATGCTAACAGCAAGTCACGGCCTGTCGAGGTGTCCTGTGGGACAATTTTTCATCTGCCTATGGCCATGCTTCTGTCTGACGCTCTGTCAACACGCCCTGTCATTCGCTTCTTTGTCTTGCTTTGCCTTCCACATGCCAGCTGGGGAAACTTCGCTTTCCATGGAGTTTGGAGACATTTACTATCCAGTGACCAAAGGTCAGGATGAGCTGAGGAGCCATGGTGGCCACCATCAATGTCTTTATGATGCGTAAATTGGATCCTGTCTCTTCTCCATACAAAGCTACTCAGTGGGGCCGGGCGTGGTGGCTCACGCCTGTAATCCCAGCACTTTGGGAGGCAGAGGCGGGTGGATCATTCGAGGTCAGGAGTTCAAGACCAGCCTGGCCAACATGGTGAAACCCTGTCTCTACTAAAAATATGAAAAAAAAAAAAAAAAAACAACAACAAAAAAACTGGGCATGGTGGCTCGTGCCTGTAATCTCAACTACTTGGGAGGCTGAGGCAGAAGAATCACTTGAACCCTGGAGGCAGAGGTTGCAGTGAGCTGAGATCATTCCACTGCACTCCAATCTGGCGACAGAGTGAGACCCTGTCTCAAAAACAAACAAACAAACAAACAAACAAAAACAGGGAAAAAAACCCCCACAAAGCTGCTCAATGGCTTTCTGTTGTAGCTTGATGAACTCTTACAAACCTAAATCACATCTTCTTAGGTTTCTGCTTAAAGCCTTCCAGTGCTTTGCCCTGGTGAGTAGATAACATCCAACTCCTTTGGCCCATAAGTCCTCACGTGAGCTTGCCTCTGCCTGCATTTCCAGCCTCTGTTCCAGGAACCAGGCTTCATGCTGGGGACATGGTGATGAGCAAAGTCAGAGTCAGTCCCCCTCAGTGACTCCATTCCAGTCACCTGGCCTTCTTGCTATTTCTCAGATCCCCCCACCCTGTTCTTTTGCGCTTGAGGGGCTTTGCACATGCTGTTCCCTTTGCCTGGAATGTTCTTGCCCTCATTCTTTACATGGCTGGCTCCTGCCCAGCCTCTGACCTCAGCTTCATCCTCGTCTTCCCAGAGTCTGACCTGCTCATCTGTGCAGTTGTCTTTCTTTTTGTCTACCATAGCCTCTGAGTATTTTTATTTTTTAATTTTTTATTTGTTTCTTTATTTTTTTGAGATGGAGTCTCGCTCTGTTGCCCAGGTTGGAGTGCAGTGGTGCGATCTCAGCTCACTGCAACCTTCACCTCCCAGGTTCAAGTGATTCTCCTACCTCAGCCTCCCGAGTAGCTGGGATTACAGGAACACACCACCATGCCCGGCTACTTTTTGTATTTTTAGTAGAGACGGGGTTTCACCATGTTGGCCAGGATGGTCTCAATCTCCTGACATCATGATCCACCCGCCTCGGCCTCCCGAAGCGCTGGGATTACAGACGTGAGCCAATGCGCCCAGCTGCTTCTGAGTATTTTTCTTCGTGGCATCATATATCTGTGAAATTACTTGGTTGCTCCCCCTTCAGGATAATAAACTTTAAGAAGCAATAGGCTCATGCTTATTTTGTTTACCATTGCATCCCCATGGTGTCTGACCTATAGTAGGTGCTCAGTAAAAAGTTGTTGAAAGATTGAATGAATGAATGAGGCAGGTTATATTTTTCAGAGATGACCACCGTAACATAGCCCAGGCTGTGTTTCTAAGAATAATCCACTCACCCTCTCTGGGCCTCACTTACCCTGTTTATATGTTGTTGCCAGGAGGATTAAACACATATATGTGAGGGACACAGTGTTTGGGGCCTGCAAGTGTTAATCCATGTGAATTCTATAATTCTCCTTGTAGAAACATGCCAGGCCCATCTCTAGCTGAGTCCAAGGAGGAAAGTTGAGATATGACTCAAGAGGGATGATGTTTGAAATCCTTGTCCTCATGGCTTTTAATCAATGCTTGACCCTTTGGGGCAAGGCTGGCAGATGCAGCCCCTGTTTTGTCCCCTTCCCATCTCCCTGGGAATGATGACCTTGCCTTTGTCAGGAGGGAGGCGTCACTCCCAGTTGCTTGGGCTGGGGTATCTGGGGCACAGTTGGCCTGGCCTTCGGAGATAATAAAATCTCTCTCCAGCCCATGGGAATGTTTCTGTTGAGCAAGCAGGACTTTTTGGTGGCTTCTCTCCTGAAGTTATCACTCTTCTTTTTTAAAAAAATTAAACTGTAAATTATGAACACTATGTTACCTGCCAAAAAGTTTAGGAAATGAGGGAAATCACCTGCTATGATCCCACGGTGCAGATTCAAGGGCAGTGTTTGACACTTTGCCTTCTTAATACTCAAGGCTTGCAAACTGCACTGCCCTACCATGGTTTTCTGGAAGCCCCTTACCCATCGCTTTCTTTCTACCTATTCCTGATGTTTATTGTTTATGTCCTTCTCTCCTCCCTCCTCTATCCCCTTCACTAGAATGTCGGCTTTGGAAGTGTGGGGAATCTCTGTCGTTTGCTCATGGGTGGAGCCTTCAGAGCGACTCTGACTGCCAGGCCTCTGGTTTTAGTGTTTCCCACCCACCAGGCAAACTCCTACACATACATCTTTTATGTTTTTTTTCTTTAAAAGACAGAGGCTTGCTCTATTGCCCAGGCTGGAGTGTAGTGGTACAAACATGGCTTACTGCAGCCTCGACCTCCTGGGCTCAAGCGATCCTCCTGCCTCAGCCTCCTGAGTAGCTGCGACTTCAGGCACAGGCCACCACACCTGATAATTTTTAAATTTTTTGACAAGGGGTCTCACCATGTTGCCCAGGCTGGTCTCCAACTCCTGGGCTCAAGCGATCCTCCCACCTCGGCCTCCCAAGTAGCTGGGACTACAGGCATGTGCCACCACGCCTCGCTAAACATACACGTCTGTTAAATTTCTGCTCAAGCGCCACCCCCTCCTGGAGGCTTTCACTGCTATCCTCCCCTGTGCTCCTGCCCTTCCCATCTGGCATCTCTGACACTGTGGGCTCCCTGGGGCTGGGCTGCCCAATGTCCATAGGAGACATGGGCTTCAGAGGCCATGTCTGGGTGCTTGGACGTTGACTTAAGAGCAGTGGGAGTCCTGGAGGTGTGCTGCGTTTTAGAAGAATCTTTGCAGTTGTTCTGTGGGGGAAAATACTGGACGGGGCAAGAGTGGAGGCAGGAGAATAGTTGGGAGGTGGTGCCTGTGGCTCAGGGGAGAATTGATGATGGCTTGTGGCCATGCTATCCAGTAAGGTAGCCAGTAGCCGTGTGTGGCTCTTTTCATTGAAAATACAGGAAAATAAAACAAAATTTAGTTCATTCACACTAGCCATATTTCGAGTACTCGCTAGCCACATGTGGGTATTTTAGCCCCTATTGGGCAGCGCAGATACAGACATTTCCATCCCTGCAGAAAGTTCTGTTGGTCCACTCTGGCTTGGACTGTGGTGGTGGAGTGGAAATGAAGAGAAGTAAGGGCGTGGGAGGTAACAGGAGGGAAGATGTATGCAGTTTGGGGATGAGTTGGATCTGGGGTATGGTGGAGAGTGGGGTATCAAAGAAGACTCAGGAAGTAAAATTTCTGGGTCAAAAAAGAGTGAGCATTTTTATGGCTCCTGATTTCTGCTGACCTGTCATTTTCCAAAAGGGTCATCACCACTCACCAGAAGCATGAGAAAGTGCCCATTTTATCCTGCCCTCCTGGCACAGCTTATTACCTTCGGAACACCCTTCCATTGTGTATATCTCTTGCCAAATCTGCCTTCATTTAGGGTCTAGCATGTGGACCCTGAGGTCTTTGTGATCTCAGGGACTTATATGTATATTAATGCAGATTTCAATAAAAAGAGTTATGTTTGCCATTGTGGTACGGTCTGATGCTGTTTAAATGCCTTCGGTAATATCTTCAATCAGACAGCAAATAGAAAACAGGGAAGTTAGTAATAAAAAATGAATTAGGACGATTAGCAAAAGGTGAACCGCTTCCCTCCTCAGGCGACAGGCAGAGTTGACGGAGCTTTGCAGGGTGCCTCCTGTCCAAACACACGTCTGGATTATTGCAGCCTTTGGGGCTGGCCCTGGGGTCTTCTCTGCACATAGGACTTGGTTATTGCATTTAGTTTTGCAAAGGTCATGGACATCCCCTCGGAGGGGCTTTGAGGGGCTCACACCAGGATTGGGGGCCCGCACCCTGGGTTGGGTGAAGGCAAGGGGTTGGAGAGGGGTTGCTGCCCCCCCCCGCCATTTCTGACTGAGGGCAGGTCAGCGGCTTCTTCCTCTAAGCAGAGACATCAGTGGGCCTTGCTTCCCTCCGTGCATCCTCCAGGGGCCTGGACAAATCTCATCTGCCCCTCTTTCTAACACCTTCCCCGGGGTTGCTTTTGGGGAACATTTCCTGGCTGTCTGGTGGCAGGGGCAAAGTCCCTTCAAGAAGGAAGTAGAGGCAAAGGCTATAATTGACTAACGCAGACCCTGGGGCACCAAAGAGAAACAGAATTCTAGTGACCAAGTAAGTTCACTAGAGTTTAGAGCTCAACAGAAGGGTGAGAAGCTTCTACCTGGGTAAAGTTGGGCATCACACTCACCTGGAGCAAAGGGGACCACGTTGACCCCCACAGGTGGTGAATGTCTCCGTTACCTAGCTCATTTCTGTAGCTGCAATACCATCAGGATTTCAACATGTGAACTTTGGGGGGACCACAGCATTCAGACCATAGCAGATAACATGCACATTAGCAATACGATTGCCATGACAGAGTGGTTGGTGTGGTTAATACCCAGGTTAGTTGGCTGATCCCCACAGAGGGCTGGTGACTGCCTACCTCAGGCCAGCGCAGCTGAAACTGAAGAGCACCTGAATCACATGAGGGTCTTGTGAGAACGCAGATTCTGATTCAGTAGGTCTGGGGCGGGTCCAGAGATCTGGCATTTCTAACAAGGGCTAGATGTTGCTGCTCAGGGGGCCATGCTTTGAGAATCAAGGCGCTTGTGTTAGGCTGAGATTCTAGAAGCAGAGCCTGAGACGAGGGTTCTTGTGCGAGAGGTTTGGTGGGGAGTGATTGCAGGAGAAAGGGGGAAGGCCCTGGAGCAGGGATGTTACGAGAAAGCGGGTCCCACCTGGAGGCTGGGGTGTTGCCTCTGCAGCCCACATGTCAGTTAGTCATTGGCCATGGGCTGCCCAGGACAGGGAGAGGTATCATGCCTCCTGTGCCACCTCCCAGCAGGTATTTCTCCAGAGGGAGCAGCTGTGGGCAGCTGTGGGCATCAGCACTCAGCCCCCGGGGTGTGGGTGCACAGCCTGAAAGAGGGGTTCTGGGTGGAACTCGTGGTCATCCAGTCACAGTATCTTTGCCTGAGGATGGCCTTGAGGAGGGTGGACTGGGAGGCAGGACTCGGGCTCCGATGTGGACTCTGCTGTGTCCCCTGGGGTGGCCGCCTCTCCTTTCTGGGAGCTGCGTGTGCTGCAGGTTCACAAGGTGATGGTTTGGTTGGTCCTTTGTTCTGGTCCTCAGGCTGTGATGGAAGGTGAGGGTGGGGATGGGGGGAGGGTCTGCACAGGAAGAGGCAGCTCTTATTTCAGAGCCCAAGGTAAGGAGAGAGAGAGAGAGAGAGAGAGAGAGAGAGACCTGCCCTCAGTCAGAAATGGCAGAAATTACCACTGAGGCCTGCAGTGTTCAGGGAGGACTTCCTGGCAGAGGGAAACTTTAGGTGGGACCTCCAAGAAGCATAGGAGGAGAACATAGAGGAATGGGGAAAGGCAGAGGCATTTATTTAGCATCCATCACAGGATGGGTATTTCACTTACGTTATTTATTTAATCTTCACAACAATCCTATGTAGAAAGCCACCTCCACCGTGCAGGTGAGGAGCTGAGGCTTGAGAGGTGAGGGCACTGGGCCGGGGTCACAGTGGGATTGGAACCCAAGCCTGCTTGCCAGGAACATACTTTCTCTTCCTAAGGGACCATACCACATAGGGAGGGGGTGTGTGGAAAGGGGAGGGGAGCTGGAGGCCTTGGGAATTACTGCAGACCTGACTGGATGGGCAGAGGCTCGTGTAGAGGGGGCTGGGAGGACACTGACTACCAGGCTCTGGGGTTTGGATTCTGTATGGGGAGCCATGGAGGGCTTTGGGGCAGGCGTGATGGTGCAGTGTCATGCCCTCTGTCCTGGGACCCTCTTCCCATCCCAACTCTGAGCCAGCTTCTCCACATTGTCCACCCTCCCTGGATTCAGACTTCATCTGTGTGTGTGTTTGTGTGTGTGTGTGTGTGTGTGTGTGTATGTGGGGGTGTGTGTTGGGGTGGGTGGAGTCCATCCTGGACCCTTTCTGTAGACCATTTTTTGGACATTTGGGCTACTCCAGACAGGGGTCATCTATTTTTGCTGTAAGTGTTTTGTGGGGCAGAGGCCAGGCTAAGCTGCCGACAGCATCCCTGGAATCATGCTCTGTCCAGGAATCTTAGTGACAGCTGGGTGTCTGGCCACTGTGGTGAGCCTTCCTTCTCTACCCTTCCCATGCAGCCAGCCCCATTCTGTGCACTGGTGCCTTGGGGGTGAATGGAGGAAGGAGCACAAATCATTATCCCAGATGAAGACAGATTGGGCTTGGGGTGCGTCAGGACCTTGTGGGGAGGATTCGGTTCTGAATTATTTTCAGTCTTCTTTGCTCTGTCCCCACCTCTGTGGCCTGAGTTTTCTCTCCCAGTCAAAGCTGGGAACATCCAACTCTTTCTCCGCCATCTTCCCTGTAAGCCTCTCCTGCGTAGGATGTTATATAAGCTATAGTCACAGCTTGGAACCTGGCACGATATGCTGATATCAAACATGGAAACTGTTAGTGCTAAGCTGCTATGTGGGGATAAGATGGTCGAATGAAAGGTACCAGTGGAGTTGGGGCGGGGACGAGGAGGAACTACTGTTCAGTGAATACCTACTATGTGCCAAGCACTGTGCTAGGTGTCTTTTGTGTACTATCTTATTTAACCCCTACAACAGCCCTGCAAATTATGTATTACTATTAACCATGTCACAAATGGGATACCTGAAGCTCAGAGAAACTTGCCCAAGGTCACACAGCCTGTAAGAAGCAGAGTGGATCTGCCGGGTGGGGTGGCTCATGCTTGTAATCCCAGCGCTTTGGGAGGCCGAGGTGGGTGGATCACCTGAGGTCAGGAGTTCGAGACCAGCCTGGACAACATGGTGAAACCCTGTCTCTCCTGAAAATACAAAAATTTAGCTGGGTGTGGTGGTGCATGCCTGTAATCCTAGCTACTCAGGAGGCTGAGGCAGGAGAATCGCTTGAACCCAGGAGGAGGAGGTTGCAGTGAGCCAAGATCATGCCATTGCACTCCAGCCTGGGCAACAAGAGTGAAACTCCATCCCAAAAAAAAAAAAAAAAAAAAAAAAAGAAGCAGAGTGGATCGTGAACCTGAATCCGTCTAGCTCTGAAGTCATGGTCTTTATTCTGCACCACATATTCTTGCATGCACAGGGGTCTTTAGCTTCCTTTTGGAGACCCTTTCATGTGTTCCTCATTGAGACTCAGACCATCAACCTGAGAAGCCTTGGCATGGCGTCTTGTCATTCCCACTGGTAGAGACAGGCAGACCTACCCACAGAGGTGAGTGCCCACCTTGTCCCAGCTCAAGGCAATGTCATAGGCCAGCAGGCTCAAACTCAGGGTCTGAACTTTCCTGATCCCAGCTGCTTCCCAGCCCCCAAGAGGCTTTGTTGTTTTCAACTTGATGTTGAGTAGACCAGACACATGTTCTTTGGCTGTGAGTATTATCAGCGCAAATGCTCTTATATTAGCTCCTGTATTGGTTGTGTATTGCTTCACAGTAAGCCACCAGAATTAATGGCTTAAAACAATAACCATTTCATTAAGCTCATGATTCCATGGGTTGGCTGCAAGGCTTCCTGGCTAGGCTGGTTGTCTCTACAGGCTCTCCCTCCCTGCATCATGGTCAGTTGGCCAGTGGCCTGGGAGCTGGGTGATCTAGGACAGCCTCCCTCGTGCAGCTGGCAGTTTGCATGCTGCTGGCTGGGGGCTGGCTGGTTGTTGGCTCAGCTCCCCACATGACCTCCTGTCCTCCAGCAGGCTAGCTCGGGCATGTGCACCTGGGGCTCCCAGGCTCCCTGGTGCATCAAGAGAGAGCAAACCCCAGTGTCCTGGTGCTTTTCAAGCCTCTGCTTGTGTCACCTTTGTTGTTGTCCCATTTGTCAAATACAAGCATATGGCCAAGCCCATATTCAAAGCATAAAGAGAGAGATGATGAGAGGAGTGGCAGCCTCACGGTGCCAAGGGCATGCATGCAGGACAGGAGGCTATGATTAGGATTAGTGGTCATCTTTGTAATCTACACAGCTGCCCCCACTCTTCAGACAGCAGACATTCATCGAGTCCCTGCTGTGTGCCAGGCACTGTGGCAGGGAACAAGACAGGCCTTGTGCTGTGGGCATGTGGCCTCTAGTCTAGCCAGTGAATAATCACATGATGAAACATAACTAAAGCAGAACAGGTGTGATGAAGGAGAGCCACACAGGGCCGGGAGACCAGGCAACAGAGAGCTCTGGGGGGACTGTGGGAAGACTAGGAGTTGCTAGATGATGGGCACGGGGGAAGCATTCCAGGCAGGGAAGAGCACGCGCGAAGGTCCTGTGGAAGGAGGGGCCTGGCACACTTGACCACTCCAAGAAAGTGCCAGTTTCTTTTAAGTGTCGGCAACCTTGGGCTGGGAAAGGAACTTCTGGTTCGCAAAGGTCCCCTGAGCATTTCCGTGCGATGCAGTCTCAGGAGGGAGGTGGCTGATAACCTTCCCACGGGCAGCTCCTGGGTTTTGTGGGCTGGGAGAGGAGACCCAGGAGGGATTTGAGCATTGGGAAGGGTGTTGTGGGCACAGAGTTCAGTTTGAGGAAGGGGGAGGAGGAAGCAAGGAAGGGGTCAGTTGCAGAGGATTTGGGAGGGACTGGTGTGTGAGGGAAGTGAGGGGTTTTGGACTCAGTCCTGCTGGCTGGTGGTCTTTGAACCATGGACTGAGAATGAGGTGATCAGATGCTGGGGAGGCCCGTAGGGAGGGTGCACAGAGGAATGACTTGGGGACCCTCCCCAGCCACACCCCAGGTCTCCAACCCTAAGCCAGCCTCTACGTCCATGTGCAGGGCTGGGAGGGCCATCCTGGGGGCGACCGCAGCATCGAGTCCCCATGCGGATCTGCCTGCCCAGTCCCATAAGCAGCCTTTGATGTCCCTGGAGCCTTCAACAGCTTCTCTGAAGGCAGATCAGGGGCTGTGGTTTTGGAAAAGGCCTAGCATCACTGGGTGCCAGAATCATGATCATAAATGAACCAGCACAGATTGGAAAAATGGGAGGAGTCTGGAGTGTGGGTTCCAGCTTCTTGCCAATGTCTCCATGAAACCGTGCAAGTAGCTGCCCAGTCCTGAGCCTCCGTTTTCTCACCTGGAAATAGGGCCAGCTCCCATCCTCCCTGGGTCAAGTGAAGAGGAAGCTTTGAGGGCTGTTAACCTCAGCACCTTCAGTCTAATGCTTGTGGACAATGCGGGCACCCCAGTGACTGCACGGTGGAGTGAAGCAAACTCTCCTCTTACCAGGACCCATGTCAGTGGAACTTTCTTCCCCAGAATAAATAGAAACCATGGCAACCGGGATATGTCATGTGGACTGGCAGCCTGTCCCAGTGATGGCCAGGAGAAGGGCCTGGCACAGATGCGGGCCCCACTCACAACTCCACCCGCTGTGGGATGACCCACCGGGACCCCTTAGTCCTCCCCTCCTGCCTGAGGTAGGACTGAGAAGTTCAGTCCTGACCTTGGGTTTCCATTCAACCTCAGATTTTATTATTACTTAATAGTAAAATGCTTGTCCCGGAAAGCACGTCTCAAATGAGATAAGTTGAAGCAATCCTGGCTCCTGCCCCATGTCCTGATGGGTGCACTAGGAGTTATCAGGATACTGCTGGATGTGGGCACTGAAATGGCAGCAAATCTACTCTGAGAGGGAGGGCGCTGAGCCTGTGAGCGCCTTCAGTCTTCAGATGGCCAGCGAGGTGGTGGCATTAATATCCCACTTTACGGAGAGCCTCAGCTCTTTACCCGGGATTCACAGCTAGTATTTGACAGAGCTGGCATTCGAACCTGCATCTTCATGCCCCAGGACTTATTTCCACACTGGCTTTAGCTGAACTGGAGGCCCAGCCACCACATGGCAGGCAAAGAGCATTTGTCGCTCCCTGCATTGAGGGGGTGACTGGTCTGTGACGCCTGCCCCCAGCACAATGGGTCCAGGGGTGGTAGAGGGGCATCTGAGGCAGCTTTGAAGGCCAGGGGGTTTTTCCAGCCCTTGTGTTTCTGCCTTATGGCCTCCTTGTGCAGCTCTGGCAGGAGTGGACAGGTGCCCTCGCTTCTAGAAGCATGGTCTTGCCTTAGCTGGAAGTTGAGGGTGGAGCTTCCTGGAGTCGCTGGCTTCACCTGCCTCTGCAGCCATCCAGACAGGATGCCAAAGCCCCAGCTTGGGTAACCCCCTTGTCTCTTGGAGCCCCAGTGTCCTTATCTGTAAAACGAGGAGATCAGTGACTCAGGGACAGCATAGCATAGTGGTGCTGTGCATGCACGTTAGGTCCTAGGACCTTAGTTCCAATTCTGTCTGTGACAATTACTAGCTGTGCACATCTAGTAAGTTACTTAACCTCTCTATGCCTCAGTTTCCTCCTCTGTGAAATGGGGATAATAATTGCATCTACTTAATTTGTGGTAAGGTTTGCATAGGGATTTCATCATATTGGGACTGGAGGAGTTGAGTAAGAAGAAAGGGCAAAACCTTGGTCTAGCTTCCGCCAATTTCTGGGCAAAAGCTGAAGTTAGCACAAAGTCAGCCCAAGCATGCTCCACTGCACTCAAAGTACAGTTCTGCTGCCAGAACCCAGCCAGGGGGAGGGGATGGGAACTGTATAAGAGTAGGACGGATGCCAAGACTAGTGAGGCATTTTAACAACATGAGGCTGGAATGTGGCATTGTGTAAGTCCCACAAATGAATATGTGCGGTGAGGTTGGAAGATAAGCGAGGGTTCATTTGGTGAGACCATTCGTATAGTCAGACATGAGTTTAAACTGACCCTGCAGCTTAGAAGCTGTGTGGCCTCAAGAGCTTACTTAACTCCTCTGAGCCTGTTGGCACACCCAAAAAGAAAAACAACTCATTTCATTTTGCTAGATTGTCTAAGGATTAAAGAGATGACAGAAAGTACCAGTGCCTGGCACAGAGTAGATGCTTACTAAGCACCCCAAGAGTGTCTTATGGGGTGCTTATGTGATTCAGTCGGTGCTGCTGCTGAGTGACCACAGGGATATGCTCAGATATGCTGCAGAGGTTTCCTTCTGTAGTTAAAGGGCAGGGAGTCATGCCCTGTATGAGACATTTTTCCTTAGGGAAAATGAAGTCATGGGACTTGTTCATCTGGATAGTGCAGTCCAGGGGTGTATGGGGCTTGGGGTACTGCAGGCAAGTCCCTGGGACAGTGTGGCTGAGGGATGGGGCATTGGGTCTAGGAGCTTGGTGCAGAGCTCAATCAGGAACCTTGAAAGAAAACACAATGTGAAGACTTTCTACCTTGAGGACAGTGGGGCCGTGGAAGGATTTTAAATGGTGGGACGTCACTTTTTTTTTTTGAAGAGTTGGTGTCCTACTCTGTCACCCAGACTGAAGTGTAGTGGCATGATTATAGTTCACTGCAGCCTTGAACTCCTGGGCTCAAGTGATCCTCCTGCATAAGGCTCCTGAGTAGCTGGGATTACAGGCATGCGCCACCATGCACAGCTAGCTTTTTTTTTTTTTGTCTGTTTTTCAGAGATAGGTCTCGATATGTTGCCCAGGCTGCTCTTGAATTCCTGATCTCAAGCAATCCTCCCATCTCGGCCTCACAAATTGCTGGGATTACAGGTGTGAGCAATCGCACCTGGCAACTTTTTTTTTTTCCCCCAGGAAAACTCTACTAATTGGCCTGGAAAATAAATGGGGGAGGGTGAGCTAAGGGGCTGCTATGGGGATCCAGGCCAGAAGGGTGAGAGGCTGAGCCAGAGTCGCAGGGATGGAGGGAGAAGAGGTGACTGCAGAGGATGAGGCAGCTATCAGGGCACCCTAGGGGTGTGGTGTGGCACTTTAGTGGTCAGTGCTTTGCAGAGACGAGGCACATGGGATTAAGCAAACACAAAATCCCAGTGGGCATGAGGATGTAGACCAGGGCACCTTAGAAGCGCAAAGCGGCTTTAGTCACTTCCCTTGCGTGAGATTTGTTTAATAGAAGCTTGCAGCTTCGCAGCACTTAACAGGTGCTGACGGGGGCATCACAATATTGTGAAATTAAGCTGTGAAGCCGACTTCATTACCAGCTTACCTGGCGATGAAGCAGCTGCCTTAGTTAGCACTGATGGTTGGGCATGACAGAGCTAAAATTGAACTTGGCAATTACTGCTCATGAGAGGTTCTCAGTACTGTGAAAGGAAGGTTCCATGGAAATCAACCCTGGTAATCACAGGGTTTAAAATTAGTCAGTTACTATTAAGGTTGCTCTGTCAGCATATGCTTCAGGGTGATGTGAGGGAAGGGGGCGTGGAAGCTTGGGTTTGGGCTGTTGTGGGTTACCTTATGTTCACCTGCACTGCATTTAAGAAAAAAAGTTGGTTCTAGGACAAAGGTTCGAGAGTCCCAGGGTTAATATCATGGTGCAGGGTGGCCATTTGGATAATAGGTGGTTTTAAAGCCTTTTTTTTTTTTTTTGAGTATTTTTTGAGACAGAATTTCGCTCTTGTTGCCCAGGCTGGAGTACAATGGCGCGATCTCGGCTCACTGCAACCTCCGCCTCCCAGGATCGAGTGATGCTCCTGCCTCAGCCTCCTGAGTAGCTGGGATGACAGGCATGTGCCACCACACCTGGCTAATTTTCGTATTTTTAGTAGAGATGGAGTATCACCATGTTAGCCAGGCTGGTCTCGAACTCCTGACGTCATGTGATCCACCCACTTCGGCCTCCCAAAGTGTTGGGATTACAGGCGCGAGCCACTGTACCTGGCCTAAAGCCCTGTTCTTTTTATTTGCGTAAGCTCACACCCTCTCAGCTTTGGTGTTTTCTATTGACTTAAGGAGGTTTCCTGACTCGCTTCTGGTCTCTCCTTGGGATGTTGCACAGGAAGAGCTCAGCTCTCTGTGGGTTCCTCCTTGCCCTGGAGGAAGCAATGATGTGATAGGATGGGAGGTTCCTGAGTCCTTCACAGAATTGTTTTTGGTAAACCTTGGCTGGAACATCTCAGCAATCTCAGAAGATTTGTCCCCGTTTTGTGAATAAAGACAGCAAGGGGCTGATATGGGCTTGGTTGCTACTGTAGTGAAAATCAAAGGACAAAGCTTATAATGATTCAATTGTGAGTTTGCCTGGGCTGTGTGCACTGACCCTCATCAATAAGAAGATGGAAGTTGACTCCTTGCTGTGAGCCTCAACTTCCTCATCTGTAAAAGGGGAACTTGTTTTGTGCAAGTGTGAGGATTAAATGAGATCATCAAAGCACAGTAGAACCTCAGCATGGTGGCTGTTGGCTATTAACAGTGATATTTATGGACCAGACCAGGCACTTTCCATCGATGACAGCTGCTTTGACAAAAACCCCACCAGGAGGGAACTATTATTCCCATCTTAACATTAGTAAACAGAGGCTCAGAGAGGATCTAAGTTTGGCCAAGATCTAAGGGTACAGCCAGGATTCAAACCCAGGCATTCTGGCCACAGAGCCTGGCCATTGTCCCTGCCCCTCACCCTGGGAACAGCTGAACAACAAGGAAACAAGTAACATCATAGCTCATGCCTGTCATCCCAGCACTTTGGGAGGCCAAGACGGGAGGATTGCTTTAGGACAGGAGTTAGAGACCAGCCTAGGCAACATAGTGAGACCCTATTTTTACAAAAAAAGAAAAAACACAAAAATTAGCAGGGTGTGGTGGCACATGCCTGTAGTCCCAGCTACTTGGGAGGCTGAAGCAGGAGGATCTCTCGAGCCCAGGAATTCAAGGCTGCAGTAAGTTATGCTCATGCCACTGCACTGCAGCCTGGGCAATAGAGGGAGACCCTGTCTCAATAAATAAATAAATAAGAGAAAAAAGAAAAGAAAAAAGAAAACAAGCAGCTTGGACAAGCTGCCTCCATGGATAAGAAGAGAGAAGCATTAAAACTGAAAGATCATTTGCAAAAGGCTGCAGCTTCTCCACAGGAAGCTGAGTCATCTCTCTTTGTTTTGAACCGTAACCATCACGTTGCCTCAGAATCTGAAAAATTAAAAAAGAACTAAAAAAATGCTGAGTTTCTTCATGGTGCAGAGGCCCTTCTTGTCTCCACACCAGAAGGAGCTGAGCAGAGGGGCCACAGCGATGGGACCCCCTCCAACCCACATTAAATACCTCCACCTGAATATTTATTGCAACGGCAAGAGCACTGCACCTGGAATCCGGTCTCACAGCCTTGGATTTGCCTTGCTAAGCCTCAGTCATCCAACCTGCCAGGCAGGTGCACCTGCCGCAGCCCTGCCTTCTCTGTGGAGCTGGTGCTCTCGGGGTGCACGAGTCAGGGTTGGGAGGATGCTTTCTCACCTGTACACCTGTGGATGGTACGATCACAACCCCAAATGCCTCCTCCCAGTACATTTGGCAGAATTCAGTCCAGAATCTGGGCCTTGGCCTAGCTCCTATAAACTCCCTCTCCTACAGATGGTGGGGTTCAGTAAGAGTTTGATGAAGAATGCAGGGGCTTTCTGTGCTTGTCTGGTATCACCCAGCTTCTGCCTTTTAAAATGCCTCATTCCTTATCTGTGTACTCAAACTCTGCCCCTTCTCCAAATCTCGGCTTGACTGACACCTTTTTCATGAGGCCCTCGCCCAGGTGACCACCCTGAGACCCTTACCGGTGAGTACTGTCTTCCTTATACTCACCTCTGTGTGTAAGCTGGGCTTCCTGTGAGGACAGGGGCAGTGTCCTGATCACACATTGCTCCAGCTTCTGGAATTATGACCTATGTGAAGTAGGGAGGAGGCAGAGGGAACAACAAAAAAAAAGTTTTTTCAGTGAATGAATAAATAAATGAGACTTGAAAGATTTTTACCTTTGTGTTTTCTCTCTGACAATCAATTATACCTTTCACTTATCTCTTGTTTCTGATGAACAAGTTTAACATTCAACAAGCAACATGGCTTCTTGCAACATCAACAAATGCCCATCATTTTCAAGGCCGCATAGTATTCCATTCTATGGAGAGCCATGATTTATCCAATCCTCTATCGATGGACTTTATTGTCATTTTCATCTTCTTATAAATAATGATGCAATAAATATCCTTGTCCACACGAATTTGAGCCTAGAAAGTTCTTTATCATCCTAAGCTTATATAAATATTCATGGACAATTTCCTCTTGCATGCTTACAGCTTTGTGTGTGTGTGTGTGTTTCTAAATCTTTGGTATGTCTGAAATTTTCATCCATCTTTGTATCGCGGTGCAAAATGCACCTCTCTTTTGCCTTGAGACGAGTGTCATGTGCCTTGGATCTATGGGTTGTGTGCACTTTCTATCTGGTGAGCACGCACTGTGTGTCAGGCCCCATGCTGGGAGCCAGGACCCAGAGATGAGCAAGACAGACGATCCTGACCATCAAGAAGCTCAGAGCCTAGAGAAGAACAATAAACACAGAAACAAAAGCCATCAAACACATGAACAGAAACGATTGGCTGCAGGAGTGTGCTATGGACAAAGTAACTCAGGTGCAGGTGAGATTAGAGGAGCTCTCTTTGGGGAAGAAGGAGATCTTTGAGCAGAGCTGGAAGGATGAGAAGCAGTCAGTTGTGTGAAGGTCAGGGGAAGAGCATTCCAGGCAGAGGGAACAGCATGAAAAAGGTACAGAGGCAGGGAAGCAAGACTTTTTTCCTTTCTGGAGCCTTTTGTAATCCCCCTTCCAGCCTCTCCCTCCTCCTGCAGACACGCTGGGCACCAGCCCCCTTTATCACATGACATTTGCTATTCCCAGGCCGTTCTCTCTGTCACTTACTTTAGTATTGTTACAAGTGTTCAGGAATAGGATGATTCCCCAGAGCGCTTCCTGCTTAGTCTGGATCCTCTCAGCTCTGTGGTGCTTCCTCAGCAGCCTTTGCTGCTACTGAAATGTCCAAAAAATTAAAATTAGTTTAATAGCACCTGGCATAGTACATGACACTTAATAGGTACTATTATCCCCATTTTACAGGTGAAGAAACTGAGGCTCAGGGAAGTTAGCCATTCCAGCAGGCAGAGCTAGGATTCGAACCCAGCTCTGTCTTATTTCAAAGTCTGCCTTCTTCATGGAGCCCTAGTTTAACTGCATTTGTGCGAAAGCTAATGAGAGACTGCTGGTTAATCCTTAGTGCCCGGGGCCAGCTTTATCCCAAGCCCGATCAAGGCTTGTGGTGGGTGACCTTGGCCTTTGGCCTGATGGCTTCAGAAGAGTGGAAAGGAACCAGGGGAGGTTCTTATTTTTTTGTTTTAAATTACAAATGTAATACACGCTTGTGGTAAAGAAAAAAAAAATGAAACAAGAAAGAAAAAAGCAGCCACTGAAAATATCTCCTCCTCCCTAGTGTAACTGCTATTAACAGCCTGGTATCTTTTATAGTGCATGTTCAAACACATACATATACACCGTTATTGTTTTTATAAAAATGGAACCATGTCCTTGACTTTTTCTTGCAGGCAGTTCCAAGTCAGTACCTACACACCTTCCTCATTCCATCAGATGTATTTCAGTGTATTCAACCAGACCCTGGCTTTCGACATTTAGCTGTCTCTAATTCTCTCTGTAACAAGCAACATCCTTGGGCATGCATCCATGCACTGAGTACAGGTATTTCTGCAGGATGGATGCTCAGAAGTCTAATTGCTGAATGAAAGGGCATGCAAGTTTCACACGTTGACAGGTGCTGCCAATTTGCCTTCCGAAGGCTCTTCCAGTGCAACACCCCTCCCAAGGCAGCGTGTGTGAGTGGGGAAGGCTCTTAAGCCACAAATGACGTGGAGCCGCGCTGTACTTAGGGGCTGCCTCCCCTTCTGCTCCCCGAGACCTGGCGTGGAGACCGCCACCAGGAGCTCCGAACACGCAGGCCCAAATTGGAATAGGAGATGGATTTTGATAAAAGAGGTTAAATAACAGGTTTTTCCATTTCACCTTATACGAATGGGATGGGGGGTGGGGGTGCTGGGCCTCCAGCCAATAGAGGACCAAGAGTTGTCAGGAGGGCTTATAAAGCTTGCTATTTCTGGCATTTTTTCCTCTTTCTCTGCTGATTATGCAGCAGACTCGCACAGAGGCTGTCGCGGGCGCGTTCTCTCGCTGCCTGGGCTTCTGTGGAATGAGACTCGGGCTCCTTCTACTTGCAAGACACTGGTGCATTGCAGGTGTGTTTCCGCAGAAGGTAAGCAGCGGGTGCCCACCGCCCCATGAGGTGGAGGTGGTCAGGCCGTCACTGTGGGCTGAAGATAGGTGATGTCTGGATGGGGGCAGGCAGGGACCTGGACTGGTGCTTGTCACATTCTGGAATGAAGATGCTTTAGAGGGGCCAGGAGGCCTGCAGTTGGCAGCTCCTTCTTGGAGAGGAATTCTGGAGGCGGTTTGGGCTGTCCTCTGGAGAGCAGGGTCAGGCTGTGGCCTTGGTGCCCAGGCTGCTCAGGATCATTCATTCATTCATTCATTCATTCAGCACACCCTGCAGTAGGCCTGGCCAGGTGTGGGTTGGGGGGTCTGGCTGATTCAGACTGGAAACAATGGGAGCAGTAATGGGGATGGCCCATGGCTTGGGAGGAGCCCAGAAGATACCTGGGCTGAAGAGTGACAGGGGCCTTCCAAGAAGGCAAGACGGGTGAGAAGCAGCTGAGGACGTCACCAGGAATACCCGAGCTGCCTCTTCCACTAGATTTTGGAGTTTGGGGAATCAATAAAAATTTCTTGCCAAATTTGGTGAATGCCACCTTTTCCGTTTGTGAAGTAAGGACATTAAAAAATAACCAGTTGGGATCTCTACGCAGCATACTTTCGTAGAAGAAAGGACAGCAACAAATGAGAAAGGAACTAAGGGGACTTAAGGGGACACACATGCCCTTAATAGGTGGCAGAGATTTCAAATGCAGAAACCTAACGTGAAGGGGCCATCCCAGCTGTGCCTGGGAGGCTATCTTGGTGATGGGAGTTGACTGGGTTGGGGGCGGGGCTTGTTGCTGTTGATGGTGCTGCACCCAGCAGACCAGGAGACCCGACCTCTTCTCGTGCTCTGATTTATCACAGCCATTGTTGAAATCTGGCTTCGTGCATGTGTGTCCCAGCAAAAGAAGGCTCCCGCTCAGGTCCGCTTTCCGTCATTTGGAACATCCTGGGTGAACTGGGAGAGACCAGGAAACACCAGCTTCTGTGCCTCCTGGGATGGTTTCTACCTTCTCCACTCTGGGTCTGAAAGCCTGCAGGAGGCAGTGGGCCCAGGTCTGCAAGGGAAGCCTGAGGAGCCAGCTGGACACAGAATGTAGCTATTGAGCACCTACTGTATACTGGGGTCTGGGTTAGGCACTGCTTACATATCTCAGCTCGGCCATAAATACAATCTGTGACATAGGGCAAGTTCCTTGAGCTTTCTGTCTCTTCATCCATAAAATGGGGACACTGATGCCTACTTTCTTGTGTTGTCATGATGGTGTGTGTGTATAAGCATTTACGTGTGTTCATGTGTATATGTATGCACACATGCACGTGTGCACACACTCACTGTGTAACACTTTGCCTGGTGTGTGGAAGGACCTCATTAATGAGGCATGAATGAATGAACAAATGACCTAGGATGTCGGCTCAGCTCATGAGGAGGGCGTGGCTCACAACGGCATGTGTTTGTGTGCATCTGCGTGTGTGATCCAGGGAGCTCTCTTCTTGTGCTTAAGAGTCAGAGGCTCTGGAATCTGTTTGGGGAGCTTGAAGGGAGGGCCATGTCTGTTTCACAGCCCTGGCTAATAGGAATTCTTTGTGTTTCTGGTCACTTCCATGGGTTCTTGACTGGGAGAGGAGTTCATGGCAAGGACTGACTGGCCATTTTGAAAGAGAACCAACCGATCCTTTTAGTGTTAACACTTCCTGAACAACTTACTGAATACCACTCATCAGCACTGTGTTGGTGGGGCCCTGGGAAAACAGCCAGCCAGTAAGCCAGCATTCAGATTGCTACCTGACGACCTGTTTGCTGAGAGCCCCTGGCTGGGAAGGAAGGTGCTGGAAGGAAAGGAGTCTTGGAAGGGAGAGAGTGGCTGAGAATTGCACCCTCACACATGCTCCCTGCCTGGAGAACAGAAGCTGAGCCAGGTTTAAGACCTTGTTTTAAGTCATGGCTCTGTTCCTTACTTGCTGTGTGACCTCAGCACAGCAACCTCTCTCAGCCAGAGCTTCCTTGCCTATAAAATGACATTGTTAGGAGGACTAAGTGGGATAAAATATGTAAAGCACATTGTTGGTGCTCAGTAAATAACGTGTTCTCCTGGGGAGGGAAGAGGCCCTGGAGAGCTTTTGCCTGAAACCAGGGTGTCTGTTGGCACACAGGGGCCCAAACACGGCAGGCACCTGCTGAATATTTATGGGAAGAATGAAGGTGTGCAGAAGTGGGAGGCCTGAGTTGCAGGGCTTTTCCTGCCATTAGTAATTGCTGTGTGATCTTGGGCCAGTTCTTCATCCCCTTTGGACCTTTGATTCCCTCAGAAGAAGAGTCCAGGCTGATGGCTTCAACCCCTGCTCTTCCACTGTGTTGGAAATCGGGTATGTGGGAGCCTCCAGAGCAGGATGAGCTTCATGTTTGAAATTAATTTCCTTTCCTCGGCCGGCGGCATCCCTGATGACTCTCCCCTGCTGCCTTGTGCATGAACAAACCGGTAATTAATGAAATTGGGAGCAGGGGCAGGGAGGTGAGGTTTCCAGTGGAGGCAGCTGGGGGTCTGCTGGGGCAGCCTCTGTGCCACCCACTGGGAGGCCCCGGGCCTGCTGGGGCAGCCTCTGTGTCGCCCACTGGGAGGCCCAGGGCTGCCCAGGAGCTGCCATCTCCGTCTAGCCAGGGGGCCTGGCAGATGTTCACACATCTGGACAGTTGCAAAGGGAGGCATGAAATATAGATGGGGAGATGGGGAGTGAATTCTCCAGCTTCTCCTGGGCCTGGGGAGCCATTTTCCAGGGAGGGCCTCGGGAACCTCCTGCTGTTGGGTGTTGAGATGAGCCTGGAGTAGCAATTGGGTGGACCTGGATTTTTAGCCTTTGGTCTCTTGACTTCTAGTTGTGAGGCTTGAGGCAGCTCACTTAACCTCCCTGGGTCTTCCTTGCTGTGAAGAGCAATTGAGGCCATGGGAGCAGCAGCCCCCTAGTCATGGGGGGATTGGTGTAGAAAGGCAGCTTTGATTTGCATGTCCTCACCCCAGGGGCTCATCTAGAAGGAAACAGTTACTCTCAATGGCCCTTTTCCTGATTCACACCCTCCGTCACCTCAAAATGCCCCTTCTACTTTGTGCCCACTTTTTATATATGACTGTCCACCCCTCGGCTTAGGCCACAAATGTGGGATCATCTTTGACCCCTTTCTCTGCCTTACTCCTTGCATCTAATCCAACTGCACTTGCTGCTGGCTGTACCTTCAGGGTGCAATGACTTCTCCCCGCTTCACTATTACTTGTCACCGGGATGACCGCAGGAGCCTCCTCCCAGGCCTCCCTGCCTCCACCCTTCCTCCTTAGTCTGTTCTTCTCGCAGCAGCCAGTGGGATCTCTGAGAACCACCTGATGCGCACATCCCTCCCTGCTTAAAGCCTGTGGTTGGTTGTCTTTTGTAATCAGCTGGATCTGTTCTGATACCTTTAATATACCCACCTGGGGGAGCTGGGCACCTGTCTGATCTCACTTTTTGCAGTCCACAAGCTAGCTTCTGCCTCCTGCAGAATCACTGTCCTGCCACCTCCTAAATCCGCTTCCCCACTGACCAAGCTATTGTGCCTCTTAATTTTACTTTCAGACCCCTTTGTCTGGAATGGTTCTTTTACCCCTTGGACTCCTGTTTATTCTCGCAGGTGTGGTCACGACATCCACGGCTTTCCAGAAGCCTTCTCTGATTGCCCCCACCGTCTAGCCGCAACTATCAGAGCCAGGGTCCCCTTCCCTGTGCCCGCTTCTGTCATTGTCCTCCCCATCAGTGCTGTGATGCTCTGGGAGGACATCACCCACGATGATGCACCTTTATTCTCACACGTGCTGCAAGGCCAGACAGCACAGAAATGTTAATTTAGGCAGTAGATGCAAAAGACCTCCCTGCAAATTAAGGGCCTTCAGACCTAGACAGACTGGAATAGGATCCTCAAACTGGTTTGATTTGGCTGTGACCTTGGACAAGCCACCTAGCCTCTCTGCTTTGGAGGGTCACGAGGATTGACGAGATGACATGTATAACAAACATCCTCCTCTTTCCCACTTGCTGGATTGTAAGTGTTCCCAAAGACACTTGGAATGTTTAACCCCTCACATCTGCTCTGAGCAGAGCAAACTCAACAATGCATAGACGAGCCCACCACAGAACCCCAAACAGGAGCAAAAATAGCAGCCATCGGGGCAACCTGAGATGCAGAAGCCACAGGAAGAAGCCGCAGGCCAAGCGGATGTCAGCGGCTCTGAGGCCCTGCTGAGGTTCCTCGGATGTGCTGAGCTCTGCAGCCCTCTCGCCTGCCCTCGCTGGCTCCCCAACCACAGCATCAGATAAGGCCGGTGGAAAAAGTGCTGGCTTCCTCTTTCTGGGGAGGGGTAATCTCAGTGCCATCTGTGGGGCACACTCCATCCCCAGTTGCCTCTCTGGCCTCCCCTCCCCCTCCCCACTGCTTGCTCTGCCTGTCTTTGCTGGTCTCTTTGCTGACCGAGGTCACACCTGCCGGCAGCTCCCATCTTAGGGCCTGTACACAGGCTGTCAGGCCCTGGAATGCTCTCCCCAACACATCTACTTGGCTCACTCCCTCACCTCCTTCCAGTCTTGGCTCCACTATCACTTCCTCAATGAGGCCCACCTTGACTGCTCTGTTTAAACGTGCATACCCTCCATCTCGACATTCCCAATACCCCTCACCTGCTCAACTCTTTCTTCTTTCCATATACCATGTAAGTCACTTATTGACTATGTGTATTGTTTTCTATCTCCAATGCAAGAGCGTAAACTCCAGGGGTCTTTGTTCACTGCTGTCTCCCAGGATCCCAGAATAGTGCCTGGCACAAAGTAGATGCACAGCAAATACTTTTTTGGTGCACGGACGCATGAGTACATGAGTAAGAACCAGCCCAGCAATCAGAAGAGGTTCAGGCTAGATTTTGGGGTGAGGGGGGTTTGTTTCTGGGCTCCAGGCCCCAGGGATGGGCTCACGTAGTCATTAAGGATTCTGGCCCCATGATTGACCTGCATTGGCCAGAAGCCCCTGCTGACCTTCAGGGCGATAGCTGTCTGGGGCCAGAGAAGGGTCTGGAAGCCTGTGGTCCCTTTCAGGAGGGACCCTTGCAGTAGTTAAGAGTTTGGCTTTGGAACCACATTGCTGTGGGTTTGAATCCCAGCTCCACCACTTCCTAGGTAGATAGCCTTCACGTCTACCTCTCTGTATTTGAGTTTTCTACCTTTAAAATAGAGTAGATAGGCCGGTGTGGTGGCTCACGCTTGTAATCCCAGCACTTTGGGAGGCTGAGGCGGGTGGATCACTTGAGTACCGGAGTTCAAGACCAGCCTGGCTAACATGGTGAAACCCCGTATCTACTAAAAATACAAAAAAATTAGCCGGGTATGGTGGCGCACACCTGTAATCCCAGCTACTCGGGAGGCTGAGGCAGGAGAATCACTCGAACCCAGGAGGCGGAGGTTGCAGTGAGCTGAGATCGTGCCATTGCAATCCAGCCTGGGCAACAAGAATGAAACTCCACCTCAAAACAAAACAAAAGTAGTGAATTCTGACCTTGCTTGGGTGGTGATTATGAGGGTTACATGCAATATAGATAAAGTGCCTGACTCATGGTAGATGATCAGCAAATGACCATTACTATTAAACTTATTATGTTTTTTTTTTTTTTTTTTTTTAGAGAAAGGGTCTTGCTCTGTCAACCAGGCTCTAGTGCAGTGGCATGATAATAGCTCACTGTAGCATCAAACTCCTGGGCTCAAGCACTCCTCCCATCTTAGCCTCCTGATTAGGACTACAGGTACATACCACCATGCCTGGCTAATTAAAAATAATTTTTTGTTTGTTTGTTTGTTTGTTTTTTTGAGGCCGAGTCTCGCTCTGTCGCCCAAGCTGGAGTGCAGTGGTGCGATCTTGGCTCACTGCAACCTCCACCTCCTGGGTTCAAGTGATTCTCCTGTCTCGCCCTCCCGAGTAGCTGGAACTACAGGCATGTGCCACCACACCCGGCTGATTTTTTTTTTAAAATTTTTAGTAGAGATGGGGTTTCACCATGTTAGCCAGGATGGTCTCGATCTCCTGACCTCGTGATCTGCCCGCCTTGGCCTCCCAAAGTGCTGGAATTACAGGCGTGAGCCACTGCGCCCAGCAGAAAAGTAATTTTTTTTTCTAAGAGACGGGGCCTTGCTATGTTGCTCAGGCTGGTGTCAAACTCCTAGTCTCAGCTATCTTCTCGCCCTGGCCCCCCAAAGCTCTGGAATTACAGGTGTGAGCCACTGCCCCTGGCCTAAACTTAACTGAGCATGTTAGGGTTATGCTGCCGTAACAACCCCCTGAATCTCAGTTGCTTATCATAAGGAAGGCTTATTTTTGCTCTTACTATGTGTTCCATGACAATCAGCAGAGAAGTAGGGGTTGGGCTCTGCTCCACAGATCACTCAGGGCTGTAGGTTGGTCAAGTCTCGACCATCTGGAACCTTGCTGGTCCTCTAGAGAAAGCCTGCAGATCTCAAGTTTGCTTTTTTATACTTCTACCCAGAGGAGACCCACGTTGTTTCTGCTCATAACCCATTGGTCTAAACTAGACGCATAGCTCCAATAAATGGTAAGGGGAGCCTGAGGTGTAGTGTCCTATGTGCCAGGAAGGAGAGGAGAGCCAGATATTGGAGAGCAGTAGTAAAGTCTACCACAGCAGGTACTTCCCTCTCTGCCCTCTCCAGACATATAGGCAGACTGAGACACAGTTAGTCGGTACTTACGGGACTCACTGTGGGTGGCTGAATAATGACCCCTAAGTATAGCTAGGTCCTAATCTTTGAAACCTGTGTATGTTACTTTAAATGGCAAAAGGGGCTCTGCAGATGTGATTAAGGGTCTTGGGATGGGGAGAGTATCATGGGTTGTCTGGGTGGGCCCTATAGGATCACAGTGGTCCTTATAAGTGAGGAGGGGTTGCAGAATCAGGAGAAGGTGATGTGAGGATGGAAGCAGAGACTGGGGTGACGGCTATGAAGATGGAGGAAGGGACCACAAGCTAAGGAACACAAGCAGCCACTAGACACAGGGAAAGGCAAGGAAATGGATTTTCTCCTAGAGCCTACAGACCAGCCAGCCCTGATGACACCTTGGTTTTAGCCCAGTGAGGCTGATTTTAGACTTCGGGCTTTCCAGAACTGTAAGAGAATATGTTGTTTTAAGTCACCTGTTTATGGTGATTTGTGACAACAGCCCTAGGAAACTAATATATCACCTTCAGTCAGAAAATCATTTGAGACCCAGTGCATAGAAGCCGCCTCTGTCTGCTCAGACAGAACTGACCCCTTCCTCCTGTCTGTTGTGGCGCCCCTTGTACCTGTCTGTCATCACGTTCATGCACAGGCAGAGGTGTCTCTTAACATAGTCCTTCCACTCCCAACCCGCATGCTCCAACATGTATGCCCACACTCTCAGCCACTCTTTGAGCCTCTCATTGCTTGGGCTGATCCGGGTTGGTGTGTGTCCACGTCTGTAGGAATGCAGGGCAGGCTGGTGGCAAGGTCAGTGTAAAGGACTTGTCTCTGGGGAAAGGGCCCTGGCATGCCCCAGGAGTGGCTCAGTTGGCGGGAGAGTAGAGGCCCTGTGGAAGATGGTGGGAGGGTGAAGGATGGGGCTGGAGAAATCAGCAGGGACCAGGTCAAGCAGGACCTTAGGACCAAGAGAAAGAGGTGGATCTTTGTTTTGAGGACAGAGAGGAGCCTAGTAGGATTTTGAGCAGGGGGGCGACTATGGATGACTGATGACTGGGTTCTCCTGGTTTGCGACTAGGTTAGAAGACTGTCTTTGTCCTCCCATCTTCTGGAAGTCAACTCTATGCCAGACACTCCTGAGCTATGCTTTTCACAGGATTTCTCATGCATCCATTTTATAGAGGAGAAAGCTGAGACTCAAAGAATGGAACCTCATGGAATCCATCCTCCACGTGGCTAGCTGAGTCATCTTTTAAACTATAAATTAAAGCATGTTACTCCCCTGCAAGAACTCTCCAAGGGCTTCCCATCTGGGATGAAATCCAAGTGCCTTATGGTGGCCCTAGGACCCCAAATCACGTCCTTGCCTCGCCCCTCTGCCTACTGTGTCCTGCCTGTTATTCCCCCTGCATGCGAGAGCTTCTACTTGTGGACCTCAGGGACTTTGCATTGCTGCTCCCTCTGCCTTAAATGCTCCCACCCACTACTTGTTGCCTGACAGCCTCCTTCTCTCTCTTCTGGGCTCCCTCAGTTTAATTGCTGCCTCTACAGAGAGACCCTGTCTCCACACTTCCTGTGTTTGCTGCACAGCACTTAGCACAATGCAACGTGTGACCACCTTTGTGTGTTTGCTTGTTTGTTGCCTGCCTCCTGCAGTGGACTCTGAGGCCTGCAGGGGCTGGGACTGTGTCTACCTTGCTTCTCGTTGTGTCCCAGCCCCCAGGAGCTGGTATGAAGGGGGCACTCAGCGAACAAACCTCTGCGGAAAGATGAAGGATGGGTCCTGTGTGCAGAGGGAGCTCTGGACCTTTGAGGGTGGCTGGAGGCTCCTGGACCTGCCTTGGAGGACAGACACCAGGCAGGGGCCAGCTGAGGAGGAGTGCCAGTGATTTCTCTGGGCACCTGGGCAGCCCCATTCCTATTGCACCTGGCCTTGACCCACTCCCTGTGCTGTCTACATTCTCTGTCACATTAAATGCTCTGCCTGCCATTTCAGCCTCTGGGAGGATCCACGAGGGTGTGGGGAGAGACGTCAGACCTGGGTTTGGATCCCAGCTCAGCCACTTAATAGCTATGAGACCTTGCACAATTCCCTTTAACTTTCCAAGCCTCAGTTTCTTCCTATGTAAAATGGGCATACAGAGGGACAGCCTTCTAGCACGTGACTCCTGGTGCTTGATTCGCTTGAAACTGCCTTATCTACAATCCAAAAAGCCCTGCGACGAGAAGTTGTTTTGTCAATATGCTGCAAACTCATTTGGCCCCCAAAATCTGACCTGAGCTGACGCGAGGCTCTTTGTAATCTTTACTCACCCCACTTGTGTGAATATTCATATGTTCCACTGCAGAAATATGAATGTGTTCCATTGCAGGTGTTGCCTGAGGCTCCACTGAAGCTATGGCATAATTTGCAGAATTTGCACTTCATTACTTTTCTGAAATTCAAACAAATTCTGAAACTGCACGAGTTCTGGCTGAGAGCTGTGGATCTGTGCATGTGAGTAGCTGCTGAAAACCCTCCTGGGTCACAGGAGGGCCCATGGGGGCCTCTGGCAGCCATCGCAGAGCCTGAAACCCGTTGTTTCCCCTTGGCTGGCTTCTGGTTTCTTGGCAGCCAGTGTCTTCTTAGCCACCTGGGGTTATGTTGGGTTTTGCTGGTTCAGGGGCAGGGGTTAAAGCTTAGGGCAGGGTGAGCCGAGGTACTCAGACATTTCTGATGTGAATTTAAAAGGAGAATTTTTTTTTAATGAATCATCAGAAGAAAGAAATCAGAAGGAAGTGTGTGACCAAGGAGAGGAAATTAGGGTTTGCAAATTGCATGAGTCACCCCCTTTCTGACTCCTGGGTGATCCCTTGCCCTTGGCACTTTTCACTCATCTCTGAGACTCTCAAGGCCGTATTCTGCATAACATGCTGGGGCTGTCATGGTTTTATTCTGGCTCCAAACCTGCTTCTCATTCTAGCCATCAGTATAAATTTCTAGTTTTGAATCACTGCCACGCTGTTTTACTTATTATTGTGTTAGCCAGTGTTTCTTCCCTGCCCAAGCCCTGCTCAGACTCCCGTTTCCCCATCTTAGTTAGCATCTACAACCCATTCTCCACCCAGAAGCCAGAGGCCAGTTTCTGAAGTGCAGCCCACATTCCGGGTTTCAGTCTCATCTCCCCAGTGTGGCCCTTGAAGCTCCCTTGTGATAAGGCCCTGCTTGCCTTTCTGTCTTATCTTGCACCGCCTTACTATTCCATGAATGGGCCCTTCCCTCCAGCTCCCAGGCTTTGGCAAATGCTGTTCCCACTGGCCTCTGCCCTCGCCTGGCTAGTTGTGTGCATGCTGCGGGTAGATCTGCTTAGAAGCCACCTCTTCCGTGAAGTCTTTTTACAAGGCCCTTGTCTAGGCCCCACGAACCTGGCTTCCCATCTACTTATCACCCACCCATATTCTGATTCCTGGTCCTGTCCCCTTCCCTAGACCATGAGCTCCGGGACAAAGACTGTGTGTCCACCAGGTGCAGTGGCTCAGGCCTGTAATCAGTCCTAGCACTTTGGGAGGCTGAGGTGGGTGGATCACCTGAGGTCAGGAGTTCGAGACCAGCCTGGCCAACATGATGAAACCCCATCTCTACTAAAGATACAAAAATTAGTTGGGCATGGTGGCGCATGCCTGTAATTCCAGCTACTCAGGAGGCTGAGGCAGGAGAATCGCTTGAACCCAGGAGGCCGAGGTTGCAGTGAGCTGAGATCATGCCACTGCACTCCAGCCTGGGTGAGAGTAAGGTTCTATCTTTAAAAAAAAAAAAAAAAAAAAAAGACTGTTTTCTGTATATCACTTTACCATCCCCAGCACTCAGAGTAAAAGGCTGTTTTAAGCAAGACTGTTTTAAGCCCTTGAGTGCTCGTCCCCTGCCTCTGGCTAGCTGTGTCTGCCTAAGAGTGGCCACCATATTGTCTTCCATTAGGCTGGAACCCGTTTCCCATGTCCGCAGTGGTGTGAAATATCCCAGTTGCATTGCAGTAAGTTTATTTTATGTGCATTTCCCCACTTGCCATTGAATCAGGTGTCCCTTTTTTCCCTTCCATATTTGTTTCTTAAGATATCGCCTCTTGTGTGACTTTTGTTTGAATCCCATGTCTTTTTGTCTGTTGGCATCTTGCTTTCTGTTTAATGTGACTGAGCCATTTCTACCTTGTATATATTAACTGTCTTATAGTTGGTGCTGATATTTTCTTAGTCTGATGTCCTTTTCATTTTGGTTTTATTATGTTTTCTTCCACAGAAGATATTAATGCATATATATTTGAATCTGTCAATCTCTCTTCCTCTGTGATTGCTTCGAGGGCTGAAGAAGTTATCCTGCTCCACAGATCTGATAAACATTCTGTTCTGTTTTCTGATTGTTTCCCTGTAACATGACTTTTTATGTTTAACTCTTTAATCCATTCGGAGTGCATGCATTTTGGTTGGTGTCTTGCAGTGGGTATCTAGTTCACTGTTCCTAAATAGGGACAGGATAACCCTCTTGTCCCCATTCTGTTTATTATATAATTAGCCCTTGTCTCTTTGTTTGCAAAAGGGGAGACAAAATATAGTAGCTGTTATAAGCGTGAGCTTTAGCAGAATTAAGATTTTGGCTTTGCCACTTTCTGTGTGAGCTATGAGCACGTTGCTTAAATTGGGCTTGTTTTTTCCTCTGTAAAACTGGATGATATCTTCCTCCTAGGACCGTTGTCAAGATTGAGCAGAAGATCATGTGCAAAGCACATCACATGTTACCTGGCATAAAGTAAATGCCCTCTTTTTTTTTTTTTTTTTTTTGGCTTAAACAAATATTTATTTTCTCACAGGGCTAGAGGTCAGAAGTATGAGATCAAGGTGTTGGCAGGGTTGATTCCATCTGAGGCCTCTGTATTAGTTTGTTCTTACACTTCTATAAAGACATACCTGAGACTGGGTAATTTATGAAGAGGTTTATTTGGCTCACGATTCTGTGAGCTGTACAAGCTTCTGCTTCTGGGGAGGTCTCAGAAAACTTACAACCGTGGCAGAAGGTGAAAGGGTGGCAGGTACACTTCACATGGCCAGCAGGAGAGACAGAGCAAGTGGGGAAGCGTTACACACTTTCAAACAACCAGATCTCATGAGAACTCACTATCACGAGAACAGCAAGGGGGATATCCGCCCCCAAGATCCAATTACCTCACCATGTCCCTCCTCCAAAATTGGGCATTACAATTCGACATGAGACTTGGGTGGGGACATAGAGCTAAATCATATCAGCCTCTCTCCTAGGCTTGCAGGTGGACAGCTTCCCCTTGTGTCTTTACGTGGTCTTCCCTCTGAAATGCCCTCCTTAATCTTGATACGTTTCCATACCTAGTTGGGTCCAACATTGTACTTTTCCTTCTGTTTCATTGATTTTAGAATTCTTGTTTTCTGTTACTGCCACACTGCTTTAATTGTGGCTTCACGGAATGTTTCACTCTCTGGCCAGATTGGGCATCCTTCCATTACTCTTTCTTTAAGAATATTGCTTTAAACACGCACCTGTTTTCTTTAGTGGATGTTGATTTTCTCTCTCACATTCTGTACTGTAGCCTACCTCAGTGACTTCTAGACACCCCTTCTTCCCCTTCCCCAGCACACATACCGGTTTTCCCCCAACCTGGCTGCCCAGCCTTTGCTCACTCTGGACCCACTACCTCACAGGTATGTACCAACTGCTCTCACCTGGCCTATCTCCACCTTAGTGCTTTATCACCCCCCTCCAGGTGCCATTATGCAGATACCCATTTTCCCTATGGACCTGAGCTTCCCTGGGAATTGGTTCTAGGTCCCTAGTGCCCCTCTGCACCTGGCATATGGCCAGGTACATTGTAGGTGCTGAGGTCAGGGCTTGGGGAAGACAGGAATGTTCACCGTGCCCTTGGGCTTTTGACAGTAACTGGGCTAAATCTGGCTTCTTCTGGAGGTGCAGGCTTACAGGACTCAACAATTTGGTGGTTGTAACCCTGGACATGCTCTTGCCAATAACGGTGGGCCATCCATCAGCCCTGGCCTTGGTTTCCCCAGTGGGATTTGCAGAAGCCAGAGGATTAAAGCCCTCCCAGCCCTGAGGCCTCATTATTTATCTTAGTGGGTCCACAGTGAAGATGAATTAGAATAACTCATTGGCACATGCCATGCCTTGGAGTGCAGTTTTCTGTTTTCTGGGAGAGAAAAGGCCTCTTAGGACAGAGCCCCCCACTGCCCTCCTGGGTCTCCAGGAGACAGCCCAGATCTGGGTCAGAAGGGTTCAATAGTCAAGAACAGAGGGGTGGCTCTCTGCCTGGGAAGGCAACTGGGGTGAAAGCGGGGAGCTGGCCTTTCTCTGCATACTGCTAGGTAGCATGCAAAACCCTGCCTGTTCCATTCCTGTTCTCCAGGGGAGGAATCTGAGGACGAGAGGGGTAAGATCCCTGCCCACTGCCATGCAGCAGCTTAGTGCAGAGCCTGGACTTGAACCTAGATCTGCCTGCTTCCAGAGCTGTGCTGCACCAGTGTTCTCGCAGCTCCCAGTCCAAAGGCCGACGTTGAGACAGCGCTTAAAAATATATCAGCAGTGTTTACAAATACCATTTCCTGTGTTATCTGGTACTGACAGAAGGAAGTGAACCTGGCACTTTGTCTGTGTTAGGTTTGGGGTTAGAGGCATAAGTGCCAAGTTCAGATGACCTAGAAAAACCTTTCTAGGTCAAATTACAATTTCAAAGATTTCTTTTCTTCTTCTTTTTGAACCGCTCCAAGATCGAACGCTGTCGTTGACATATTTCCCTTCCGACAACACGAGCCTTTTGTGGCATGATTGAGGGCTTGTTTTGTAGTGCTGGGGAGAAAATATCTTCCACATCATCTGCTCATTGTCTCAGTCACACTCGTTCCCCCCACACCACAGTGCAACCCGACGTACGCTCATGCGGCTTTTAGTTAATTGCCTTTGGTAAGAATCAGTTTTGGGACTTGTTCCCAACTGCTTGGATGATAGATAATTGTCAAATACAAATATTGGCAGCGCAGGGCAACCTGAGGCTCTAGACTGCTGACTGCATCCCAGCCTCTAGGGAGAGCTGGGAGCTGGCCAGCTCCATGTTATGGGAGGTAACGGGGCAAGACCTGGCAGGAGTACAGCCTTCTCATTAGAGTGTAGGCTCTGGAGTTGAACTTCCTGGGTTTGAATCTTCATTCCACCCCTTCCTAGCTGTGTGGCCTTGGGCAAGCTACATAACCTCCCTCGACCTCAGTCTCCTTTTCTGTAAAATGGGAGCCTCAGTAACTTACCTTGTGAGGTTGTCGTGAGGATTATAGGAACGGATGTTTGTCATTCAATTAAGAGTGCCTGGCTTGTTGTTAGTGTGATGTAAACATTGCATGCATTCGTTCTAATGAGTAAATGATCATAGCCATTAGTGGATGCTCTTGCGTGTCACCCTAGTCCCTCCTCAGATCCAGGCACACATTCTGTCAGCTGCTTAGAGTGTTGGCTGCTGCCCCTATCAGCTGAGCCTCTCTCTGGGCAGCTCCATGGTGCCTTTGGTGGAAAGAGGAAGCCTTGGCCAAGGTCATCAACACTCACCCCCTGGGCATCCTGGATCCGATGGCCATCCCATGTGGGGATACAGAATGCTTAGCTCCCTGCCTCAAACTGGGACACCTCTGCTGGGCCATCCCAGTTCCAGAGCTCCCCTTGGGACAGGTGGAGGCCTCCGTTGTGACTACATCACAGTTTGGCTTGTCCCTCTGGCCTGTCCTGCTCCCCCACTTCCCTATAGCACTTCCCAGTACATTTCTTGTCTGTAGATTTCACACTCAGAGTCTGTTTGGTACCTGAAACAACAGGTAGCTATCCAGACGCTGAATGGAATCTGATTTCCATTTTAAAGCACATGCTGATTTCACTTGCTTGTATTTTTGGAAGCTTTTTGAGGAGTGGCCTTGGGTTCTCTACCACTCCTGTCTCCTACCCTGTGTGTGCACCTTTCGGGCACTGTCAGCATGCCTTGGTCACCTCCATGACTCCTGGTGGGAAGAATGTGGCCTAGCTCCTGGGCAGACCATAAAACTTAAGACTGATGGAACGGCCCAGGGGCTCAGAGGGCATCACCCATTCAACCCTTCCAGGTATGAATGAGGAAACTGAGGCCTAGAAAGGGGGAGGCCTTTTTCAAGGACACACAGTGAGTGGTGCCTGTCTTTTCCATCTTTGAAGGTGATGGTGTCTTGGGATATAGTGAGCAGGCTGGTCTTAGGAGCCAGACATGTGGCTGTTGTGATATTATGGCGCTAGGGTCCAATACATGTTTTACGGGGTGCCCCCATGGCAGAGGGGTGGCCAGGCCAGCCCAAGAGTGGCTATCAGCAATGGCTTCTGGAAGGAGGACAGCACAGGAGTTGAATGGGCATGAACGGTGTGGAAGAGAGAAAGCAGGGAGTTTCAGGTGGAGACACAGCTGCTGCAGAGGTCTGGATGAGGTGTGGGGGAGAGTGTGATCTGGGCAGGGGGCTTGGAAAGGCAGAAGAGGGGATGGGCGCGTGATGGGTGGGAGGCAGCCTGGACTGTTGGGCTGGCAGGCGGCAGATGCTCAAGTGAATGTTGTGGCCAAGAATTAAAACTTTTCCCCAGTGGAGGGGATGGGACTTGATGGAGAGTGACTTGGGGAGAGCCACGCAGAGGCCTTACCCATCATGGTCCCCACTGACCCTGCACTGCCTGAGCCAACTGATGCTCAGTCAATGGTTGTGGAATAAATGAGTGAACGAATGAGGGAAGGGAAGATGGTGCTGAAGAGGAGGCCTCCAGCTGCACTGTGGCGGGTGGGTGGGAGCAGGGACGAGCCCACAGGCTCTGATGAAACTGGCTTTTGGTTGGGGGTTTTATCCTTCTGAGCCAGACTGTGGGTCCCTACCTTCCCTCCTGTCACTGGAGAGGTCCATGGGCCTGGCTTCGATGAGACTCTGGGGACGTGGGGAGTGCCGGTGGGTGAGACCAGCCGAGAGCACGTACATTGGCATCCCCCACAGCAGAAGCCCAGAGAAAGGCCTCAAAGTCGCGAGCCCAATCAGATGAGGTCCTGGCCCTGCCCCTTGGATGGCCTCATCTCATTACACCTTGACCCACTTCCCAGCCCAGCTCCCTCCAGCCCCAGGCAGCGTCTGCAGCCCTCTTTGAACCATTCCCCCTCACAGCGCCAAATGAAAATGTTTGTTGAAAACAACATGTGCATAATTAAAGCTTAATGAGCGCTTGTCTGTTTGGAATGTGCAATTAGATTTACAATCGGGGATGGGAGAGAGCTCCAAATGGCTTTAAATGGAGCTGAGAGAGAGGATAATTTTTGCCATAAATCTGCAGTAATGCAGACGGTGTGTGAGCTACCAGTGGCAGTACCAGGGAAGGAAGAAATACAGGCCTGCCAGGCCTCCATGCTATCTATGTTAGGGGGCTGCCCTGCCCATCAGGCCCGGCCCTCTGGGCAGCTGCAGCTGGTGAGTGTACTGGGATGGGACTCACTGGTGGTCCTGGGGGCAGAGCTGCCCTAGGTTGGAGCTGGAGTTCCTGCCTGCAGCTTATGAGATCTGCGATCCAGCCAACTGTGAGGGGCTGAGGGGCTGGTGCTGAGTCCAGCTGCCCAGGTCCCCAGGATCCCATGGCTGGGGCGAGATTCCTGCGTCATCACCACGTTCACCCCCAGCCTGCAAACTGGCTTCAGGGCAGAGCCCTAGACTGGGATGTGGCCCTCTACTTTGTTCTCTGCTGTTTCCCAGTACCCAGAGCGTACATAGTTAAGGCCTCAGTTAACATTTGTTGGATGAATGAATGCCTCGTTACCAGACTCTTGCCTTCAACAGGTCACTCTCCCTCTGCAAACCCCATTTCTCCCATATCTATCACAGAGAAATGGATTCGGCTACTGCTGATGATGTCAGCTCTTCCGTCTCTGGGGTTCTGGGTCAGGAGCAGATAATGACTAGGGCAGTGTCTAGACCAGCACCATCCAGTAGAAATACAATGCAGGCCACATACATGATTTTAAGTTTTCTAATAGCCATGTTCAGAAAAAGTGAAAAGAAACAGGTGACATTAATTGTAATACTTTAGTTAACCCAGTATATCCCAAATATTAATATTATTCCAATACATCATCAATATACAAATATTGACAAGGTATTTTGCATTCCTTTTTGTTGTCATCGTCATCATTCTTGCTCTGAAGTCTTTGAGATTCAGTGTGGACTTTATACTTACCCACATCTCAGTTTGGACTAGGCACAATTCAAGTGCTCAGAAGCCACGTGTGGTAAGCGGCCACCATTCTAGATGGTAGAGGTCTAGAAAGAGCACAGTTAGAGCGAGGTAGGTGGGAGGGGGCAATGATTCCCACCTCCCAGAGGAGCCCAGGTACCTGGCAGCCCTCACCTGTGGTGCTATAGTGACCACTGCCATTTTTACACTACCCCTCGATGCCTTTTATTGACTGAAATAGGTGGCACCATCCAAGCCAACTCTTGTTGGGGGTGGGGACAAGGGTCCTGAAGGGGCCCACAGCACTGAGCTTGCTTACAAGGGACATTCCCAGCTCCTGCGGCAGGCAGTGCCCAAGGCGTTGTCCTTGCTTCTGATAGTTAAGGTCCCAGGCCTATAGTCATGAGGTCACCTTCTCTGGTTCACGTGGCTTGGAGGCAGTGGGGGTGGGAAGCCAGGATGTACTCTTAGGAGTCAGCAGCCTGGACTTCAGACTCAGCTCAGGCAGGTCTTGGCTGTGTGGCCTTAGGCAGATCCCCTAAACTTTCCGGGCCTCTGTGATGGGGAGGATTTATCACCAGGCAGAATACGAATGTGCGTTGTGCCCAGCAAAGCAGGCACACCAATCAGGAGAAAAACATTTTTGAAGAATTGTTAATATCTGATATTTTAGGAACAAAGCATGAAAATCATCGTTGTTGGGAAAAATCGGCCCTGGCAGTTGGACTTTCTTATAAAGACTTTAATTTGCAAATTTTATTTCAAATTACATACAGTGGGCACAGGCATCGAGGGTCTTTTCCATGATTAAGACCTCAGAGATTTGCACAAAGCCCCACTCAGTTTCTTCATCTACAGAAGAGAGGTAGTTATAGCAACTGGCAGGATTCTTAGGAGGATTCAATAATAAAATAAGAAATAGCTAACAATGATTGAGTGCCTTCTCTAGGTAGGCAATGTTCTAAGCACTTTCCGTATATTTATTTAATCCAAATGATAGTCATACCCATTTTGCAGATGAGAAAACTGAGACACAGTAATGTAGTTTAAAAAAAAAAAAAACCAACAGCTTGAAAGCAACAAGCCCAGGATTTGAACCCTGGCAGCCAGACCAGGGCCTGTGTTTGTATCCACTGTGCCATCATGTTTCTCCAAGTGGTGATGGACCTGGAGTTGGTGTACAGGGCCCGGGTCAGGCTGAGACTGAGGCTTCCCAGGCCGTGCTCTATTCCTGTTCCTCTTCCATCTGTGCCGGGCTCTCTGCCTGCACCCCTCCCCCGGCATCTTCCTGGCCCTGATGTGTATTTCCCCATGAGACTTCCACATAAAACCGCACTCTCGGCAGGACCTAGGTTGCAGCTGTCTCTCTCTTTAGAGCTGTGTTTTATCTGTGCAGAATGAGCGTTCTCACCGCCCAATGTGGGGCAGGCGGGAGCAGTGTGTGCTGCTTTGATTGTTTCCTCTTTAGATCTTGGTGAGGCTCAGCTCTCAGTGCCTGTGACTGGCTAGGCTGAGGGCTGTGCATCCCTAGGCTTTGATCTGTGTCTCTGTGCAGAGGGGAGGAGCAACAGCTTCTACAGAACAGCTGCTGCTTTGGTACCTGGGATCAAGGCCAAGTTCAGACTTCCTGGGTGGCTTTGGACAAGTTCCCAACCACTCTGAGCCTTACCTTGCTCATCTTGACAGTGGGGCTGCTGCTCATGGAAGCCTTGGGATTTCTAGGGGGTTCCAGTGAGATGGCTGGTCACAGCTCTGGGATAAGGGCTGGTATACAGTAGGTGCTCTTTGGCCAGTGCTCACAGCAGCCTTGGATGTCATATTCCCTGCTCCTTGCCTAGTCACCTCCTTTGCTTCCTACATCATGGAGCCTCCAAGTCACTTTTTCAGGATGCTTCTCTGGAAAGACCCTCTGCCTTGCTTCTGCTCCCCTTGGCTAACCTTATCCTGGCCTTTGTCACATGTGTCAAAGAAGAAGGCATCATTCAATATCGAAAGCAAGAAGCTGAATTCATTGGTATACTTCGCAAGGGTAGTCTCCCCAAATCAAGCAAGAGGCTGATCTTTTCAGGGTTTGGGGAAGCATGGGGTCCTGGGATAGGAGGACTTTCAGAGCAGGAGGTTCTGAGACTGGCTGGCTGTCTCCGTGGTGGACATGTGGCTATTGGGAGTAAGACTATTGATTGACTGACTTTCAGAGGTGGGGCTGTAAAGCTCCCAGTGACAAATGAGGATGAGCTTTAAGCTGGTTTGGGGATTCATTGTTTGCAGCTTGGGACTGTGGTCAAAGAACATCTTTTCCTTTGTAGATTTGGAGAATAGGAAGGTTTTATTCTCCCTCCATAGCTGTCATCTTCTCCAAAGGACTGGGGGTTCCTTGAAGGCAGGGGCCGTGTCATCATCATTCTGGCATGCCTGGCACCTAGCACACTCCCTGTCACATAGTAAGCACGCACAAGAGATCGTTCAATGAACAGTGATTGTTGCCTCCAAGTCCCTTTGCTTTTCTCTCTTTTCAGTGCCTTTGTGATGATCTATTTGCATAGATTTCCCAAGGGGCAGTGGCAAAATTCACTTGTAGATTCCCCAGTGGCTGGGAGCATATTCCTCAGCACGAGATATGTGCCTGGTACACGATACAACAAAGGCACTGCCTGGTCTCATTTCGCCTCAGCACATTTGAATGAGATCTTAGACCCAGGACCAAGAGTGGGAGCAAATGGGTAGAAGACATGGGAGGGACAGGGTCAAGGTGAAGAGGCTGACCTTGAACAGGAGAGAGATACCTTTTCAGACTAAAGGAAAGGAAGTCAAGATGAGCATGATGTAAATAACGTAGGGGAGGTTGGGAGAATTGAGGGAATATCTGATGGCTTCAATTCCTCAGTGACAGAGGAGACAATGTCATCTGCTAGACTGAGGGAGATGGGGGCTGATAAGGGGATAGGAGTTGATATATCATAACAATGATAATAGGTAACATTTATTAAGCACCTGTCAAAAATAGTTAATATCTGTAACATAATGCTTAATAATGCTAACTCATAGCTGATGTCTGATAACAGATACCAAGAACCTTATGAGGTAGGAATGTAGCTGTCATAATTGTTGTTTTATAGGTGAGGAAAGGAAGGCAAAGTGAAGTTAAAGTCACTGAGCTCGTAAGTAGTGGAACCAGTCGTCAGATCAATGCTGTTACCCAGTATGTTACACTGCACATAGGAGTTGAATTAAGTCCAAAGCTGATTTTAGATGGAAGCTTTTGGTTAGGTCCAAGAATATGGGTTTATAAAAGCAAGCAAGACAGTGTTAAGGTTGGAGTTTGTAGCCAGAAATAAAGAAGGGCCTAGGAAGAGGTAGATTTCGGTGGATAGAGAAAGGGAGAGTGTTCCAGGCTCATGGTGGGACGATGTGTAAGAGTGGGGGCACTTGCTGGGTGTGGTGGCTCATGCCTGTAATCCCAGCACTTTGGGAGGCCGAGGCAGGCAGGTCACTTGAGAGCAGGAGTTCGAGATCAGCCTGGTCAACGTGGTGAAACCCCGTCTCTAAAAATACAAATTTAGCCAGGCTTGGTGGTGCATGCCTGTAATCCCAGCTACTCAGGAGGCTGAGGCAGCAGAATCACTTGAACCTGGGAGGTGGAGGTTGCAGTGAACTGAGATCATGCCATTTCACTCCAGCCTGGGCGACAGAGCAAAACTCTGTCTCAAAAAAAAAAAAAAAAAGTGGGGGCACTGGAGGCTCCCACTATGCTGAGGACCCACGGGAACTGAGACTTGGGGCTGCCCTGGAGGGTCCTGGATATAGGCTAAGTGATGTGGAGTCTCTGCAGGGTTTGGATCTGAGGAGTGAAGCGATTGCCCAAATATCGCTAGTGATAGCCAAGGTGTACGATGGATTGTGTGACACGGACCCACCAACACCAACATGGGTTTGTGGTGCCTGTGTGTGCCCCTACGCTGTGCATACCACATGCACTGTATACCTTTGTGTTCACACTCAGCATACTCTTAGGGAAGCTCAGCAGAAGGATGTTGCAGGTGATTGGATCAGAGGGATGTAGATGGCAGGGAGACCAGAGTCACCCCAGGGGTACTGACTGTGGGACTGTGTGGAAGGTGACAGTTTCTGTTAAGACAGGGGAGTGCTGGAGAAACAGCAAGTCCATGTACATGTTATGAGTTCAGTGCTGGAGGTGTTGAATTTGAGGTGCTCATGGGCAAATGGGGGAGATAGGGAGAAAACTATATATTAGAATCTGGAGGTAATTTGGCTAAAGATGAGGATTTGAGAATTGGTGATGTTGCAACCGTGAGTAGCCATGACATTTTCCAGAGAAAGTGTGAATCGAGTGAGAAGGAAATGCCAGACCCACATTGCTATGCGCCTATCCATTCCACCCAACCACTCAACCCATTTTACCCACCCGGGAACCCACACGTCCAGGCATCTATCCACGCATCCCCAACACCCATCTCACCCATCCATGTTCATCTCGTCCACCATCCCAATACTCTTCCCATACACTTGTCTGTTCACACTCATGCAGCCATCCCTTTTCACCTATCCATTCATCCACTCCTCCCTCTCATCCCAGCCATCCCATCCATACATCCCAACCACCCATCTATTTGTCCATCCACCCATCTCATTAATAAACCATTCATTAATAATCATTTTATATTGATTACATGTTGAAATCATGTTATGAATATGTTGAGTTAAACTTAATTTTGATGATATATTTTATTTATCTGTTAATATTTTTAAACAGTGGCTACTACATTTAAAAATAATGAAAAGAGTATAATTGGATTGTCTGCAACACAAGGGATAAATGCTTGAGGGGATGGAAACCCATTCTCCATGATGTGATTATTACACTTTGCATGCCTGTGTTGGAACATCTCATGTACCCCATAAAAAAAACTGTGGCTACTAGAAAATGTAAAATTACATATGTGGGTCACATTTGTAACTTTTATTATATTTCTGTTGGACAGTGCTAATGTGTACAATCCCTCACCCATCTATTCATTCACCCGTCCGTCATCTGCCGATCATCCGTCTATCCATCACCCATCTATCAATCATCTATCCACCCATCCATTCGTCCACCCATCTGCCCATCCATCCATCCCATCCTTTACTCCTTCCTCCTTTCCATCCATTCATCTACCCACTTATCACATCTGTTTACCCCACAAATATTTTATTTATACCTGTCATGAATCAGTGACTCTGTGGTCATAAGAATGAGAAAACTGAGGCTTAAAGCAGTTAAGCAATTTGCCCAAGGTGGCACAGATGGACCTGGGATCTGACTGTCTAAGATCAGGGCTCCTCACCTTGGCTGCCTATTTGCTAAGTTTCCTTAAAAAATCCTTTGGGGAAGCATGGTGTGCTTAGGTTGGGGGCTGGCTGTTGGAATAGGGGCCGAGGAGCTCTTTTCCCTGAGGGGACCACACAGGGAAAGGAGAGGTAGGGGAGAGACAGATGCCTTAGAAGCCCCTGTAAGCTGTGTCCCCGGTGGCCGTCATGAAAGGGTTATCCCTACACATTCGATATTTGCAAAAATGTGGGTTCTTTCAGATTCCAAAACTCATTTCCATGACAAAACTCTTGGGAAGAGAAGATGAAGGCCTGGCTTTTGCAGAACAATCTTCCAGCTGTAATGAGGACTGAAGATGGCAATGGGAAAAGGAATTATAATTAGAATATGAAATGGGGAAAATTAATCTATTCCAGTCACTGGTAAGAGGATGTTCTCCTGGCGTTCATGGAAATTCTTAAGCTGTTGTTTCTCCCTGCATTTTTTTCTCACATTTTAAAGCATAGGGAAGGCTGTGTGGTATGAAAAAAAGATTTTTGACCAAGGAACTGATAAACTGTGAAATATGCATAGAATTGAAGTTCATGTGCATCTTTGCTTTGTATGTCTCTGTATGCACATTCAGTATATGTTTGTGTTCACATTTGTGTGAGTTACATTTAAATGGCTGCAGATGCATGGAATGTTTGTACACATATGGGCACACCCTGCTTTCCTTGTGTGCGTGCTGTGGTTATTGTGTGCCCAGTTGTATAAAGGTCTCTGACATGTGCACACTCATGCCTGTGCTGTGTGTGCGTTGGTTGGTGTTACCCATGGACATGATACATGAGTGAGCTGAACGCTGCCGTGTTGAACGCTGTGCTGCATGACCTGGGTCCACACAAACATGGGTTTGTGGTGTGTGTGTGTGCTGCCCATGCTGTGCACACGGTGTACATCATATACCTTTGTGTTCACACAGTGTATGCACTGCGGTGGGTGTAGATGTGGGTGTTTTTGATCTTGTCTGTGCACATGTGGAGGAGGAAGTAGCCCTGCTGTGTCTGAGGGCAGAGGTGACTTTGTGACCTCTCCCCTTGGCTTCCAAGTTCATTTAGCCAGAAAAGGTCCCAAATGAGGAGGGGGCTGCAGGGGTAAGCCCCAGGCCTTAGAGTACTGGAAGCCAAGCCAGAGGGAGCCTGGGAACCCTCAGTGTCCCCCAACTATTCCTTCATGCCCTCCAAGGGCTCCGATGTGGTGGAACCCTGGCAGAGGTGGGCAAAGAACAGGCCTCCCCGCCCACTCAGGGCCTCTGCTCACTGCTGCTCCGCAGCTGGTTCTGAGCCCAGCAGGCTCCAGGGCACTGTGCAAGGTGCCCAAGGGTAACTGAACTGAGGAGACTCAGGCCCTGCCTCGGGAACCTCTGCCAGCTTCTCAAGTGCCCCTTGAAAGCCAGAAGCAAGCTTTACTACAGCACGTGGCAGCTCTTTCCTAGACATTGGTTGAATAAAGGAGTGAATGAATAAGACAGGCTCTGGTGACCTCATGGGAATCCACTGCCCACCCCCTTGCCTGCCCCTAACACACTCGTGTCGGAGACCAGGCCCCCTTGCCCTACATCTCCAGTACCATTCCCACTGCTCTCTGTGGATAATTCCTCCCTCTCCTGAACCTCTAACACACTTATCAAGCACCTGTTATGCGCCAGGCCCAAGGCAGACTATTGATTATATAGTAGGCTCTAGAAAAGCATTGGTCCCTGCTGTGAATGCACTTGCAGCTAGTGGGAGAGTCCAAGCAGAAAAAATCCAACAAGGGACTCTTAAATCCCATCTCTCCCCAGCTGTGTGATCTTGGACAACTGCTTATCCTCTCTCTATCTGTTTGCTTGGTTTTAGCAGGGAAAAGAATATTTTCTTCATTGGATCATCGTGAGGATTAAATGAGGTCTTTTATGTAAAGCATTTTGCTCAGTACCAGGAATATTCATTCTGTCACCAAATATTTATTGATTGTCTACTGTGCTTATCGGGGAATGAAGCAGATGTTGGCCCCTGCCTTGCAGTGGCTCTGTTCTCACCAGCATTTAATAAATGGTGACCATTCAAAGGTTTTTTGGACATCTTTCCCTCTGTTTCTCATGCATATTCCTATACCATACTGTTCGATTACTATTGCTTTATAAAATGTTTCAAACACTTCATTAAACTTAATGTTCCTCCATCTCCAATTATTCTTCCTATTAGGGTCTACTTATAAGTTACATGTGATTTTTAAAAAATTTTACTTTTGTCAAAATGATCAATGGCCATGGTCACACATCAAGTCAAGTACCCAGGAGCTTTTGCTGAGAGCGCCCCCACCCTGCCTAATTTATAGCCCCATCCCTAATGCCAGGCTCTGGGAGATTTGGAGATGACCAGACACAGTTCCAGCCTCCATGTTGCTTCCACTCTGGGACAGATGACAAATGTGGAGACAGTCTATGTTATAAGAGCAACAGCCAGAGGAGATGCGAGCATGGCAGGCCTCCTGGAGGAGGTAGCCTCTGAGCAGGGTCTTGCAGCATGAGCTCTGTGTGCAGTGTGGTGGATGGAGTCCTGCATTTGGGGTCAGTGCCCAAACTCTAGGCATGGAAGAACCTTTTTTTAAATCATCCAGTAGTCACCAAGGGACTCTCCCCGTCCCTGTGCTGGGGAGGCTCTTTGGTGTAACCATCAACCCAACTGCCTAGATGGGAAGATAGGCCTGGTCAGAGGTGATCTGCATGTGGTAGTGACTGCTTTATTTACTTATTCAACAAACATTTATTGAGTACCTTCTCTGTGCCAGGCACTGTTCTAGGAGCTTGGGAGACATCAAGGTACAGATAGACAAAGATCCCTGATCCCTGGGAGCCTCCATTTTAGTAAGAGGAATCTAATCATAAGCAATGAATATAGTAAATATAGAGAATGCTAGAAGGTAACAGGGACTTCGGAACAAAGACCAAGGGAAGGCGGGGCGAGGGCGCGTCGAAAATGGTGGTAGAAAGGGTGGTGGGCTCTCAGCCCACAGGGGCTGGGGCTGGCATCTGAGCCAGTTATCAAGCAAAGCTTCTCTGAGTGAAGGCGGCTGGGTAAACAGACATTTCACATGGTTGTGGGCGTGTGGATTTCTACGGCCTCCGTGAGGGCAGCTGGGTGATGTCTGTCTAAATTACAAATGCACATACAGTTGGATCCAGCAATTACACAAATGAATCCTACAGATAAACTCACACCTATGCTCAATAACAGATGCACAAAAATATTTATGGGAGCAATATTGGGATAGCAGAAAACTAGAAACAATGCAACTACCCATGTGCTCAGCTAGTTGAATATATGTGTTATATCCACACTGTGGAATACTGGGTACAGAAAAAAGAACTATGTTCTGATATAAAACATTTTCTAAGATGTGTTGCTAAGAGAAAAATAAAGTGCAAAACTGTATAGCATGCTGTCATGAATAGAATAAATGACTCTAAAATGTGTATATGTAGACAGTCTTTGAAATGATATAAAAAAGCTGGTAGACGTTGCCTCTGGAGAGGGGCAGTGGATGGCTGGGAGGTGGGGTGGTGTTGCTTTTTGTACTCTTGGAATTTTGAACCATGTGAATATATCTTAATAAATAAATGGTTCAATTAAAATAAAATGGCTGTTTGCTATTGGTGCCCCACTCAGAACCCTTTACTGACCAGCACAGACATCTCCCACCTGCCTTGAGCACAAGCTGCCTGCAAATGGCTCACAGCCAGTATAGTTCTCTGAAGACTTGTGCTTGGTCAATTGGGGGCCACCTTGCTCAGAAGGTTATGTCTCCCCATGTCCCCTAAGGGCAGCCCATGGCCTATGACTTCCTTACCTGGGCTACAACAGCCACCCCTTGCTTCGTGTTGGTACTAACTCTGCATACAATTCATGCCCCAGAGTTCCCCATCAGAGCAGGCTGAAAGAAGTCTTCAGGCAAGACCACATCCTTGCTTAGCTGTACCCACTCCTGTCCGGCTTGCCTCCCACACTTACAGGTTATTCCCAAGGAGTACTTTCTTAATAGCCACATGCATCTGAACCCTTGCCTCAGGCTCTCCTTCTAGGGAACCCTATCTAAGATACCTAGCTTAAGGGAAGGGAACTAACTGGAATTAAGTCCTCTCCATATTAATGTGTTGAGTCAAGTGCTCTACAGTGCAACATCCTATGAGGAGGGGCCTACAGGCACCATCCCCATTTAACAGATGAGGAATCTCAGAAGTTGAGGCACCAACTTGAGATCACACTTCAGGGCAAAGAGGGAGGCGGGGGTCCCAGAGCCCACATCTCTTCCCCTGCACCTGCTCCTGACTTTTTAGGCAGATTTACAGGGAAATCTTCCTGAATCCAGACTTAGCAGCTTCTCTGCACACAGGATATAGTTCCTGTACATGGTCTCTACCATAGTCCTCACTGCCTGTAGCCAGGCGTGGCCCTAGGGGCTGGGATGGCATAGGTGATGGGCCAAAACCACTCAGGATGGCAGGACCCGGAGGGCATGTCTGGGGAAGGCTGTCATGATCCCAAGGCTCTGGTGTTCTTGGCCTCCCCCAGCACATGGGATTCCAGCTCTAGCTGATCACCTGATATAATTTTGATCAAGGGAGGTGTTTGCATACTTCCAAGGATGGGCAGCTCAGCACATGGCAAGGCAGCCTGTTGTGTCTATGGACAAGTTATAGAGGGCAGAAAGGTTTTCCTATTTGCATTGTAAGTGTGATTAACAGCATGAACCTGAGCACTCAAGGGCCGTGGAACAGGGGCTGCTCCTTCCACCCTAGAGGTAGCCCTGCTGAAATGGGGCTTTGGGCATCCTGGGCTCTGATTTGCCTTCTGCAGCTCCCACAGTCCCCTGCAGTCAGTCCCCTGCCCTCCTCCGGCTGCTTCTCCTGGTGCCTTCCTGAGAGCATTTTAATCAGAGCTGCTTCTCCCTCTCTCTCTATTCTAGTTTGATGGTGACAGTGCCTACGTGGGGATGAGTGACGGAAACCCAGAGCTCCTGTCAACCAGCCAGGTGGGTGCCTCATCCTCCCTGAACGGGTGTCTTAAGATTTGGGCTGGCTGGATCTGAGCTGTTCCTGGGTGGAGGTAGGGGGTGCAGAATGGGGCCAGCACAGCCCGCTGCTGTCTTCTCTCTGAATGATCAAGAATAGCAATAGTCTCCTTAAAAGGTACAATCAAAGTGGGACTATAGTGTTCGTAAATTAACTACCTGGCTACTGTTGGCTTAAAATGGATTGGGAACTTGATGAAACTTGAAATGTATTGCCCATACTCCCCACGCTTGGGGCAGCTTTTCAGCAGCAGTGAGTTGAGGTGCCTGCTGCTCTCTGGTGCCGCCTGCCTCTTGCCACCACACAGCACCCACGGGGACATGTTCTGGTTTGGATGCACACATGCCCTTGCGTAGGCATGCATGGTTCTCCTGCCTGCTGGGAGTTGTTGAAGGCCACAGGGGAGGGTTGTGGACAGGGCACAAGGAAAGAGAGCAGAAGGTCTTACTGGTGGCAAAGGAAGCAGAGTCATTCCTGGGCAAGGCTGTCTCGAACCCCAGCCTGGCCCTCTGGGGGGTCATAGTTGCCAGTTGGAATCAGATTTTCCACTGAGAGCCTGGTCTCTGAAAATTAATGTTTCTCTCAGCTGGGAGCATCCTCACTATAGACTATGATGCCACAGAGGGTCCTTGCTGCAGGCTGAGGGTCCAGGGAGGGTCTCCCTGCAGAATGTGATGCCAGGGTGGGTCCTCACTGCAGGCTGGGACCCCAGGGAGGGTTCTCACTCTAGGCTGAGATCAGGGAGGGTCCTCACTGCAGGCCAGGACCCTGGGGAATGTCATCCCTACAGAAAGTGATGCAAGGGTGGGTCCTCACTGAAGGCTGGGGCCCCAGGGAGGGTCCTCACTGCAGGCGGGGGCCCCAGGGAGAGTCCTTACTGCAGGCCGGAACCCCAGGGAGGGTCCTCATGGCAGAATGTGATACCAGGAAGTATTCTCATTACAGGCATGGCATCGTGGAGGATGGTTCCCTAAGGCAGTGGTGCTTGCTGGGTGGGACCAGCTCGGGACACTGATTGGAGAGCCAAGGAGGGTTATAGCTGCTGAGAAACTTGGGAAGCTGGAGGGCAACCCCGGCCCTGGAGCTGACCTCTACCCTCTGTCTCTGCCATTGTGGGGGCTATGGCAGTCCAAGTTGGGTGGCCCCTCAGCCATCAGGCTGGGCACATATTTTCCAGATGGGGCAATAGAAGCCTATTAATTCACAAATATTTATGTCCCTATTCTGTGACAGGTCCCATGGAGGCCATAGATGAGTAAGACATGGGCCTGTGGCCCTAGGGGGCACTACTAGTGAGGAAGATACTGTAGTCTCAGTGGGGCATGGAAGCTCTGCTGCAGGGTGCTGCGCCCCCTCCCCTGCCGCTGCAGGATCGCTCATGCCGGGGCCACCATACCATGCCCCTCTCTGGCCTGTCCCTGTGTGAGCATAATGCTGCTGCTGCAAAGCTGCCTTTATATTGCATTGACATGCGCCAACATGCAAGACTGGTGGGCAAGACTCCAGGCCTTGGAAGTGGTTATTTTGGAAGAGTACACTGATGTCATTTAATTGTACATAATCAACTGAAGTCTCATCTCAGCAGACCAGAGTTAGCCCTGACATCTCATCTGAGCCTTTTCACAATGTTTAAATAGTATTTTTGTTAACATATTGAGCCCTGGTTTTCAGAACTATATTATGGTGAATTCTGTTCTGGAACCTACTGGAAAGCATTGGCAATGTCCTTCCACCAAGAAGGAAAAGTGGGACTCAGTGGGGCTCTGTGTCTGCTCTAGGCCTCGGCAGAGGAGAGCACAGTCGTTTGGAGAGGAGACTTGGTACAAATAAATGTCACCCTCCCCAAACCATTAACAGTCATATCCTCAACAATTCCCCCAACACTTTGCAGCTTGCAAAGCCTTTTTCTCAATGGTTATTTCAGCTAATCTTCACAACAGCCTCGAGAATGAGTAGACGTTATTGTTCAGTCAATTTTATAGATGATGCAACTGAAGATCAAGGATGTTGGCTGATTCAATCAAGGTGACTCAGCCAGGGAGCACTAGAGCTGGCATTCAAACTTGTGAAGCTCAGACTCGGAGCTCCACAAGCCTCCCTTGCCTTGTCCACTGACTTGCCTCAGCCTAAATGTCACTTCTGCAGAGAGCTCTTTGTGACTGCCAAACCCACGTTAGGTCCCCTTTCCATGATTCTCATTAAAATGGCACCAGGTCTTTTTAATTCATAGTGACAAAAATTCATAATTTTTGTCACAGTGGTCATCTACTTACCTTGTGATGACTTAGTTAATGCCTGATTTCCACCCTAAACTGTGACCACCATGGGGAAAGGATCTGGTCTCTCTGGTCCAATGCTGTGTATCCCAGTGGGGCATAGTGTCTGGAACACCGAGAGCACTCAGAAAATATTTGTGTAATGAGTGATGGTAGCCCCTGCTCTTCTCTGAACTTCAATGTCCCTAACAGTGGAACAAGGTGGTTGGACTTCCTGAGGGTCCTTCTAAATCTTTTATGCTGTGACCCAGAGGGTCTCCCTAACTTAGGACTTTATGAAGAAGATATCAAAATTCTCTGAGATTAATTAAGTCTAGCCAGTGGCATGAGCCAATCTTAATGTGAACAAATTTTGCAATTGCAGTTAGATTTCTTATAGTGTATCCGTTAGTTTTTCCTGCATAACAAACACCTCAAAACTTAGTGGCTTAAAACAACAAATGTTTATCTGGTTAATGATTTTGTGGGTCAGCAGTTTAACTGAGTTCAGTTGGGTGGTTCTTCTGGCCTTGCTTAGGATCACTTTAGCAGCAGCAATACATTGCCAGATCAGCAGTGGGCTGGTTGGTATGGGAGGCTCACCTGTGTTCCACATGGTCTCTCAGCTTCCAGCAGGCTAGCTCCAGGTTGTTCACATGGTAGGAGAAGGGTTCCCAGAGCAGCAAGAGCAGAAATTGCAAGATTTCTTGAGGTCCAGGCTTGAAATAAACACACATCTACTTCCAACACATTCTATTGGTCAAAGCCAGTCACAGGACCAGCCTAGATCAAGGAATGGAGAAATAGCCTCTACCTCTTGATGGGAAAGGCTGCAAAATATTGTGGCCTTTTTACAAACTACCACATGTAGGAAACATATGGGATATGATTCATGATGATTTTGTTGAAAAATAACTTAGACTTTTCTGGTACCTATAGCTCCTTGCAGCTCAGTGGGACCCTACTAGCTTCTAGACTTGAATGATGAAAGTTCTATATATTTCCTTCCTCTTTTCCCTGGAGTGCTTCTTGAACTCACAACGCGAGCGCGCGCGCACACACACACACACACACACATACACACATACACGTGAACACCCTCTCACAATGTGTTGTCTCATCAACTGCAAGAATTGTATTGTCCAAATTACTGGATTAAGGATTGACATCAACATTTGGGTAAAATGAAGCCCTCACAGCCACTAGAGGATTCAGAGGATAAACACTCTAAATGGCTTAAAATATGTTTTATAAATACAGTTAAATACAAGGTTCACCCAATCAGCAAATGTTTATTGGACACCTGTTATATGCAAGGCTGTGAATATCAGTGGGAAGCCATTTCTGGAAAACATTTGCTTCCAGAACATCCAATCAATATATGTATATATTTTTGAGATGGAGTCTCACTGTCACCCAGGCTGGAGTGCAGTAGCTTGATCTCGGCTCACTGCAACCTCCACCTCCTGGGTTCAAGTGATTCTCCAGCCTCAGCCTCCCGAGTAGCTGGGATTACAGGTGCCTGCCACCACACCCAGCTGATTTGTGTGTGTGTGTATTTTTAGTTGAGACAGGGTTTCACCATGTTGGCCAGGCTGGTCTTGAACTCCTGACCTTAAGTGATCCGCCCACCTCGGCCTCCCAAAGTGGTGGGATTACAGGCGTGAGTCACTATGTCTGGCCCAGAACATTCAAATCGTATTACAAATTTGTTCTTTAATGTAACACTTCTCCTGAGATGCCATCTTCTTTACTTAGAAACCGCAGCTGAGACAGAGGTTCCCCTAGGGTATGTATTAGCTGACTGTGTCCCTTTTTGAAAACTTTCACCGCCGCTCTACGGGCTTGAAGTGTTTTTTTTTGCAAATACATTCTCCATTGTTTGGTTTTTGCAAGACTCCACATAAATTTTCCCATAGCTGCTTTAGCTTCTACAAATGATCACACTCCCTCTCCCTCCTTGGACCTTGGGTTACTTTTGTACCAGACTTGCCGGGGTGGCCTGAGAATGAGATATAATTCTCAGATAGGGCTGTGTCCCCATCAGCAGCTCCAGGGGGGTAGAGGACCTGGTAGAGGTCAGTTCTTTCCTGTTGAGAGCAGACTCTGTCCAGGAGTTACAGAAATGGATATTTCCTGATGATGTGACCCAGAAAGAGTCTCCTCCTTCCTGGGACGAGGTGAGGAGGAAAGGGAAGTGGGCTTGGGACTCAGCAGACCTGGATTCAAATTCCAGCTCCTCCATGCCTCAGCATGGGCCAGATTTCCTTATGCAAGTGATAGCAGCTTCCTATCAAATGGGAGGAGTAGCAGCGTCTGCCTCCTAGAGTGTCATGAGAAGTAAATGAGGTGTGTGTGTATTGTGGATTCTGTTGCTGCCTCACCAGAGTCCTGCTCATCATTCAGCTGCTGTGAGTGTTGGCTGCTAACTATTCACAGCTACTCTTTCTTTGGAAAATTGGAACTGTGAACCCAGGAGAGGATAGAAGGGGAGGTCTAGAAACCGATATCCTTATCTCAAGGAGTGACCAACTCTGCAACTCCTCATGGGCTCCAGCTAATCCAGCCAGACTCCAGCCACCAAGGCCAAATCTTTACTCAGCTCCTCCCCTGTCATGTCCTGCCTCCCTCCCGCCCTTCTTCTAAGAGCCCTCTTCAAGTCACTTTCACAGGCATCCCCATCTCAGGCTGTACTTCAGAGGAAGCTAAACTAAGAGTATGTAAAGAACCAGAGTCAGAAAAACTAGCTATGACTTATTATTTTTTACCATATATAATGCTTTGGTCACACAAGAGCTTCTGTTCACCTCTTGCGCTCATTTACAACTTGGTGTTTTTGTATGCATTGTTTCCTCTGATGGGAATCCCCTAGTGTTTTTCAACCAACAAATGCCTATTTGTTCCTTCAGGGGCACTGCAAATGTCACCTCCTCATCACAGCCTTCCTGGCTGTGTGTAGAGTTTTCCACTCTCTTAGCTCTAAATACCACTTCTGCTAAAGAGCTCACATTTTTTACAGGAATTATTGAAAGAACTTGTGTGTGTGTGTGTGTGTGTGTGTGTGTGTGTGTATTAGAGTCAGACTGAATGACATGAATGACATCAGATTTGCAGTCTTAAAAGCTCTCAATGACAAGAATGAATACAGGGAGACCAAGTTGAGAGGGTTGGTAATAGGCCAAGTAAAGGATCAAGATCTAGATTGTGGCAGAGGGGATGGAAAGAAGTAGATGCATTGGAGATAAAGTTAGTGGGTCTTGACAGTGATGGACATAGAGGGAGAGAGAAACGGAGGGGTAAAGGATGACTCCTAGGCTTCTACCATGAGCCCATTTTCAGGCATGGTGGTACCATTTTCTGAGTTGGGGAAACCCTGGGGATTTGCAGGTTTGATGATGCCAGACTTGGATGTGTTATATTTGAGATGCTCATCCACATGGAGATGTTCAAGTAGATAGATGATGGTACAAATCTTGAGCTCATAAGAGAAGTAAATTTGGAAATCTTCAGCCCATGATATCAAAACCTTGGGAGTGAAGGAGATTTATGGAGAGAGGGAAGAACGAGAAGAGCAGAGGACCAATGACTCTGAGATGTTGAGCTCCAACATTTGAAGGCAAAGTAGAGGAGGAGAAGACTGTGAAATAGATTAAGAAGGAGTGGTTTGAGAAGTAGGAGGAGAACTTGGAGTCTTAGAAACCACGGGCAGAGTAATTCAAGAAGAGAGGGGATCTAGGTGAAAAGGATGTTGGATCCACAGTTCCTTAAAATTTATCAAAGGATAAATAAAATCCTTTGATAATGGGATCACATCAAGTTAAAACACTTCTGTACAGCAAAGGAAACAATCAACAAAGTGAAGAGACAGCCCACAGAATGGGAGAAAGTATTTGCAAACTACCTGATGAGATTAGTAATCAGGATATATAAGGAGCTCAAATGACTCTATAGGAAAAAAAATCTCGTAATCCAATTAAAAAATGGGCCAAAGATTTGAATAGACATTTCTTAAAAGAAGACCTGCAATGGCAAAGAGGCATATGAAAAGTTGCTCAATATCACTGACAATCAGAGAAATGCAAATCAAAACTACAATGAAATGTGATCTCACCCAGTTAAAATGGCTTATATTCAAAAGACAGGCAATAACGAATGCTGGTGAGGATATGGAGAAAAGGGAACCCTCGTACACTGTTGGTGGGAATGTAAAATAGTATAACTACTGTGGAGAACAGTTTGGAGGTTCCTCAAAAAACTAAAAATAGAGCTACCATATGATCCAGCAATCCAACTGCTGGGTATATACCCCAAAGAAAGGAAATCAGTATATTGAAGATATCGGCACTTCCATGTTTGTTGCAGCACTGTTCACAAAGCTAAAACTTGGAAGAAACCTAAGTGTCCATCAACAGATGAATGGGTAAAGAGAATGTGGTATTTATACACAATGGAGTATTATTCAGCCATACAAAGAGAATGAGATCCATTTGCAACAACATGGATGGAACTAGAGATCATCATGTTAAGTGAAATAAGCCAGGCACAGAAAGATAAACATTGCATGTTCTCACTTATCTGTGGGGTCTAAAAATCAAGACAATGAACCCATGGAGATAGGGAGTAGAAGGATGGTTACCAGAGGCTGGGAAGGGTAGTGGGGCAGAGGGGGGACATGGGGATGATTAATGTGTACAAAATAGAATGAATAAGATTTAATGTTTGATAGTACAACAAAGTATAGTCAATAATTGCGTATTTTAAAATAACTGAAAGAGTATAATTGGGTTGTTTGTGACACAAGGATAAATGCTTAAGGGAATGGATAACCCATTCTCCATGATGTAATTATTACTTATTGCATGCCTGTATCAAAATGTCTCATGTACTCTATAAATATGTACACCTATGTACACACAAAAATTAAAAATAAAAAATGATTTGATAAATGTTAAATCAAACATTTAAACATACTCAAGGGAACCATAAAGGCACCAGCAAAACAAACCTTAAGGTATACTTTACAAGTTTGGTGTGGGGAAGGCATTTCTACTATTTAAAGCCTCAGAAGAAAAGACTTAAAATTGGACCATAAATTAACATAAAACTAAATTAATATAAATATAAAAATTAACATAAAATCAACATATGACTTTTGTATGGCCAAACCAGCATAAGTAAAGTCAGTAGACAAAAGTTGGGCAAGAATATTTTCAACTTACACCATAGTTGAAGAACTAATCACCCTTATACATGAAGACTTGCTAGAGATCAGTTCAAAACCCTGGTAGAAAAAAAGGAAGGAGATATGAACCAATAGTTTACAGAAAAAGAAATACAAGTGGCTCTTAAGTATGTGAAAAGTGCTAAGAATCATTCATAAATCATAAGACAGCCATTTTTTACCAATTGGATTGACCAAAATCCAAAGGTTTGATAACACACTCGGTTGGAGTTCTTATGGGGAAACAGGTACTTTATACATTTCTGTGGGCAGGGTAAATGGACAACATCTATCAAAATTGCAAATACATTGACCTTTAACCCAGCAATTCGTTTTTTTGGAAATATGCCCTACAGATATATTTGTACATATGAGAAATGACATATTCAAGACTATTCATTTTGATATTGCTTTACTAAAAAAGATGTAAAACAGTACAGTATGCTACCATTTATACAAAAAGGTGATAAGAATGTATATTTCTAAGTGCTTGCATTTGATTAAATAACCTTGGAAGGATACATGGACGCTAGAGTGGCTTTGCGCGTTGTACATGCATGTACCTCTGTGTGTGTGTGCGTGGTATGGGAACTGTGCAGGTGCTGGGCAGGGATAGAAAAAGACTTTTCACCGTATCTTTTTATGTTTAGGGAGTTTTAAACCATGGGAATTTATTATAACTTTAGAAAGTTAAATAAAATGTAAGAAGAAGGAGAGAGTCAGTTAGCTCAAACACTTCTGAGGGATTGGGTGAGATGAAAGTTGAAATGTGTCCAGTCATCTTAGCGAAAAGGAAGTGACTCTGGGCTTCAGTATAAGCAGTTTTGATGTGCAGGGTCATTGTTCTGGTCCCATGGGCAGATTGAGAAGCGTGAGGTGAGGACATGTAAACAGTAAATATAGACAACTTGTGTGAGAAATTTAGCTGTGCAGGACAAGGGCCAGGGCCGAGCTCAATGAGATGAAGATTCCATAGAAGGGATTTTCTTTTTTTTTTTTTTTTAAAGAAAAGTCTTTAGAATATTTAGTCATCAATGGAAAGTGTCAGGAGAGAGGGTGAAGCTCTGGGTTTAGGAGGGGGAAAGGCTAAGGGATGCTTTCAGATTTCAGAGAAAGTGGGAGGGTCTGGATCCTGCTCAGAGGTGGTGGCTCTGGCCTTAGCTGGGAGTGCTGGGTGTGGAGGACAGCAGAGAAAAGGAGTGTGGCTTTGTAGATGGGTTGGCTGGGAGCAGAGGGTGTCTGCACCTGAAGGTGTCAGTCTTCTCAGAGAGTTGGTGGGCCAAGAGCCAGGGGACTGCGGGTGAGAGGTGGTGGGGAGGTCTGGGGTATTTGCTGTGGGGCATGGGAGAATGAGCTCCCGGTGCTTGTGCTGTGGGGCAGACAGGTGGGTTAATCCAGGGCAAGAGATCTGCCAGGCAGTTGCACCAGAAGGACACAACAGCTTTTTTTTACTCAAAAGAGACTAATGTAAAGGATCAGGGAATCTAAGCTGCTTTTAGAGAGAAGACGGGTCCCAGGGCCTGGGGTCCAGTGCAGCTAAAGAGCTAGTGGGGAGCAGCTGGATGGCAAGGACACCTTATTCAGAGTGGGACGCTGGCTGGTGATTTTGGAAGTGAGCAGGCCATGGCATTGGCAGGGGCCTGGTATGCCTGGGGAGCAGGGAGCTGCATGGGGGAGAAGCTCCTGGGAGGTGAGGAGCCCACTGCCCAGCACAGCATGGTGGCTGAGCTGAAGGGCCCTGGAAGGATGCCGGGGTAGGGTGGATGGGAAGGTGGGACCCAGAACTGAAGGCTGGAAGAATGAGGGGCTGGATGCTGATGGGGCTGGGTGTGATGGGATTTATAGGGACAATCAGCAGGGGTCTGAATGGATGGGGCAGTGGAGAGGGAGAAGGATGTCAGTTCCTCTGAAATTCCTGTTGAGGCAGGAGGCAAGCAGAAGGCGTGTTCTAAGGCAAGGCTGGGAAATAGGGTACTTTGTTCCTAGAGTGAGAATCCCAGTGGCTCCAGAGCTGTTTGCAAGGGGAATGACACTGCACAATTGAACATAAAGATTCTGGGGACTTACACATGAGGTGCTCCCTGGGGAGCTCTCAGGTCTCTGGGGTGCGGTGTGTGCCACCAAATGTGAACCTGCTGGCTGTGAGCCTCACAGGGCATGCGCAGCACCCAGTGTGGCCCCTGGCCCCACTGCCCCTGTAGCATCCCTTCCCGATGCTCCAGCAGAACGTGTGCTGGAGTACAGCCATCATGTCATACAGGCCAACATCCTCATGCTACAGAATGAGGCTTCTCAGTGCCTCACACCACACCTGGCATGCAACAGACACACAAGAACTTGGAGTTCGTGATTCTTGCTCTTGGTTCCAGCACCACCATCATGTTTGTGCAGCAACCTTCCTTCACAGATCCCCAAGTTTGCCTGGTCTGTTTCTCTCACCACTTGGATCAAGCATCTCCCCACTAGGGTGGGGAGATGGTACCATCAGGAGGCCAGAAGACAAGGTGCTGTTCAGCTTCTAGAGGAGAACTCAGACCTGCCGCTCCCTGAGCACTGAGGTCCTTGCGGCCTCAAAGTCACAGCCTCCTTCCAGCAGGGGGCAGTGTCAGATGCCCAGAATGGGAAAAAGAGCCAGGAGCTCTGAGTTCGAGGCTCCGCCCTGCTCTTAGGCCTTCACCTGTGCTGGTATCACTCTGAACCTGTTTCCTCATGTGAATAATGAGGGTAGATGGTCTGTTTTTTCCAGCACTAAATGATGATACCGATGATCAATAACATTTGCCCTGCACCTCCTTAGGCTCAGGCTCAGGGGCTAAATGTTTTCCATGGGTGGTCTCATTTCATCCTCACATTAACTGTGTAGGTGGGCACTATTGCTGTCCCATTTTACAGAGGAGGAAACTGCAGCACAGAGAGGCAGAGGAGGGTGAGGCTCTTCGAAACAAATAAAAACCCTCCCCAGTAAATGTATTGGAGGCAGGCGACCCTCCTGCTGCTGTTGAAATCTAAGATTTCTGTCTTAGTAATTCTGGCCTCTGAGTCTGTGTACACTGTAAAGGGCAAAGATGACAAGGCTTTTATTGCTTTAATTAAAACCTGGGTGAAGAGCTCGCGATTCATATTAAAATGAAATTGTGTTTCACCCGCTGTGGTGCGGAGAAGGTAACAGCGGTGATTACTGCTAAGATTACAAACAATCAAAGAGAAAAGGCCTTTTGCAAGCATTTCCTATTAAAGCCACAAACATCACACTTTAAAAATAATTATGGTTGTGTTATCAGAACATGATTCATGAGTTCTGAATAAATACCAGAGGCCTTAAAGGAAACTGTTTCAAGACCATAGATTTTGTTCAAATCTGATGAAATTTAATATCACTTCACAGTTGGAGAATAAAATACAAGGAGGGGGAAAAAGCCCATCCTGTGTATATGGAGAGAATTGAGTATATATGTCAGATTGAACTAATGAGCTCTTCCCCATCAACCCTAAACACATACTCAGAAAAAATGGCCTAGCTTCTCTTATTTTCACTGAGAGAAAACTGCCGAGGAGGAGTGAGTACTTATATCTCACCAATCTTAATTTTACATCCCAATGGCCAAAAATATATTTATTTTAAAGCTCTTGATTCCTGCCTATGAGACGTTTAAATATTTGAGGGCGCAGGCATGGAGACATTGGGGAATGGATGGGGGGAGGACTTTGGTCTGCATTTATGGTGCCTCCCCTGTCATAAAGATATTTTTCATACAATGCAGTGAATGTTTATGGCATATAGTTTTGTTTCCTTCCAACTATTATGAGAGAAATTGAATCCCAGGAAATGTTCACTCTCTCTAAATGGGATGGAAACAATGATGATGATGTGGGAAGTGCAGGGGCCTGGGGGAGGGGATAGCAGTGGGGTGGACACGTGATTTCAAGGATTTTCTTAAAAACAGCACCCTTCCCCCTCCCAGCCACCTCCCAGCCACCTCGAACTTAGCATCCCCTGTAGGACCTGAGTTTTTACTGGGGAGGGTCAGAGAATGAAGATTTTATACATTGTTCATTGCTGTGTGTGAGCTCACTGGTGACCAAGAAGTGGAAATGAAGCCAGACGTGGGGACTTTCTCAGAATGGGACTGGGTTCTTATCTTCTGGAGGGTCAGGATCCTGGTTCCGGCCCCTCCTCAGCCTCTCTCCCTGTGTCCCCTCAGACTGGTCATTTGTCCTCTCTGGGCTCTGGTTTTTGCATCTGTGAATGGGGATTGGATGAATATCTCTGAGGGACCTTCCGGGTTGACTTACAGCCAAGGGCTCAGCCCCCTTCACCCACTGCCTGAGCGCCCAGGAGGGACAATGGTCTGTCCCAGAGGTCTTCCCCACCTGGCTGAGTCACACCAATGCTGAGAGGGCCCCGCAATGAGGCTGGAAGCTGTGTGTCACATTTCAGCCCACCAGGCATGATGATAAGGAGCTGGGTTATAAAGGTAATGACATGAGAAGGCAGAACTGGGCTCAAATGATAATCTTGACACATGTGGCTGGGGAAGCTTGGACAAGTTAACCAAGTTTTCTGAGCTTCAATTTTGTCTTTAGAAGTTCCTCAGAGTGATGCAGAAGTAAATTAAGTGTGTTTATATCCAAAGTGGTTATTCTAGTGCTTGGTACATAGCAATTGGTAGTTAGCCTGAGGTGCTACTAAAATCCCCATTTTATAGATGGAAAACATTATTTTCAGTAAGGTAAAATGGGACAGGTACATACTCAGCCCCAAGTAGAGGCCCGGAAGCCCTGGGGTCAGGCCAGTGATGCAGGCCTTCGAAGATGCATCTGCTTGCGAGGTAGCAGGGTCTGTGCCAACAGCCACCCGGTGGCGCCGAGCTCATAGTTGGGAGGGTGCTTAGAGCAGAGTGAGGAGCTGGGGCGCATGGCTTTAAGAGGAGTGTGTGTCCAGCTGGGAAGGATGAGCAGGCGGTGAGAGTGACCCATGCACTTGGAGAGAGAGATGGGGAAGGAGGGCTCTGAGGAAGGTTGCTGTGCATTGGGAGGTGGGATCTTCCTCTTATAAGTCCCCTGAAGAAAACCTTCAGTGAAGTTCTTTGTAACTGCCCAAAGGCTTTAAAAGTTAGCACAGTGTGACCTTTGGCTATTGACTGCTGGGATGGCCCTCAAGGGTGGGAAGTTTGTGGCTAGTGGTTATACTTGTGCCATGTGTAAACTGAGCAGTTGTAGTTTTATTGTTGCCACTAGCCTTCATAAACAATGGTTGGCAATTGCAACAGGAAAGATATAATGGGAAGGGACGAGGAAGCCTTTTAAAATGTATGTATGTATGTATGTATGTATGTATGTGTGTATTTTTTGAGATGGAGTCTCACTCTGTCACCCAGGCTGGAGTACAGTGGTGTGATCTTGGCTCACTGCAACCTCCGCCTCCTGGGTTCAAGTGATTCTCCTGTCTCAGCCTCCCGAGTAGCTGGGATTACAGGCATGTGCCATCATGCCCAGCTAATTTTTGTATTTTTAGTAGAAATGGGGTTTTTCCATGTTGGCCAGGCTGGTCTCGAACTCCTGACCTCAAGTGATCTGCCCACCCCAGCCTCCCAAAGTGCTGGGATTACAGGTGTGAGCCACTGTGCCCGGCTTTAAAATTTATTAACATGGTATACTCCCACCGAAACGGAGAATATGTAAAAGACTAAGTTGAGAAGGATCTGGAGGAACCAGTACCCTCACTCACTGCTGTGTAAATTGGTACCACCATAGATGCCATTTTGCAGTATCTAAAGCTGAATATATGTCTCTATGACTCAGTAATTCAACTCCACAAATGCCTTCGTATGTTCAGGCCAGGCGTGGTGGCTCATGCCTGTAATCCTAGCACTTTGGGAGTCTGAGGTGGGAGGATCGCTTGAGCCCAGGAGTTCAAGACCAGCCTGAGCAATTTAGTGAGACCCCTGTTTTAAAAAATTAAATAATTAGCCAGGTGTGCTGGTACATACCTGTAGTCCCAGCTACTCGAGAGGCTAAGGTGGGACGATCACTTGAGCCCTGGAGGTTGAGGCTGCAATGAGCCATGTTTGCTCCATTGCACTCTAGCCTTGGTGACAGAGTGAGACTGTTTCTTAAAAAAAAGTTTATAGGAGTGTTTTTCATTAAAGCTCAAAACTGAAAACAATCCAAATGCCCATCAAGAGTAGACTGGATACATGATTCTGAAATATTCTTACACAGTGGAATACTATGCAGCAATGAGAATGAATGATGTGTAACCACATGCCATCAAGCAGATGAGTCTCACAAACACGTTGAGTGAAAGAAACCAGACAACAAGACAGAACATTCTAGACAATGCCATTTACATACAGCACATGAACAGGCAAAACTAATCAATGGAGATAGAATGTGAATTGCAGTTACCCTAGAGGGGGGTGGGGAGTGACTATAGGGGCTTTGAGGGGCTTCAGAGGTGCTGGGAAGGTTTTCTCCCTTCCTTTGAGTGCTGTTTACACAAATCTGTTCACTTTATGAAAATTCATTGAGCTGTACATTTATGATTTGTGCACTTTTCTGTTGTATTCTATGCTTCAATAAGGTGTAAAAAAAGAAAGATCAAGGCATTGTATTTTTACAAGTATCTCAATTTTTAGAGACAGGGCAGGCAGGGAAGGGAACCTAGCCAGGTTTGGTCATTTGTATCTTGTGTTAATCCGGTCACCAGGGTAGTAAATTCCCACTGAGAGCATGGATGGGCGAGCCTTTTACCGCTTGAACAATGTATTTAACTTCCTGGGAGGGAAAGAATTATTTTAGCCTCATAATGGATGATGAGCTGTGAAATTGCTCTGGCTGTGGCTTGCCCCAGGGAAGCAGGTGGCACGGGCTTCCCCAGATCTGCTCAGCTCTGCAGGCTCTGGCCTTCCACTTCTATTTCCTTGTGGACAGAGTTTTAGGAAATGTTTGAAATATCAACATCTTTTTTTTTTTTTTTTTTTTTTTTTGGAGACAGTGTCTCACTCTGTCGCCAGGCTGGAGTGCAGTATCACAATCTTGGCTCACTGCAACCTCCACCTCCCCGGTTCAAGTGAGTCTCCTGCCTCAGCCTCCTGAGTAGCGGGGATTACAGGCACATGCTACCACACCCAGCTAATTTTTGTATTTTTATTAGAGACGGGGCTTTACCATGTTGGCCAAGATGGTCTTGATCTCTTGACCTCGTGATCTGCCCGCCTCGGCCTCCCAAAGTGCTGGGATTACAGGCGTGAGCCACCGCACCTGGCCGAAACATCAACACTTAAAGCACATGCATATGTGTGTGTGTGTATGTGTGGTTTTTGTGATGCTGTGCTGTGGTGCCAGAAAATCTTGTTAATGGAATATGTGAAGATGTCTAAGTTTCTCTGGGCACAGACAACACACATGCTTGTGTACAGACACATTCATGCACAAATATAAGCAAATACAAACACAACTTGTAGGCATGCTCAGTGTATGGAAAGGCACATTGAGCATTGCTGTGTGCTCCTGGGCAAGTTACTCAATCTCTCATTGCCTCAGTTTCTGCAGTGAAATGGAGATAATAAATCACCTGACTCTTGGGCTAGTGTGAGCAATACTCTCACATGTGCACAAGCACACACAAATGAGATTTTAGTTTCCGTTTATTTGCTTAATGGCTGCTTTCCTCCTAGACTGTGGGTTTCGTGGGGGCAGGGACCTGGCACAGGGTAGGAGTGGAGTTGGTATCTGGTGAGCTAATATCTGGTGATGAACAACTCTCACAAGCCTACTGGTACACATGCTGTTTAGACACATTCACAAGCACATCTGACACACTTATTCACAGGTGTAGGCACATACAGGGATATACACACACACACTCAAATGTGTCCAGACTCAGAACTTAGGAGGGTGGATTTATCTGCAGTTTGGGGACTCTGGACTAGAAGTGAGAACACTGGGTTTTGGTTGTGGCTCCAGGTAACTCTAATTTATTATGTGACCTTGAGTAAGTCTCTCTTCTCAGAGGTCAAGGACTCCCAGCTGCATGTGATGGACTGGAATTTGAACCACAGTTAGTCTGAGTCAAAGTGCTTTTAATGATTCAGGCCGTGCTATCCCCAGTGTGGTCATGGACATGCAGCATCCCCTGGAGCTTGTTAGGCATGCAGCATCTCAGTCCCCACCCAGAATCTGATTTAGAGTCTCCTAAATCAGAATCTTCATTTTAACAGATCCCTACTTGATTTGTGTGCACATTACAGATTGAGAAGTGCTGGCCTAGTGTACTTTGCCTTCCCCAAGCACTGCAAGCAATTAGCCCATGCTGAGGGGGTTCATAAGCTGGTGGGGCACAGGCACATGCCTACCCTGAGGAGCAGTTAGAGAATGGGAGAGGAGGCAGTCGGGAGCTGCCTATAAAGACAGAATCAACATGGAAGCTCAGCATCACACATGCGGGAGCCCAGTCCCTTCTATTTATAAAGAAGCAGAATCACACAGTCGTTAAGAGTGCCAATTCATGAGCTAGGCTTTTTAATTTTAAAAACAGCATATATTAGGGCTAGGCACAGTGGCTCATGCCTGTAATCCTAGCACTTTGGGAGGCCCAGACAGGTGGGTCACTTGAGGTCAGGAGTTCGAGACCAGCCTGGCCAACATGGAGAAACTCCATCTCTACTAAAAATACAAAAATTAGCTGGGCATGGTGGCATGTGTCTGTAATCCCAGCTACTCAGGAGGCTGAGGCTGGAGAATCACTTGAATCCGGGAGGTGGAGGTTACAGTGAGGCGAGATCACGCCACTGAACTCCAGCCTGGGCAACAGAGCAAGACTCTGTCTCAGAAAAAAAAAAAAAAAACCCACCCAGCATATATTAATCATCTCATAGTTACTGCATGCCAGGAATCAAGTGTGGCTTCATGTGGTGCCTCTGGCTTAAGATCTCTTGGAGGCTGTGCTCAATGTGATACTCAAGGCTGTGGTCTCATCTGATGGCTTGACTGAAGGGGGATTTACTTCCAAGTTCCCTCTATTGGTTGTTGGCCGGATTCAGTTCCCCTGAACTGAACCATTGAGTTGGAATCATGGCTCCATCCCTTCTTACCAGTTGTGTGGCTTTATGCAAGCTTCCCATCTCTGTGGCTCCTCTGTGAAATGATTATAATAATAACACCTGCCTCATAGAGTTGTTGTGAAGATTAACAAATTCATGTATGAAAAGTACATAGGATAAGGATACCTCTACACATGGTAAGTGCTATATAAATGGTTTCTGCTATTTTTTGAAAAAAGCTATAGAAAAGCAGGTCAGAACAATGTGACTATGGGGGCTGAGCTATATATTTTTTAAAAATTTTACTGGTAACTCCGTAGGTTGCAGCACAAGCCTAGTTCAGAGTGGATGCTTACTACATTTTAGGGGAGTGGATGAGCTCTGGGTGGCAGCCCCCTGATGGGATGTTTGGGGCATAGTTACAGGAGCACGGGGTCCAGGCTGCAAGAGGAGCAGGCCTTGCTCTATTCTGCCCAGATCACTGGGCCCCATTTGTGGTGCCACCACCTGGGAAGGCAGTAGGGTATTGTGGAAGTCCTCTCAATGTCACCTGGGAGGACAATGGCATGAGCAGAGGGGCCAGCACACCTAGGTGATACCACAGAATGCAGTGTTTGGGGGCTACAGTGAGTTCACTGTGGCTAGTATCAGGCAAGGTTGCAGGACTTGGTCCAGGAGGCCTTGGATGCCAAGCAGAGGCCGGGACCCTGTTCTGAAGGGTCTGAGCAGGGCAGTGTCCATGGAGCAGTGTGCTCTAGGGGACTTCACTGCTCAGCCTGGTGTCCTGGGATCTCGGGGCACTCATGAGGACCATTCTCAGAGAACTTAAGTGCCTTCATCCACAGGCAGCTGGCGTGTGGCACATTTTTAGGCAATGCTACTTCTGTCATTTTCAGAAGGTAGAAATGGGAAAGAAAAAAAAAGCTGCAAATAGACATCATTTTTCCAGAAGCTTATTTTAAGACAGAAACAACTAGAGAGCCTACTCATCATTTTTGCTGCTTTTAAAATCAGCACTGCCTTGTGTGTGCCTGGGTACCTGCATACAAGGAGCACAGGCATGAATTGAATTTGATTTTTAAAATCCCTTGATCCAATTGCCTCTTTTTACAGTTGGTGTAACTGAGGCCCAGAAAGGGGTCAGTGATTTGTCCAAGGTCACACAGCCTGTCAGAGGTAGGGGCTCAGATCTTCATGAGAAGATGCTAAGATAAGGACAAGGAACCAGGAGACCCCGATGGGCCAAGTTAGAATGATTTCATGCTGAACAGCGTCACTGAGCGGGCTGCTTCAGACCTTTGCTGACTTCTTAGAGCTTGCAGGAAAGATGGTGCAGCACTGAGCCCAATGCCATAGCAGACCATTAGGATGTTCATTCATTCATTCACTCCAAAACATATTTACTAAGCACCTACTGTGCGTCAGGCAGTGGTGTAGGTGCTGAGACGAAACTGTGAACAAAGCAGTCAAACACTCCTAGTCCTTACTCGTTCATGCATCCTTTTATTCAGTAAATGTTTATTGAGGGCCTACTATGTGCAAGGTACTATCCTTGGCCCTTGGAATATATCAGTGACCAAATGGTGGAATTTATATCCTAGTGAAGGGGACAGGCAATAATCATTATTATTATTATTATTATTATTATTATTATTATTATTATTATTTTGAGTTGGAGTCTTGCTCTGTCATCCAGGCTGGAGTGCAGTGGTACAATCTCAGCTCACTGCAACCTCCACCTCCCAGGTTCAAGCAATTCTGCTGCTTCAGCCTCCTGAGTAGCTGGGATTACAGGCATACACCACTATGCCCGGATCATTTTTGTATTTTTAGTACAGATGGGGTTTCACCATGTTGGCAACGCTGGTCTTGAACTCCTGACCTCAGGTGGTCTGGCCTCCCAAAGTGCTAGGATTACAGACGTGAGCCACTGCAGCCAGCCATAATCATTATTTTAAAGAAGTAAAGTATACTGTATGTTTGCAGGTAAAAGTTCTGTGGGGAAACTGAGCAGGTAGGGGAGCTGGGTGTGCCAGCAGGAGCTGCACTTGCAAACAGGGTGGCCAGGGAAGGCGCTGCTGAGAAAGTGACATTTGAGCAACGACTTGAAGGGGCGAGGGAGTTGAGATCTGGGAAAGGACATTGCAGTAGAGGGAACAGCCAGCACCAAGGCCCCGCAGTGGGAGTGTGCCTGGCATGTTTGAGGAACGTGGCTGGAGTGGAGGCAGTGAGGTGGAAGAACTGGGAGACTTATCTGATCGACGGCTGGGATGGTCAAGAGCAGCTCCCAACCACGTGTGGCATGGGCAGAGGTAAGTGACCCAGGACAGCATCAGGAGTGATCGTGTAGGAGCGATCGTGTAGGAGCCAGGATACCCCTACCTCCCTTGTAAGGCCTCCCAGCATTGACATGAGGGCAGGGCACGTGCATGGGGTGTGGCATCCCTTGCAGTGATTTAAAGGGAAGTCTCAGCATCTCGCAATGTCTTGGAGCCAAAGGAGCTCCCATTTTGAGGCCACTGTGGGAAACTCATGTGGCGTAAGGAAGGATCATAGCCTTCAGATCGAGCCAGGCCCATATCTGAAAAAATGTCGTGGTTGAATGTCTTAGTAATACCAGCATGGAGAAGCCATTTTCTAAGCATGATGTGAAAGCCAGAAATCATACATTAATACATTTAATGTTTTAACATAAATGTAAAGCCCTTGATATGGCAAAAGTTATAAATAAGATCAAGTGACAAATTGGGAGTAATATTTGTAGCATGTAACATGCAAACACATAGAATAAAACAATAGAAAAATGGCAGAGGTAATGCTGGTTTTAGAACATGAAACACATTCGTGTAGGGTTTACAAAAAAAAAAAAAAAAAGAAAAAATGGTGGAGGGCCAGATTTGGTCCACGGCCTGTGATTTGCTGATCCGAACTGATTTAGGAATGTTGACATGTCCAAAACTGAGCTCGTGGTCCTCCTTATACCCACCAAGCATGTTTTCCCCTCAGTATTCCTCCACCAGTGGCTCGAGATGGGAACCTGGGAGTGATGTTCGAGTCCCCGCTGAATGAGGAAGGCACGTGGCATGTCAGACACCATCCAGGCTGGCCATAGCGATGAGGGGGTGTCATAGGAGGTGAGACTGGAAGGAGACTGGGCCGGATCATGCAGGACTTTGCAGGCTACAGAGAGGGTTTCACACACACTGTATCCTGAGCGTAGAGGACATCAGCTAATGGGAGTATCACCATCAGTTTTGTGTGTGGAACCTCTACCCTGGCTGCTATGGAGAACAATTTGGAAGGAAAGAGATTAGAAGTTAGGAGATCATTGAGGAGGTGATTACAGCAGTCCTTGTGGGAGGTGATGACCGCTTGGACTAGGATGGTTGCTCTGCAGATGGATTGTGGTGGGAAGATTTGAGATACATGGGGAGGTGGGGCTGACAGGACTTTGTGATTGATTGGAGATGGGGATGAGAGAGGGAGGAATTGAACATCTCTCCCAGGTACCCAGCTTGAGCCACCGGTAGAGGAATACTGAGGGGGAAATGGACTTGGTGGGTACAAGGATGACCACAAGCTCAGTTCTGGACGTGTCAAAGAAATCATGGCCCTTGGACCAAATCTGACCCTCCACCTGTTTTGTGTAAATAAAGCTTTACTGGAACATGGGATCCTCCTAAGTTTAAATATTGCCTGTGGCTACTTTCATGCTATAGCAATAGAGTTGAATAGTTCTGACAGAGACCATATGACTCACAAAGCCAAAAATACATATTATCTGCAGAAAAAGTTTGCTGGGCTTTTGTGTAGGACATCCAAGGGAAGTAAAGTATCAAAGAGGCAGTTGGATATGTAGCTATAAAAATGTAATTTGAGGCTGGGCACAGTAGCTCACGCGTGTAATCCCAGCACTTCGGAATGGAAAGCAGGGAGGATTGCTTGAGGCCAGGAGTTTGAGACCAGTCTGGGCAATATAGCAAGACCCGGTCTCTACAAAAAAATAAAAAATAGTAGGACATGGTGGCACACGCCTGTAGTCCCAGCTCCTTGGGTGTCTCAGGTGGAAGATCGCTTGAATCCGGGAGATTGAGGCTGCAGTGAGCTGTGATCATGCCACTGTGCTCCAGCCTGGGCAACAGAGCAAGACCCTGTCTCGAAAAAGAAAATTCAATTAAAAAAACAAAAACAGTTTGGCACGGTGGCTCATGCCTATACTCCCAGCACTTTGGGAGGCCAAGGTGGGTAGATCGCTTGAGCTCAGGAGTTTGAGACCAGCCTGGGCAGCATGGCAAAAACCCATCTCTACAAAAAAAATTAACCAGGTGTGTTGGCTCGTGCCTGTAGTCCCAGCTATTCAGGAGGCTGAGGTGGGAGGATAGCTTGAGCCCAGGAGTCAGAGGCTGCAGTGAGCCAAGATCATGCTATTGCACTCTAGCCTGGGTGACAGAGCCAGACCCTGTCTCCAAAAAAAAAAAAAAAGACTACCACTTATTGGAAAACTGAGCTTCCTTATCTGTAAAATGGGGCCAGTGCCTGCTTCAGGCTGCCTCTTCTCATTCAGATGCTGTTGCCCACAAGTTATCCCCAGCCTTGCGACTTTTGCTACTTAAGTTCTGCTGGGACTGCTGCTTCCTAAAGAAAAGGACCCCCAAACCCACCCACCAATCATGTATCTTTCCAGAGCCTCCCCGTCCCTGCCCGGTGAATCACCCAGGATGCTGCTGAAACCTTAGCTTGAGTCAGATTGTGTCCTGAGCGAGAACACATGGGGATTATCATGTTTGTTCCCAGATAGGGTTTTAGTCAACAAAACTCCTGTCTAATGTGACTGCCTGTCATTGTCCCACTATGATGCCTCTGTCTGCCCTGATCCAAGCATTTCGGGGTCAGGAACAGCCACAGAGCAGCCGTGGCTGGCAGCGTGGCACACTGCCGGTGGGAGGGTGTTAGATGCACTCCTGTGTGAGTGGCCTGGCTCGGCTTGGAGGTTCTGCCTGTAGATAAAGGCTGAGAAAAGATATTACATTCCCCTCCCCCACCTCCTCCAGAATCCACGCTTCATTTTACCGGTATGGCTTTTCTCTCCTGTTTGGCTTATATATGGTATGGACTTTTAGTTTTTTATTTTTTAAGAAGCATTTTTAGTCCAGGAAAATGACAGGCCAAGCAAAAGGCATAATTGTCCTGATTTTCAGAAGTGCTACAATACTCCAGATCTGATGTATGGTGAGACTCGAATCAGAAAGATTCTATTAAACATGTCTGGGGTGGGTGACATAGGGGTATTATCTGAGATGATTAATTTGACTCGGTCATTATGGACACAGACAAGCCTGACAAAATTGCATTTCATTCCCCGCAGAATTCATAAAATCACTATACCCGTGATAAGAAGTTACAGTGCTAGGAGCTCAGCTCCAGTTGTTGGGGTTTGGAGTTTTGATAAGATGTCATTTTCTGTTGTGAAAACAGAGTTGAGAAACACTGAATCGCACTACAGTCTTTTAGCAGAGATGGCTTTTTTTAAACTTTTATTTTAGGTTCAGGGGTACGTGTGAAGGTTTGTTATATAGGTAAGCTTGTGTCGTGGGGATTTGATGTACGGATTATTTTGTCACCCAGGTATTCAGCCTAGTACCCATTAGTTATTTTTTCTGCTCCTCTCCCTCCTCCCACCCTCAAGTAGAACCCAGTGTCTGTTTTTCCTTTTCTTGTGTTGATGAGTTCTTATCACTTAGCTCTCACTTGTGAGTGAGAACATGTGGTATTTGCTTTTCTGTTCCTGCATTAGTTTACTAAGGATAATGGCCTCCAGCTCCATCCATGTTCCTACAGAAGACATGATGTCATTCTTTTTTATGACTGCATAGTATTCCATGGTGTATATGTACCACATACAACATTTTCTTTATCCAATCTGTCCTTGATGGTCATTCAGGTTGATTCCATGTTTGTTGTGAATAGTCCTGCAATGAACATTTGTGTACACATGTCTTTATGGAAGAATGATTTATATTCTTCTGGGTATATATCCAGTAATGGGATTGCTGGGTTGAATGGTAGTTCTGCTTTTTGTTCTTTGAGTGATTGCTATATTGCTTTCCACAATGGTTGAACTAATTTACACTCCTACCAACAGTGTAAGTGTTACCTTTTCTCTGCAACCTTGCCAGGATCTGTTATTTTTTGGCTTTTTCATAATAGCTATTCTGACTGGTGTGAGATGGTATCTCATTATGGTTTTGATTTGCATTTCTCTAATGATCGGTGATGTTGTAGCTGAGATGTTCTTGCTGGTGCGGGTTTTACTTGTTAAAATGGCAAGATGGTAGGGCGACCATATAATTTACTGGCCAAACCAGGACACTGTTTAGAGTGAAATAAAACATTATTAACGTGACACTGGAACAAGAGGCGTGGAGCAGGCCTGCCCTGGCCTAGCCAGGACTCGTGTGTGTTGGGAGGAGCTTGAACAGTGGCAGAGCAAAGCTTTGGCTACTGGTAGGCAGGGCTTCTTGTCCTCATTTTCATAAATGCTACCCATATGACTTTGGATAAGTCATTTTTCCCTTTTGAACCTCAGTTTCCTCATCTGTAAAATGGAAATGCCATTTTCTACTTGTTCTGCATATCATCCGAGGGCTTTTTTTTTCTTGCTTGGGTGTGTGTGTGTGGGATTTATGCTGACTTCCTGTTAATGTGTTTTCCCATCTGTTTCCTGGTATAATTCTCTCAGCTCTTAGGTGGGGTTTTGTAGACAAGGAAACTGAGTAGTAGGCAGTTTGGATAAATTGCCAGAAGCCCTCAGCAAGTAAGATTCCCCATGTCAGTGTAACTCCAAAGCCAGAGCTCTTTCTGCAGATCAACAATGTAACTCTCAATACATGAGAGTTACAGCACCTCATGTTTCCATGTATTTCAAATATTCCTCCCAACAAAGCTGGAAGGTTGTTGGAATACATAATCAGGATTCAACTCTGGGGACACAAGTTGGGTTCTCCCAAGAATCATTTCTCACCATGCATCACCAGGGAGTGAATGCCACTTCTCCTTTTATGCTATACTCCAACTCTCAACAAGCTCTTTGGAAAAAGGTCAAATCACCTGCTACTCCCTCAGTGAATCTTCACCTCTTTCTTATACAGCATTGTGGTGGGAAATGGAGATCGATAGTCAAAATGGCAGCCTGAGAACTTTCATGTAAGCACTAACTGGGATAAAGTAGAAAGCCATCACTAATAAAAGGAACACTTCAACAAGCAGATACAATAACAACTGATTTGTAAATACCTAACAACATAGCTTTGAAATATATGAAGCAATACAGCAGGTTGATAAAATCACAATCACAGTGGAAATTTTTAACACATTTCTCTCAGAAACCAAAGGGTCAAGCAGAAAAAGAAAAGTAATTGTTGTTTGGAAGATTTAAATGATAGAATTAACAAGCTGAAAATTATAAATATTGATCAAAATTAGCCTGATACTGTATCAAAGGAATTCTCAATGGCTTTTAAAGAATTAATATATTTTTCATTCCCTTTTGGGTATCTTTTTCTTTTTTCATGTCAGTGGTTCCTTATTTTATTAGCCTTTTCAAAAAAACAATCTCTTCCTTGTATTTCTTATCTAAAATTTGTTTTCTATTTTATTTTTCTCCTACAGACTTTCGGTTTATTTTGTTATTCTATTTCTACCATCTTGAGTTGAGTGCTGAGTTTGTCTTTCTTGTCTTCTAATAAATTCATTTTGATAAAAGTATAATTTTTCATTGTCCATCTCTCATAAGTTTTGTCAGGTAGTGTTCTCATCATTTCAGTTGTGATTTCCTTTTTAACACAGAAGTTACTTAGATGATTGCTCTTAAAGTGTTTAAGTATGTAGGAGGATTTCCCTCCCTCCATTTTTTTTTCTGCTCGTTTGTTTTTGTTAATAACTAGGTTGGTGCATGTACTAGTCTGTTCTCACATTGCTAGAAAACTACCTGAGACTGGGTAGTTTATAAAGAAAAGAGGTTTAATTGATTCACAGTTCTGCAGGCTCTATAGGAGGCATGGCTAGGGAGGCCTCAGGAAACTTACAATCATGGTAGAAGGGTGAAAGGGAAGCAAGCACATATTCACATGGCAGCAGGAGACAGGGAGATGGGGAAAGGGCTACACACTTTCAAACAACCCGATCTTGTGAGAACTTACTTACTGTCACGAGAACAGCAAGGGGGAAATCAGCCCCCATGATCCAATCACCTTCCACCAGGCCCCTGCCTGAACTCTGAGAATTACAATTTGACATGAGATTTGGGTGGGGATGCAAAGCCAAAGCCTATCAGTGTAGTTAGGTCTTAGAATTTGATCTATCTAATTTCTACCTTTTGAAGAGTTTGAGATTCTCTTTGTAGTTTACCTGGTTATATTTTGTAAGTGTTCTATGGACATTTGAAAGGAATAAATCAAAAGAGTGAATTGCGTCATTCAGATCCTCAATCCTCACTCATTTCTATCTGACTGATTTGCCCATTTTATTTATGGTTTTATACTAACAGTTTTTTACATTTTATATTTCTGTGGTTTTATCAATTTACATAAAAATTTGTCATTTCTTCTTAGTAGATTTATATCATTTATTGACTTAAGTGTTCCTTTTGATATTTTTTAGTGCTTTTTTGCCCTGATTTGTACTTAATTTGTAATTAATTTTGCCACTCTGCTTTTTGTTGGCCTGATACATCTATCTATCTATCTATCTATCTATCTATCTATCTATCTATCTATCTATTTATTTTAAGATGGAGTCTCATTCTGTTACTCAGGATGGAGGGCAGTGGCACAATCTCAGCTCACTGCAACCCCTGCTTCCCGGGTTCAAGGGATTCTCCTGTCTCAGCCTCCTGAGTAGCTGGGATTACAGGCACTCGCCACCATGTCCAGCTAATTTTTGTATTTTTAGTAGAGATGGAGTTTCACCATATTGGCCAGGCTCATCTTGGACTCCTGACCTGAGGTGATCTACCCACCTTGGCCTCTCAAAGTTCTCGGATTACAGGCGTGCGCCACCATGCTCGGCTGGTGTCTATTTATTTTTATCTTACAGGTCATTTTATTTTAGGCATGTCTATTATAAACCATATGCTGTATGTATTTTAATAAAAATATTTTGTCTTTTAATAAAGCAATTGAAATCATTCGTATTATGTTATGAATATTTAGTCTTAATGCTGCCATTTTATGAATATTCTTTATTATGTTTGATAGTTCACTCCTGTTTTCTTTGCAGATTTTTCTAGATTGATAAAGTTCTGTTTTCTTCTACTTTCTTTGGTTCTTCCAATGGTGTAAAATTTTTGCTTTTCCTTAAAATTATAACAAATATTTAATAAATTAATTCATCAAAGTTTCAGGGCAAGATCAGTATGGAAAAATCACTGGTGTTTCTGTAAACCAACAATGAACAACCCATAAAGGAAACTAAAAAAAAATTCCATATATAATAACATCTAAGAGAATAAAATATGTAGGAATAAATTTAACCAGGAAGGGGAAAAACTCCTAAACTGAAAACTACACAACATTGTCAAAAGAAATTAAAGATCTAAATAAATTGAAAGATATCCATGTCTGTGGATTGGAAGACTTAATAATGTTAAGATGGCAATACTATCTGAGCGTCTACAGATTCAATGCAATCTTTATCAAATTTCCACTGGTCTTTTTTGCAGAAATGAAAAATCTGATCCTCAAATTCATATGGAATTGCCAGGGGGCCTGAATAGCACCAGTAATCTTGAAAAATAACAGGCTGGAGGACTCACACTTCCCAATTTCCATAAAGCAACAGTAGTCAAAACAATGTGGTACTGGCATAAGGATAGACATATAGACCAATGGAATAGAATTGAGAGTGTAGAAATAAACCAATACATCTATGGCCAGTTGATTTTATATAGGGGTGTCAAGACCATTCAGTGGGGAAAGAACAGCAGGCTGTGTGGATATTGAGAGCAGAGTATTCTAAAGGAAGGGAACAGCCATTGCAAAGACTCTGGGGCAGAAACGTGCCTGGAGTAGCTGGAGTGGTATGAACAAGGGGAATAGGAGATGATGACGTCAGAGAGGTAAAAAAGGACGTGGGACTGGGGAGAGCAAGACTACATAGCATGGGGCCGTTGTTCCTTATCTGAGTGAGAAGGAGAGCTCTAGAGGGTTGTGAGCAGAGCTTATATTTTAGCAGGATAATTCTGGCCCTGGGGTGAGAATGGACCTTAGCAAAGGTGGAGGCAGGGAGGCCAAGAGGCCAGGGAGGAGACTGCTGCAGTCATCCAGGGCAAAGAGGGTGATGGCTCAAGGTGGAGCTGATGGTATTTTTGGACACATTTCGTGTAGGATGTGAGAGGAAGAGAGGGGTCAAGGGTGACACCTTGGTTTCTGGCCTGAGCAACCAGAAGGATGGAGTGGCCATTAGCTGAGGTGGAGAAGACTGTGGGAGGGGTAGGTTCTCTCTTAAATGTGTTAAGTTGTTTGAGGTATCAATTAACATCCAAAGGGAAGGACAAATAACAGTGGGCTATATGAGTCAGCATTTCAGGGGAAGGTCTGGCTCGGTGGTAAGAACTGGAGCTCAGCAGCATACAGATGGTCCATAATGCCATGAGTCTGGATGAGAGCACCAGGGAGTGAGTGTGTTTAGAGGAGGGTATAAGATCTGAGCTCTGGGAATGTCATCATCAATAGATTAAGGAGAAGAATGGGAACCAACAAAGGACATACAGAATGGCCTGTGATGTTGGCCATGGACAGAAGAAATGGCCTGTGATGTTGAAGGACCAATATCTCTGGTGTCCCAGAAGCCAAGTGAAGAAGTTTGTTCCCAGGGAGGAGGATGAACTAATTATATCAAATTCCACTGATAAGGTCAAGATGAAGGCCAGATGAAGACTGAGCATTGGCCACTGGATTTAGGAAGATGGAGGTCATTGATGACCTTCCCAAGCAGTTTTGGTGGAAGTGGGATGAAAACATGATTGGAGTGGGTTTAAGAAAGAACGAGTGGAAATGAAGAGGTAACTCTTTGCAGATTTCCTGTAAGATTTTACTAATATTTTTAACTGGCAAAGCTCTTACGACTTAGCATCTCTTTCTATATTTTCATGAGGATGCCAGTGGTAGAGAGAAAATTAGGCACCATGGAACGGCCAATTCTACTGTAGGAAAATGCTGGGTTTGGAGTCACAAGACCAGGGTCTGAATCACAACCAGGACCTACTAGCTATGTGACACCTCTACTCTCTAAGCTCCATGTCCCTCATCTGCAAAATGAAGATAATAATCACTTCTCTACAGAACACATATGAACTAAATGGAGAAGGTACATGGACATGCTGGGCTCAGTGCCTGGCACATAGTAGGTACTCAGGACAAGTTGTTTAGTGTTCAGTGTCATGCATGTAGGATTTGATTGCATTCAGAAGAGGCATGTTCATGTTTGCGTGCTTAGTTATTTTTAAGTGTGCTAATTGCCTCTTTAAGTGAATTGTCATAATTGTGTGATTCCAATATTTTGATACAGCATATGCTTATTTTTTCAAAAGGCTTCTGGTCAATTGGGCCGGTTCCAGTGGATTGAAGTTTTGTTTTTTGACTGAAAGGAATGGACTTGAGCAGTCAGTTAGCATTCACTGGGCACCTTCTCTGTGCCAGCACCTGCTCTGTGCCAGCACCTATTTTAACAGTGCTGAGGGACAGGGAGGGAGGTGTCGGTCAAAACACATGAACAGCAGGTGGCTGAGGGGCGTGTAGTATGCTGGGAAGGAGAGCTGTGGTTTGAAACTAGAGCCTGGGACATTCCCCCATTTCCCGTGCCCATTTATTGTGTTGTAATGAGTCATTACTGTGCACTGTGCTAGGCACTGAGGACAAGAGAGTTAAAGGACTTCCCCAAAGACACAGAATAAGTAAACAGCAGCTCACTGGCTCAGGATCCTCATTTATGAGTGTTCCTAACTCACACAGCACAGGTCTGAGCACCACAGGGTGATGTGTGTCTTCAGCCTGACCACCAAGATGGGCTGGGGGCCGATTGCCTTTAGGTGGCAATAAGCCACAGATATCATATCACCCCAGAAAGTAGAGTCCCACTGCCAGCTTTCCAGTTCAGAGTCGCCACCTCCAGGAAGCCTTCCCAACCCCTCTGCCCATTCTAAGGCAAGACTCTACTCCTTTGATGCTCCCTATACAATTCCTTGTGTGTGTCCCCCATAGTATCATAATATTCATGACCACCTGCAACCATTTTGACTCTACTTACCTTTTGCTTGTGTCCCTGTCCCCCATATCCCAGTGTGCTACTGTTTGCTTATTCTGTGTCCTTGGGGAAGTCCCCACCATCTCTGAAACTCCAGATGAGGGCAGCAAGGATAGCAATAACTAACGCTGACATCACTCACTGTGTGCTCAACATTGCCCTGAGAAACTTACATGTTATTGATTCATTTATTCTTTATAGCAGCCCTGTAGATACATACTGTCATTACCTGCTTTCTCACACATGAGGAAACTGAGGCACAGAGAGGGTGTTTTAGTCTGTTTTGCATTGCTATAAAGGAATACTTGAGACTAGATCTTTTACAAAGAAAAGAGGTTTAATTGGCTCATGGTTCTGCAGGCTGTATCAGCATGGCACCCACATCTGCTCAGCTTTTGATGAGGCCTCAGGAAGCTTTTACTCCTGGGAGAAGGTGAAGGGGGGAGCAGGCATGTCACACGGCAGGAGAATGAGAGAGAGAGAGGGGAAGAGGTGCCAGTCTCTTTAAACAACCAGCTCTTGCATGAATGAATAGAGCAAAAACTCACTCATTACCACAGGGAGGGTCCCAAGCCACTACTGAAAGATCTGCCCCATGACCCAAACACTTTTGGCTCAGCCCCACCTCCAACAGTGGGTCACTTTTCAACATGAGATTTGGAGGGGACAAATATCCAAACTGTATCAGAGGGTAAGTAATGCACCCAGAGTCACACACAGGCAGTAAGTGGCAGAGCCAGGATGCAAACCCAAGCTGCCTGGCTCCTAACCACTGCACTGCACTGCCTCCTGCGTGATAGGGACAGTAGTTCCCAGCTCCAGGGCAATCATGAAGGTTGAGTGAGATGCATGTTTATGGTGTCCACCCCAGGACCTGGCTGTACATTCAACTTTTTTTTTTTTTTTTTTTTTAAGATGAGGTCTCCCTCTGTCACCCAGGCTGGAGTGCAGTGGCACAATCACAGCTCACTTCAGCCTTGACATCCTGGGCTCAAATGATCCTCCACCTCAGCCCCCGAAGTAGCTGGGACTACAGGTGCATGGCCACACACCCAGTGAATTTTTGTATTTTTTTTTGTAGAGATGGGGTTTCACCATGTTGCCCAGAGTGGTCTCAAACTCCTGGGCTCAAGCGATCCTCCCGTCTTGGCCTCCCAAAGTGCTGGGATTATAGGCCAACTCATTGTTTCTGAGCTCTTACTTTGTGTTCCAACTCTGTGCCAGGTCCTGACTGAGGCATTGGGGATATAGGGAGCAAAACTCATGTTAAATATCAGACAAATAATCACACAAGAAGTCAGTTAACTACTTATAACGATGAGTGCTTCCAAGGAAAAATTCTGGGCAATCTTGGGGTGTGAAATGGGGTTTGATCTACCCTGGAGTATCAGGGAAGACATTTAAACAAAACCTATTGTGGAGAGATGAGTAGGAACTAACCACGGGAGGGACAGTGTGTGGCAGGCGGAGTGCAGCAGAGGGAACTGTGTAGGGGAGAGCCCAGAGGCAGGAGAGGTCACTGTGGTTAGAGGGGTGGTGGGGCCAGGCCATACAAGGACTTCCAGGGCTGGATCTGGGACTGTGGACTTCATCCTGAAGGCAGTGGGGAGCTCATCATTTGATGTGGGATTGACATCGTGTGATGATCATCTTGACAGAGACCAGTCTGGCTACAGAAAGAGAATAGAGCAGCCCGAGTGGCCAATGAAAACGGCTGGTAAGAGGTGGTGGTGGCCTGGACTAGGATAGTGGCAGTGGGAAAGAAACAGATTTTAAAGATATTTTGGAGACATTTCATTGGATTTGAGAGATGTCAGGGGGTGAGTCCCAGGTTCGTGGTTCTATGAACGGGATGGAAGGTAGTGTCACTTGCTGAGATGTAGAGGACACAGGGACACGGCAGGGGAAGGGGTATTATGATCAACAAACGAGAACATTGACTGGGCATCGAGAGGCTCCGCCCTGGAGCTCAGATGAGTGACCAAGGCTGGAGGGGTAAATGTGGCACTTAGATGAGAATCGAAACCCAGACTGGTTGAGGTCCACCTGGGGAGGCAATGTAGGGCAGGAAGAGAGGGGAGTTCAGGACAGCCTGAGGAACCCTAGATGAGAACAGAGAAGGAGAAGGTGAAGCAGGAAGGTGGACATGGTCATGGCCTGTTCCCAGATGACTGTTTGCCCATCTATGAGATCATCCCACTGCAGCCCTGCAGAGGGAGGAAATGAGCAAGGGGCCATGTGGGCTCTGGGTCCCAGTGGTGGGTCCCAGGGTGGCAAGGCACTTACCCTCTCAGTCTGTTCTACGACTGTAAAGGGTAGTCTAGGGCTCTCCCCCATGGAATTTAGGTATCTTGTGCTTTCTGCTGTTGCCACAGGCTGTACACACACCCAGCTATCCCCGCTGCTCAGTAACTTCATCCAGCAGACACTCAGGGAATTGGCCACCACCAACCAGGTCCTGTGCCAGGCTCAGTGACCTTCACTATTTTAACACACGCACTTAAACAATACAATGATGCTAGAAGGTGTTATTTCTTACATGCTATTGTGGTTTAGGTTTCCCCCCACCTCTATGCATATTTCTTGATTGATTTAAGATTTAGCACTGTAGGTAACAATATATGTTACGTAGTTATATAGTCTGAAAGAGCTAGAAGGAAGATATTGAATGTTCCCAACACAAATGATAAATGTTCAAGATGCTGGATATGCCAATTACCCTGATCTGATCGTTATGCATTATTTGTATCAAAACATCACTGTGTACCCCATAAGTAAGTACCATTATTTTATGTCCATTTAAAAAATGAAAGAAAAAGTGTAGAAAACATTTACCTTTATATTTACCAATGCCTTTGATATGCTTCCTCTGTTCTGGAACATTCTCAACTATTATCTCCTCAGTTCTCCCCTGACCTATTATTCTCTCACTCTTCTCCTTCCAGAATGCTGATTGAACAGGCATCCATTAGACACTCTTACTCTGTCCGCTGTGCACATAAACTCTCTTTCATATTTCCTTTTTGACCGTCTATGCCAAACTCTGGATAATTTCTTCAGAGTCATCTTCCAGTTGACACACCTCTTTTCTGCTAGGTCTAATCTGTTCCAGAGTGTAGAAATGGAAGAATGACTCCTCAAGCTAAAGTAACCTTGTTACTAAAACCCCAACAAAGACAGTATGAGACAGGAAAATTATAGGCCAGTCACACTTGTGAACCTGATACAAAAGTCCTAAACAAAACATCAGCCAACAAAACCCAACAATCTATAGAAAGAATAATATGTCATGACCAAATAGGGTTTATTCCAGGAATGCAAGATTGATCTACCATTAGAAAACCAAATTACATGTTTACTATGCTAACTGAATTAAAGGAGAAAGGTCATTTGAGCCTGTCAGTGGATGCAGGGGGAAAGAATTTGATACAATTGAAAAGCCATGCATGATTTTAATAAAGCCACACACTTTGACCCACCAGGAGGTCCCTCAGCTTGCTTAAGAATACCTCAAAGAACCTGTGGCAAATGGCATCCTTTGTGGTGAAATATTGAGCTCTTTAAGATAAGGAAAAAGGCCCGGATGTCTGTTCTCACCATTTCTATTCAGCGTTGTCCTGGAGGTTCCTGGACAGTTTGGCGAGGTGGGAAAAAAAAAACAAGGAAGGACTGGAAAGGAAGGTGCACAGGTGACTCCTGGTTTCTAGCTTGCACTCCTGCAAGGATGTTTGTGCCATTTACCAAGATGAGAAAGACTGAGAAGCCTTGGGCTGAGTGTTGGGAGCACAAGAGAAAATGGCCTGGCTTCCCTGGAAAGATCACCAGGCCTGGAATCAGGATACTTCAGCTCCATTCCCAACTCTTCCCCCAGCCATGGATGGACTGCTTTCCTCCCTGGACCTGAGTCTCTATCTGTGAAATGGGTGGGCAGGAAAGATGGATCCAAGGTGGACTGTGATGGCCAGATCTGGTGGGAAACCAGAGAGGAACAGGGGGAGCCGGCCCCCATTCTCCAGGAGGGCAGGCTTCTGTGTGCAGAGCCTCTGGTGGGAGGAAACATCTGTTTGGGGATAGGGCAGGAGTCTGACCGAGTTAGGGCACCGTCTTGACCCTCTGCCTTGCAGAAACATCATCCCTTCTCTCCTTTGCCAAGGGGTTGCTATCGTTATTATTGTTGCTGTTATTGGTGCTGTTGGGTATGTTCTGCGGTTGTAAGGCACTGACCCCCACCGACATGTCTTTTTGATGTTTTAGACCTACAACGGCCAGAGCGAGAACAACGAAGACTATGAGATCCCCCCGATAACACCTCCCAACCTCCCGGAGCCATCCCTCCTGCACCTGGGGGACCACGAAGCCAGCTACCACTCGCTGTGCCACGGCCTCACCCCCAACGGTCTGCTCCCTGCCTACTCCTATCAGGCCATGGACCTCCCAGCCATCATGGTGTCCAACATGCTAGCACAGGACAGCCACCTGCTGTCGGGCCAGCTGCCCACGGTGAGTCCCTATCGCCTGCTGCAGTTCCTGCTGATGACAGCAGGGAGGGGGTTGAGAGGGAAGCAGAAGAATGTTGATGCTTTGATAAGAACTCTCTGCTCATGGGCAGGGTCTGGGTTTACCTGGTTGCTTGGAGTTGGTAATCCCATGCTGGGATTACCTGGTAGCATGGGAGTCTGTGGGACACGGTGGGTGGGCATGGAGAGAAATCTAATATCAGCACACTGCTTCCTTCTGGAGCTCTGCGTACAGTATCTCGGTATTGGTTTGCATTATTTGTTAATAGTATAATCTCATTTTTATTTTTTAACAGTTTTATTGAGGTATAATTTATATTCCATACAATTCACCCATTTAAAGTATACTACTTAATGACTTTTCATATATTGACAGAGTTGTGTGACCATTAACACGATTGATTTTAGAACATTTCATCACCCCATAAAGAAACACTAGCTAGGCACAGTGTTGTGTACCTATAATCTCAGCTACTTGGGAGGCTAAATGGGAGGATCGCTTGAGCCCAGGAGTCCTGGGCTGTAGTGCCCTATGCAAATCAGTTGGCTGCACTAGCTTTGGCATCAGTATGGTGACCTCCTGGGAGAGGGGAACCACTAGGTTGCTTAAGGAGGGGTAAACTGGCCACGGTCGGAAACAGAGCAGGTCAAAACTCCCATGCTAACCAGTAGTGGGATTGTGCCTGTGAAAAGGCACTGCACTCCGGGCATCATGGCAAGACCCTATCACGAAAAGAAAAGAAAAATGCTCTGTTGCCGGGCATGGTGGCTCACGCCTATAACCCCAGCACTTTGGGAGACTGAGGCAGGAGGATCACTTGAGTCTAGGAGTTCAAGACCAGCCTTGGCAACATAGCAAGACCCCGTCTCTACAAAACAAATTAGCCAGGTGTGGTGGCATGTACCTGTAGTCCTAGCTACTTAGGAGGCTGAGGTGGGAGGATCACTCAAGCCCGGGAGGTCAAGGCTGTGGTGACAGAGTGAGACCCTTTCTCAAAAAAACAACAGGAAGAAACATCATATTTTTGGCCATCACTCCCAATCCACCCCCTGAAATCTTCAGCCCTAGGCAACCACTAATTGACTTTCTGTCTCTATAAATTTGTCTGTTCTGGACATTTCATAGAAATGGAGTCATATAATTAAAAAAAAATTGTATCTTGCTTAAGCTGCCAGAGAAGAGGGTGATTACTGAGTTAAAGTTCATGGGATAGGTAAAAATGTAGCAGGCAGACAAAGGCAAGAAAGAACCTTTCCCAGGTTGGGGGAATATCAGGTACAAAAGGAGGTGGCAAGGGTGCTCGTGCCATGCTTGGGAATAGCATGTGGTTCATGCTTTTTATTGGGCTGGAGAGGAAGGACCTGGAGCCAAGGAGAGAGAGGAGATGAAAGAGCTCAGCAGGGCCTGGATCATAAGGGTCCTGAATCCCATTCTAAGGAGATATATATCCTTAGAATGGCTGATTTGAGGCCAGGCATGGTGGCTCACAGCTCTAATCCCAGCACTTTGGGAGGCTGAGGCGGGGGATCACTTGAGGCCAGGAGTTCAAGACCATCCTGGTCAACATGGTGAAATTCTGTCTCTACTAAAAATACAAAAATTAGCCAGGCATAGTGGCACACACCTGTAATACCAGCTACTCAGAAGGTTGAGGCACGAGAATTGCTTGAACCTGGGAGGTAAAGGTTGCAGTAAGCTGAGATGGTGCCACTGCACTCCAGCCTGGGCCACGCAGCAAGACCCTGTCTCAAAAAAAAAAAAATAATAATGGCTGATCTGAACCATCAAAATCTATAGAAAAATGGTAGAACAGTAGAGCATTTTTTTTATACCACAGAAAAATCTCCTTAAGGGAATTCTATTGCTTCTTCTGAACAACTGTGACTTGTGTTTATTTTTGCTTTTTTTCCCTTCACATTTAATATTACGTACTAGTCATGACTCTTACGTTCATTTTTAAGTGACAGGGACCAAACTCAAACTTATACAAAAGAGTATGAAATATCCAGGGGGTGGATACAGGGTTTCAGGCATGGTTCAATCCAGGAACCCCACCAGTGTCACAAGGCCCATTTCCACACAACAGGCTTGATGGCTGCTGGCAGCCAGCATCTTCCCTGACATCTCTGGCAGAGAGGATGATGACAGCATCGCTGGACAGACCACTATGTCTAGGAGGAAGCAGTTCACTATTTTGTCAGCTTGAGTCACACATACACCTGTGGCACAGGAGGAGGCCTGCTTAGTTGATTTTCCTAGCAGAATCTCATGGTTTGGGGTGGCTTGTGTCTACCTCTGCCATGACTGTTCAGAAGCCACAGTCGAATTTGTGGCCCAATTCTAGCAGACCCCTGGGACCTTAGGACACGGCTTTATAGTCAAACGATCTCAACTGTATTTTGTTTACTCTTCATTTATTACCACCAAACTTCCTTGTTCAAAAAAGCGGTGTCCTCTGTGTATTTTTATAAGGCACGTCACATTTTTTTGTTTGTTTTTGAAGCTAGGTGGGAAATAAAAGGAGACAAGAAAGGGAAGGAGGGTGGGAGGAAACCAACTCGAGATCCACATTTCATAGTGTTTGGTTCTCACGAAAGAGTTCAATGAAAATGGATGCTCCGTTTCTCCAGAAATTTTTTCCTCGTGGGTCCATCAATAATGCAAGTCCTCAGCTTCCTCTTCTCTCTCTCAAACCTAGCGATTCAGACTCACACTGCCATGTCTGGAATGGTTTTAACCCATTTATGCCTGAGGTTGCAATTTTTTGAATTTTTGCTATCAGACCTTGGCAATGAGCTTGAGCAGTAGGATATAAATAACTCCCACATGCTTAGCGTTTCAGTAATGGAACACTAGGCATAAATGGGTTTCCAGTTCGTTAGAATGCTTGTACCGTACTTGCTTACTGGGCTCATTTTCTAGCAGAAACCTCACTGCTCCGGACCATCCCTGTTTGGGATTTATGGTAATACAAACAAGAGCAGGGCCAGGTGGGCACTTTGTCATCTGCTATGAGGGCTGTGGTGCAGGGGTGAGCATGGCTACAGTTTGGGGCCACTGTGTTGCCGCCTTTGGTACTGGGGTGAATGGAGACAGTGTGGGGTGGTGGTTGGTCCCAGACACCAGAATTAGATCCTGGCTTCACCTTTGAAGCCTCGGTTTCCTTGTCTTGGAATCATAATCGTACCCACCTGAGGATTGTGATGAAGTGTATCGGAGATAATGTATGTAAAGTCTTAGCAAATGTCTGGCAGAGAGTAAACATTCAATGAGCACTTGCTATTATTATTTGTAATAAAAACGAATTTGACTGTAACTGAATGGCAGTGTTTTCCCTTAAGTCTCATTTACCTAAAGGAGCAGACTGCAGACGCCCTCAGGTACATTTGTAGGGCCACCTGATTATAATAGCTCTGATAATTACAAAGCATGTTATCTTTTTGTCAAAGATGGCCCCCTAATTGCCCCTCCTAGGAAATGCTTTTGTTGGGCTCTGTCCAAATAGGCACTTGCAGTCGTTTTCCAGATTTTCTTTAAAAGTAGCTCATGTTTAAGAGGCTTCACAAATTCAGATAGCCTTAATTCTTCCATTAGACTTTGCAAGGGTTCACTGAATTTTATATTTTCTCTTTATGTCATGAAAGATAAGCCAAACTCTATTACCCAGGGGAGGGCACCCGGACCAACTGGGAAAACCAGATAAGGAGATGTACATGCATTGGGACTATCTGGTGAAGAGAGACAAGGGACTCTTCAAGACAAGAGTTTTTAAATTCATCTGAACCACAGGACAAAGGGGCGTGGCTCTGTGTGTGCGTGGGCATACACGCTACGTGGGTGACGCTGGAATTGGTGTTAACACCTGCTGGGTTTCAAGCACCGTGCAGAGGGCTTTCAAACGTTTTCTTGCATAATCCCCCCAAGAAGCAAACCGAGGGATAATGATAATAGTATCATGAAGGGATGGAGACCCCAAGGTGGCAGATGATTATATTAGTGTCTCATGGCTGTTCCAAGAGATTGCCACCAACTTGGGGGCTTAAAAAAACAGAGATTTATTCTATCACACCTCCAGAAGTCCAGAAGCAGTCTCCTTGGGCTGAAATCACGGTGTCAGGAGGAACTCACTTTCCCCAGAGGCTGTCGGGGAGAATCCAGCCTCGCTTCTCCTCCGGCTCCTGGGGGTTGCTGGTCTTCCCTGGCTCGTGGCTGCATCATTCTGATCTCTGCCTCCATCTTCACATCGCCTTCCCTCTGTCAGCAAAACTCCCTTTGCCCCTCTTCTAAGGACATTTGTGATGGCATTTAGGGCATTTGGGGATAATCTAGGAAAATCTCCCATCTCAAGATCCTTAATCACATCTGCAAAGACCCTCTTTTCTAAATACAGTACCATTTACAGGTTCCAAGGATTAGGACCTGATGTCTTTGGGGGACATTTTTCAACCTACCACAGTGATCCTCAGCTGTGCGACAGCCTTCATTGAGTGCCCACTAGGTACCAGGCATTGTTCTAGGCTTGTGATCTACAAGATGCCCTTGAGGGACTCCTGGTGCAGATGGAGAGAAGGTGAAAAGCCTATTTCTAAGACTGTGGTAAATTCTCTAATAGCATCAGTGTGTGGTGCTCTGTGCCCGGAAGAGGCCCCTTAGATGTGGGGTTATCACTTCCTAGAGGAAGTGTCCCCTGATGCAGAGTAGATTCTATAAGTACTTTGTGAATGAATTACTGTCATGCAGCTCTTAAACAGCAAGGCCAGAATGCAAACCCAGCTCTATCCCCTGCCATCCACCTCTCAGTTTTACCAGATGGCTGAGGGATGGTGCGGCTGGGCTGCAGGGCCACAGGTGGCACAGAGGATGCGCTGATGGCCAGGGTGCTTCAGGCGTTGTCTGCACAGATCGAGATACACTGAGGATGTCATCCCTGGAGAGGCGGGCAAGGCCAAGGCATTTGACAGCCATCTCATAAATGCCAAAGCCCCCTTGGCTCTGATCCCAGAGGCCACCAATTCTTTCCGGTCCCCTGCCCTGGCCTGTTCAGCCTTGCAGGCGTGGGTGGGAGTTAGCTTTCTGCTTTGAAGGTATGGCAGCTAGCAGGAGTCATGTACAGTATTGGAATCGAACCCCTTTTACAAAATTAAATATGCTTAAGGCTTCTCTCTCAACTTCAGCGTCTTAACTGATTAAACATTTATTTCCAAGACAAAAAGAGTCAATTTAGTATGAAAGATATATTTTGCCGGTTTAATTTAAAGTGCTGCACCTCTGTCTGACCCTGATTTTCATAACTCAATAATTTTATCCTGTGTTGATTGTCTCATTTCGAGAGAGATATTGTATGTATAAATCAGTTTCTAAAATACCCAAAGAAACTCGAAGAGTGGAATTTATTAAGCTGCTTCTGTTAAGTCTGAAATCATTTATTTTGGAGTCGTCCTTGGGAAATGTTTGAGCTTATGCTCCTGGCTTACCCAGGAGAGGAATTACCCTGGGAGATGACAGAGTTGGACATTCCCAGACAGGTTCCTGGGGAACCTGCATCTTTTGTGAGACCAGAGAAACTCCTGGGAGAGCCTCGGGCAGATGGAGGCTGGGCCCAGCCAGAAATGAATTCTGGCAAAGCTCCCCCGACAGTAGCTATAGATTCTGCTGATCAGGGAAATGTGGGTTTTTCCTGCACCAAGCCCTGTGGGTCCCTGGAGTTGTGTGGTCTTGCTGTGGGACTCACTTAGTGCAGGAGAGGTATGCAGTGTCATTCATGCATTCTCCTCCCAGCTTTGACTCCTGTTTGCTATCTTTGGGATCTTGGACAAGTTACTTCTCTCCCAGCCTCAGTTTTCCTATCTATGAAATGGGGATTGGGATTTCAGCTCTGGTGAACTCACAAATAGGAAAATGGGTAGAATTGTTTTGTTAGCAGTGACATACTAGACAAGTATATGGATCTGAAGTTCAATAGTCCTCCCACTACCAACGTCACACATATCACTGGCCTAAGGGGGCTCAAATACTATCAAATGCAGTACTTAGTGCTGCGTTTCAGATTCTTTGTGTTCTAGGTCCCCGTCCCAAAGCATCTTGCCAAGATAGGCCCTTCATGCTGCACACACAGGGCTAGGGGCTGTGGCCCAGGGTCCCCCACCCCAAGTGAAGGGCCTTTCCATGCTGGTGCCCTGGACTAGGCTGTTGGGGAAGGGGCTGAGCTGTACCTTAGTTGCCACTTGACCACCTTGCTTTAGAGATGGTTCCTGTGCCCGGAGCCTGGGGGCAGGATTTAAAACTTGGAGTGGGGACTTGATCCTGGGGGCAGGGCCTTGGACTTAGGGACAAGTTCTGGGTATTGACTCTGGGAGGTCCTTGATATACCTTGGAGTGGGGACTTGATCCTGGGGGCAAGGGCCTTGGAGTTAGGGACAGGGTCTGGGTATTGACTCTGGGAGGTGCTTGATATACCTCCTAACACCTCCCCCATTTTCTTCCTGTTCTGAACTATTCCCCTCCAATCTCCTTTCTCTCTCCTCTTCTCTTCCCTACCACTTTCCTCCTCCCTGCAGAAGGCATGGTCTATCCCTGTTGGATTCTCACAAGTTGAGACATAGGAATACCCTCCCAAGTTGCAGACACAAGGAAGAAAGACCCTCAACCCTTGGTCCTCTGGTCTTCTGAAACACAGGGGGCAGTAGGGACCCCCTAGTCCAACCCATTCATTTCATTACTCTTAATGCATAACATTTTTGGTTTGGTCTTGTCTTATGAATGTATCAATTAGCTTTTGCTGTGTAACAAACTACCCCAATACCTAGTGGCTTAAAACAATGAATTCTTATGATTTCTCATTATTTGGCAGGTCAGCGAGGTAGTTGTTTTGATCTGGACTGATTCAGGTGATTTCTGAGGTCCAGCTTAAAGCCTGCCTGCAGCTGCTTATTCTAGGATGGCCTTATTGACATTGCAGTGCTTGGCCCAGGGTCAGCTGACACCAAAGGGGAATGATTTGGCCACTCTCATATCTCGTGATGAGAGGTGTATGTCTCAAGGCTGGGCATCGTGGCTCGCCTGTCATATCAGTACTTCGGGAGGCCAAGATGGGCAGATCACTTGAGGTCAGGAGTTCAAGACCAGCCTGGCCAACATAGTGAAACCCCATCTCTACTAAAAATACAAAAATTAGCTGGGCATAGTGGCTTGCGCCTGTGGTCCTAGCTACTCGGGAAGCTGAAGCAAGAGAATCACTTGGACCCGGGAAGCCAAGGTTGCAGTGAGCCAAGATCATGCCACTTGCACTCCAGCGTGGGTGACAGAGTGAGACTATCTCAAAAAAAAAAAAAAAAAAAAAAAAAAAGGAAAAGAGAGATGTGTGTCTCTCATCACATGGTGGCCTAGGATCATTCACATGGTGATGGACACAGGGTGCAAGAGAGGGTACACCCCAATGTGCAGTACTTTTCAAACCTCTGCACGCATCCTATTTGCCCTAGCCCATTGGCCAAAGCCTGTCATGTGGCAAATCCCAGAGTAAGGGGTGGAGAAATAGATCCTACCTCTTGAAGAGAGAAATGGTAGAGTCGCATCATATGAGGGTGTGCACGCAGAGAGGCAAGAATGTGTAGCTAACTTTGTAACCTACCATGATGACATTTTGGGTTTTCTCTGTGCATTTTTGGTTTCTTGGCATACAGTATCATCTAGTAGTCAGGTGTATAGGCTATGTGGTCAGGCTGACCTAAGTTCAAACCCCAGCTCCCCTCCTTGTTACCCCCAACCCTGTGACCCAGATCAAGGGGTTGATCCTCCCTGAGCCTCAGTTTCTTCATCTGTAAATGGAGATATTGTTACCTGCCTCATAGGAGTTTATAAAGAGTCAGCGATCCGATGCAGGTGAAGTGTCACGCATAGGCAATTGGTAAATGTAAGCTGCTCTGTTTATTACTTTAACCACTTTATTGACGGGGTTGGGGTGGCTTCAGCCTCGTCTCTAAGTTTGTCCGGGCTGACCTGCTGCTTACCAACTTTGTCGGGGGCTGAGGTGGCCAGGGATAGTGGGAGGGCCCCAGCTGGGGGACAGGCAGGGGAAGGCATATTAGTTACACTTAGGACCTCGGTCAGGGCTCAGAGCTTAAAAGCAACAGCGGAGTGACAGTTCCACTGCTTGCCAAGAAAGCGGGGGCCCAAGACGCAATGCTTCTTGGCATCGTGACCAAGGGAAGGATCCATCTTAGTCGAAGCAGGGGGTTACCAGGGGCACCTCCGAGTTGGGCTTTTCCAAGGTGCCATGCTTTTGTCTAACGTCCCTCTGGGGATGGAAGTAGGGGGAGCACTGATCTCCCAAATGGGTCTCTGAGGGTCCTAAACAGTGGTAACTAGAGGCCCTGGGCTTCCTTTGTATTTACCAGAGTCCAGATGAAACTCCTGGCCCCTGTTTTTCAGAGGCATTAAGCAAAAGAAATATGTCTTTTTACATTTTATAAAACTCAGAAAAATGGCTTTAAACAGCTTTTGCTCTCCTGCTATAATTATTTATTTTCAAACACTCCTGCAGGGGACCGCTCCGTTTTCTTACCCTGAACTCCTTTTTCTCATAAATGAACCATCACTTCAATAAATCATTATGGAAACAGAGACTAACACCGGCTCTGAAAGGTTGAAAGATTTATGTAACACATTTATGTTTCCCATTTTCTCATTCTGGTACTCGGCTGCAAAAGCTAAGCTAATAAAAGCTGCTATTAATATTTCTTGTTGCCTAGCAACCCCAGAGCGGGAGTAATAGCTTCGGCTAGAAAAATAGATGACCGATAAGGAAAAATTCAATTCTTTTATTATCTCAGGGGGAAATGGCCTTTTACTGGAACATTATGATGTACGAGTGTGAAGTTGAACACAAAAGATTTTTTTGTATGTGTTTGTTTTTCTGTTTTTAATGAACATTATTTTACCTCCACTAACTCTTTTAGGGCACTTTTACTTTTCTTTCGTAAACCCCCCATCCCATCCCTCATGCTTAATTTAGCAGCTACAGTAGTTAAGAATCTGTCGGCGTTCTTTAGTTTAAAAATGGTTTTTGCAAAGGTTTACAACTCGGTCATAAAAATTCACTCCCTGTTAAAACTCAGGCCAGTGATAAGCTAACACGCAGGCTGGTTTTCTGTGAACAGGATCACGTTTGTTGACGAGATAAGATTCATGGTTTTCCCTACAAGAAAGGTCGGAAAGGAACAAAACATGTTCTTTTCCATGTCCCAGTTTTCTTTGGAACCAGGGACACTGTCTCTTTTGAGAACCGTTTGCTCTGCAGTTTGGGATGCGTTCACACTGGGAGAGGATGGGGCACAGATATTCACTGAGCACCTGCTCTGCAGAGCCTTGGTGCCGTTCCCTTCTCCCAGCACCCTTTAAGGTAGGAACCATTAGGGTGCCTATTTTTCAGATGCAGAAACTGAGGCTTAGAGAGGCCAAGGGATCAGGCTGAGGTAGCATCTTTTTTATTTTTAGTAGAGACAGGATTTCACCATGTTGCCCAAGCTGGTCTCGAACTCCTGAGCTCATGCAATCTGCCTGCCTCAGCCTCCCAAAGTGCCAGGATTACAGACGTGAGCCACTATGCCTGGCCTGAAGTAGCATCTTAAACCATGGTGTTTCCCACCTGTGTTCTTTAGCGCAGGGGTTCCCAACCTCGGCACCACTGACATTTTGGGTGGGATGATTCTCTGTTATTGGGGGTGTCCTGTGCCTTGTAGGATGTCTAGCAGCATTCCTGGCCTCTACTCACTATTCCTGGCCTCTAGTAGCACTACCCTAGTCAAAATAAAAACGAAAAATGTCTCTAGACCTTGCCAAACATCCCCTGGGAGCAAAATCACCCCTGGTTGAGAGCCTCCGCCTGCTGTTCGCTCTGCTGAGAAGGCTGTTCCACCTTGTCCACCCAGTGAACTCCTATTCCTGTATGAGGACCCAGTTCAGAAGTTATCTTCTCACAGAGGCTGCCTGGATGCTCTGGGCTGGAACGAGGGTGAGGCATGTGAGATGCGTGCCTCAACCATAAAATTTAAAGGTGTGTCCAAAAAGTCATCAAGATAAAAATAGTGTTTTAACGAAATATTTTGAAAAGGCAAGATTAACACAGAAAACCATGATGAACAACATATCAGAAATGTAAATTAAGGTGGGATCAGTCTGAATTCATGGCAATATGTGGTTGTGCATTTACCAGGGGCCACCAGCCTGGGATGGCCTGAAGGCTGGGCCTGGGCCTTGTGTCTTTCTCTGGCCCCAGAATCTAGCAAAGGGCCTGGTTAGCAGGTGACCTTCAATGTCTGTTTATTAATTACTGAATGAATGGGAGAAGGGAATTACTTGTCCAGGGTCACATAGCCAGAAAAAGGATAGAGCTGGGACTTGAACCTGGGCCTCTGACTCTAAGCCCAGTTCTTCCTGCACCCGCCTGGCTGAGTATGAGTATGGGGTGAATCTTTGTTGTCCGCTGAGTAGGGACCTAAGCTGTGGACGATTGAAAGATGCTCTGGGGTGCTCACCGTCTAGGAGTGGCGGGCAGGGAACAGTGGCCGTGATTTCAGCTTGGTGTCAACCCGGCTTTCCCTGGGGCTGTTATTTCGGCTTCACCACCTCTGTGCCAGGCGAGAGCTGACGTGGGCAGCTCAGTGACATGTGGAGCATCCCCAAGAACATCACGATGGCCAGCCCCTTGCAGCACTGCTCATGCCCATGGGGCCAGATGCTTCACCTTGGCCTTTGGAGGTCAAGAACCACACCTTATTTGACCTTGTATCCTCTCAGTGAACTTTTCCTAAAGGAATGGGTGAATTATTTATAACTGTCATGTAACATTTATTTAGCAGTTACTATGGAACTGGCACCTACTTAAACCCTTTCTATTTATAATCTCACTTAATCCTTGACCCTGAGAAGGAGGTACTGTTATTGTTGCCATTTTACAGATGAGAAAACAGAGGCACAGAGGGGTAAATGACTTGGCTACACAGTTATCAAAATGATGGTGCCAGGAATTGAACCCAGGCAGCCCGACTCCCCAGCCTGGGCTCTCCATATCTAGCCCATGTAGCCTTCCAAAATGAATGAGTGAATGAGCAAGGCAGTGAGCGGGACAAGATGGAGACCCACTTTATCTGCCCAGCTCTGAGTTGAGCTATTCATATTCATAAATAATCTCAACATGAAGTGTGAGGCACTTGCAGCTTGGAACAAGAAATGGAAGAAGTGCTGAGCTCAGGGGACTGTCCCGGCACCGAAGGCTTCCTGGAGGGGGTAGCCTTGGGGGCCAGAGGACAGTGGGAAAGCCTGAGAGGAAGAAATTTCATATGTGCATGGACCTCCCTGTTCAGACCTGATCACCACCCCTTCCGCTGAAATTCATAAAACAATTTGTGATGTTTTATGGTTGCTCAGCTGCCCTCTGGTACCCACCCTTTCCATCCCCTGCTGGGCTCCTAATCAGAGCACTCGAGGCTGAGTGCAAGGGCCAGGTGTTTAACTTCCACTCCAGGCAGCATGCCAAGCCTAACAGGGTATGAACTCTGAGAGCTGCTCCTGAGTCATGAGGGAGAATTAAGGGAAAATCGCAGCGACATTCGTCAGCTGCAGCCTCGATATTACTGGGTGTAATGGCTCTTTCCTCCGAGTGCATATTCAGGACCATGTTTGGGAAAATGAGCTTTTAATGTACCGTCGGCATTGCTGAGAAGCCATCTTTGGCTCCGCAGAATGTCTGGAGCACATAAAACTTGAGATTTATTGGAGTCATTTTCCCCCTGCTCTGCCTGGATAATAAAAAGTCAGTCTCATGAGCTCTCTTTCTCTCATCTTGTGGCTTTGTCCATTTAGAACTCGGAGCCTTTATAAAAGGCAGCAAGACAAATACAGCTCATCTAAATATTAAAGCTCCAGGAGAGAGTGTCGGGGGACTATGGAAGACTGGAGGCTGGGAGCGTTTCCAGGACAAGCGCGCCCCATCAGAGATTTAAGCTCAGCAGCTGTGTTGGGCTGGGGCCCGGGCTATGGTGGTGGCAGCTGCTTGCCCAAGCAGTAGCACTTAACTGGGAGTCTGGGGTCCTGGGTGCCTGTTCTACCCCAGTGGGTGACCTTGGGTGAATTACTGTCTCTCTCAGAGCCTCAAGTAAGATGGAGCTGATGCTGTCTACTCCACAGAGTGTGGGAATCAAACGTGCCAATGAATATTTCTGATGCTTTGCTTCATGTGTGGCATGTAGCAGGTGTCTGAAAAAGGTTTGTTGACTGACTGACTGACTGACTGACTGACTGAAAAATGAATGAATGAATGAATGAATGAAAAATAAATGCCTCTGTAAACACCTCAAACATCATTTTTGGAGACTAAGTTACATGGGGACCCTATAGCATCTTCTGTCTTACACAGCAGTCTGCTTCATATCTTCTAACCCTCCTGTTGACTTTAAGGGAGATAGAATTCTGCTCATTTACAGATGTGTTCCCAAGACCTAAAGGGAAGGTGGCTTGTCCAAAGACACACAGCTAGGAAGTGGTGAAGACAGGATGGGACCCTGATTCTTTTGACCCCAAGTGCTTTATGTCCTCAACACAAAAACATCCCTCACCCTATCCTTGGCCCAGGCCTCTGAGCTGGGATGGTGGGCAAAGGTGGGACCCTTGCCCCTGTCTCCCTATCGAGTGTGGGTGTTGGTCAAAGCTCTCAGCTGAGACAGGGTTAGGAGGGCAAAAGTGTTGGTTTAATGGCTCTGTCTCCAAACTCCTGGTAGCAAGGAAAAAGGGAAGGAATATCAGGTGAGTAGTCAGAACCTGTCATAGGGTGTGTGTGTTGGGCAGAGCTGTGGGACTGGGATGCTGGAGCCCTGAGGAATCTCTAACTAACTAACTAAGCATGGTTAGTTCTTCCTGTCATCCCGGAAACTGATAACAAGACCGCGAGTCAGGAAGCCTGGGTTTAACTTCCTGTCTCTGCCACCACTAAGAGATTGTGGGAGACAAGTCACTTTCCTTCCGGCCTCACTTTCTTCACCTGTTGAATGGACAAAACCTAAATCACCCCAGGGAGTTGTGGAAAGGATCAAGGGAGAGGGGGCTTCTAAAGCATTTCATGAATGAGCTCCTCAAGAGATTCAAGTCTCTGGAGGGTGTGGATCACAGCCGGCTCAGGAGAGCCCCGGGATTAGGAGGTAGGGCTCCAAGGTCAGGCAGCATCAGCTGCACATGTAACCAGCTGTGCGACCTCAGCCAAGCTGTTTAACCTCTCTGTGCCACAGTTTCCTCCCAGGGTTGTTGTGAAGAGTAAATGAGACATTAGAGATGCTATCTGGAGCCGCGCTAGAGGGAGGTCTGCCTGGTCCCACAGGCAGCACTGCAGCGTGGATTAGGCCACGGAGTTGCTGGCATTTGTTCCCCAGTGTGAACTGTGAATCAGTCATGGGTCACAGGCCAGAAGTAGGTGGAGCTCCTGCATAACTTCCTACGTAAGACGGCCCCCCAAGGGAGGGAGAGCATTAGGACAAATACCTAATGCATGCGGGGCTCAAAACCTAGATGACAGGTTGATAGGTGCAGCAAACCACCATGGCACATGTATACCTATGTAACAAACCTGCACGTTCTGCACATATAACCCGGAACTTAAAGTAAAATTAAAAATAAAAATAAAAATAAAAAGATGGCCCCTCTTGGCCAAGGGCAGTTCTCGAGAAAGGGGCAGGTGTGTGCCTTTGGCAGCCACACTCCCAGCAGGGGATCCAGCAAGACAGACTACTGCTGAGCTGCTTCTGGAAACGTGATCCTAAGGCCAGCAGCAGCAGCATTGCCTGGGGACCTGTTAGAGATGCAGATTCTCAGGCCCCTCCCTAGACCTGGTGACTGGGAGACTCGGCTGGGCCCAGCAGCCCATGCCTAACCACGCCTCCAGGGGCTTCTAATGCCAGCCCAGAACACTAGGCTGTGGTCATCCTCAGTTGAGCCCTGAATTCTCAGTTGTTTTAGGACACATAGGATGCACTTGTGTTTCTGTTTGCCTTGAGGATTTCATCACACTGAGGATGGTTGCAGACTTTTTCCCCCCAGAGGAACTCGAGGACCGACACCTCTGCCTGTGGTTCCTGGTTCTTTCCTACCCTGTGCACCTCCCATTGGGACAGGCCTTGAAGCGGACCCTCTGGCATGATGACAGTCCCAGCCTGTGATCAGAAAGACTCTAGGTTTTCCTGAATCGCACGACGCCTCATCCTGGGGTGCTTCATGGGCAATTGTGCACCAAGGGCCTAAGAAGAACCAGGAACAAAATGCAACAGGGAAAAGAAAGGGGGCCTAGGACAGGGGAGGTATCAGGGACGTCTTGTGACCAGAACGCAAAATTCCTCCCACTGCTTATGGGGGAGAGGGGTGTGCATATGCCGGGGAAGGGATGGATCAGCAAAGCCCATTCTTTGAGATCATAGGAGGACAGAGTGTGAGCAGGTAGACAGACTCAGACATTTGCAGCACTGGTAGCAACTGGCCCGGGAGAACTGGACCTTCGTCAGAAGCACAGGGTAACAGCAAATTATGGGGCCGTAAGCCGAGATTCTAAGACTGAAGGATCAGCCTGAGATGGTCGCTACCCCATCCCACAGGACTCCTCTTCTCCTTTGGGAGCCCCAGACCTGAGGCCCCTGTCCCTGTGCACACAAGACCCCCAACCACTCCCTTTTTGTCTGCCTTGTGAACTTGACACCTTCTTACCTTCTGCTTCTGTATCCCTCCTCTGAGAAGCAGATTAACTCTAGCCAGTACATTGGCTGTGCCCTGCATGCTTCCACTAGGTCGACTTTTTTTTGAGAAAGAGTCTTGCTCTGTTGCCCAGGCTGGAGTGCAGCGGTGCAATCATGGCTCCCTGCAGCCTCTACCTTCCTGATTCAAGCAATCCTCCTGCCTCAGCCTCCTGAGTAGCTGGGATCACAGACACACACCACCATGTCTGGCTAATTTTTGATTTTTTTTTTTTTTTAAGAGATGGGGTTTCCCTGTGTTGCCCAGGCTTGTCTTGTACTCCTGGCCTCAAGTGATCCTCCCACTTTGGCCTCCCAAAGTGTTGGGATTATAGGTGTGAGCCACCACACCCAGCCTAACTGACTTTGATCACACTAAACCAGAACTGTACCTTCCCATAACCCACTGCAAAATGAATTCCAGATGTGGTAGGGAGCAGGCTCACTTTGCCCTTAGCACGTGGCGGAAGGCCCGTCACCCACACATGCGTCCACAGCACAAGTGAGCAATGGCCGGCCGATGACGCTGGAGACAAAACTGTCCTTCGGGAACAGCCCCTTAACCGGGACTCTCCTTGTCTTCTCTGTGCCCATGGCCCTGCTGAGAGGGGGGTCAGCACATTGCCAGAATTAATGTCACTGGCCTTGGACTTGGAGAGAACTGGATTTTGAGTTTCTCCAGCTACATGCGTGTTGAGGAAGTTACCCAGGCCCTCTGAACTTTAGTGTTTTTTTTTGTGTGTGTAAAATAGATGTATTATTCATTCTTACCTTGTGGGTTGCTTTGAAAATCAGATGCTGTCATGATTATAAAGTACTCAGCATGGGAGCCATGGCAATGCTATTATTTGTCTCTAAGCACTTTACGTGTGAGCTGTCTCTTTTTCTTCCCTGCCAACCACATAGAGGGCTCTGTATCCTTTCTGGTTCCCCCAGGAAGTCCACCTTCCCAAGCATTGGTGAACTGACAGTGGATACCCACATGGTCTCACAGGGGTACCTGGCACAAACAGTTTACTCATTTTTGCAGTTCCATGCCTTATTGTGGCCACAGTCACTGTGAGCCTGTGAGTGTATCCCTGCCCTGTGGCATGTTCCATGCCTGGTTCTTCTCTCGGTTCTGTCTGTCACACTGTGAGCCCCTCAGCCCTGGCATCTCCCCTATACTTACCTCTGTGCCCATGAAACCAAAGCTCCTCCATGGGCAGGACCTGCCTTCGTTAGAAATTAGCTTAGTGACCCCTGAGTGGGGTGTCCTTGGGATCCACCCTCCACCCCAAGCAGGTCCTCAGTGTGTTTCTATCAAACAGGTACAATTTTTCTCCCAGAGACAGATTCTAGTTGTACATTAGTTGGAGTCTACCAAGAAACAGGCACCAGACGGGATTAGATATGTAAGAGGAGAGAGAGAGGGAAAGGGAGGTGGGGGGAGGAAGAGAAGGCCAGAGGAGGGGGGAAGCTTCAGACCATGATATAGGTCTGAAACCAGAGGGAAAAAGGATGGGAAGGAGGGAGGAAAGGGAAGAAAGAAGGAAGGAAGTGAGGTAGGAGGGAAAGATAGAGGAAGGAAGGGACAGAAGGGAAGGAAGGAAGGGATCCCAGCACTTTGGGAGGCCGAGGCGAGCAGATCACCTGAGGTCAGGAGTTCAAGGCCAGCCTGGCCAACATGGTGAAACCCTGCCTCTACTAAAACAACAAAAATTTAGCTGGATGTGGTGGTGAACACCTGTAATCCCAGCTACTTGGGAGGCTGAGGCAGGAGAATTACTTGAACTTGGGAGGCAGAGTTTGCAATGAGCCAAGATCGCACCACTGCATTCCAGTCTGGGTGACAGAGCTAGACTTTATCTCAGAAAAAAAAAAAAAAAAAAAGGAGGGAAAGAAGGACTGACTGGATAGGAAGATCTGGGTAGCAAGGACTGGACAGGAAGCATCTTGGACTGCATCAGTTTTAAGAAAGATTGGCCAGGCCAATGGGGAGTCCTCAAACCAAAGCTGCCCATCAGAAGAGCTGCACACCTTCCCCAAATGGACCTGCCTTAAGCACCAATGTGTTCAGACACTGACTGGGCGTGACCACAGGCCAGCGTGGCCTGGGAGGCGCATGCTCAGGGAGCCGAGGAGCTGCAGCTGGTGCTCTCAGCATCAGTGCCACCTGGCACAGAAGGTCTGAGTCCCACATTTTGGTGGCCAGCACAGTCCATCCCTTTTGCCACACAGCTCTGCTTCTCATGCAGGACAGTGAGCAGCACCTCCACGTCCCGTGGGCCCTCACTTCTGCAGGGAAACTTAACAAATGACAACCTCATTGCTGCCTCTGGTCTTGGGGCTGCCACCAGCACTCACCCCCTTCCCTCCTTCCTCAGCCACATCCCCTCTCCCTTAGCCCGTCCCCTCTCTGATCCGGTGGTGGCTTTTTATAAGATAGCTTTATCATACTTCTGTATTGAGGTTCCACTATCTTTATAAGATGACTATTACACTGAGTTCTCCTGAGTAATCTACTACACTGAGATCTCATACTTCTGTATTGAGGTTATACCATCTTCCTAAGATGATTATTACATTGAGCTCTATACGGTTATTACCATGGAGTTGTATATAGTATTACCTTATCTCTTTTATGGTCTTCGTATCTATAATTACACCCTGATTCATAATGCTAAAGTCATATATTGGTGGTTTCTCCCTCTCTTTTCTGTTCACCTTTACCCAGGGTTTATCCATCTTATTGCTTTATCTACATTGTTTTATTCATTTTATTCAGAGGACTAAGCATCAGAGTTGTGTTCCAATTCTCTTACTTTTCTTTCTCTTAATGTTTTCCCTCTTTATGAATCCCTTCTTTCTTTTTGTAGATGTTTACATTTTTTATTTTGAATTCTTTAGTTCATTTACTTTTATTGTTTATTGTTTAATAATAAAAAGTTTATGGCTGTACATTTTTTCTTAGTATGGCTTTGGCTGCATCTATAAATTTTGAAATGAAGTCTTCTTACATCTTTTACTTTCTTCCCAAAGCATAGCTTTGTGGATTTGATTTTTAAAAAATGGCACATGTTCACTGTGAAAAAAAAATTAAACCAACAAATACAAAGAAGTAAAAATTGTTAAAACTGCACCATCCACAAATAATCATTATTAACCCAACCATTTACTAAGTATCTTTTCAGTCTTATCTTTGTGCATTATACACAAAGATAATATATACAATAATATATACAATATACAAAGATATACAATATACAAAGATAATATACACAATATATAAAAATATGTACAAAATTTACATACATGGGACCCGAATGTGATGCCTTTTCCTGTACTTTCCAGTGTGTTCTATTGGAGCAGTTCTAGGACCTGCCAATTTTCTGCAACAGTGTATCATGTGTATACTTCCACGTGCATAATTACAGGTCTTGCTCTTCCTTTTAGTGGCTAGATAACATTCCATCATATGGGTGTTTCATCATGTACTTAACCTTCTGTTGATGGACATTTAGGCTATTTCTGATCTTTTCTATTATAAACTCTCTTGGGATGGGTTCTTTGGGAGTGGTGAAAAGGATTTTTTAAAAAATTTTATTATTATTATATTTTGAGGGTGGGATCTCAGGAGAGGGAGGGAGAGATGTTAAGGCAGACAGAGAAGTTTCCCTTGGATGCGTCGAGCCTCTGCCTGCCCCCAGGGGTGTTCTGGAGCATAAATTGCACCACACAGTTGATCCCATCATAGGGTAAAGGGGTAGCCTTTGCACCCCCATGTCCATTCGTCGTTGGCCAGAGATTGGGGGATGGAGTGACCTCCTGGGGCTGCAGTACCTGTTGGCAAGTGGTGTCCTCTGAAGAAGGGGGCAGCTGAGAGCCTTCACCAACCGATGTTCCCAGCAGCTGGGGGACAGGTTGCTGCTCCAGTGAAGGGGGCCCAGGAAGGGGCCAAGAACTTCTGCATCAGCTGCACCCCCACTCATGGTGCCAGAGATATCAGAGTTCTCCCCCTCATGTCAGCACTGAATTTTGTAGAACTTTTTAAAAATCTGAACTAATCCTATGTGTGAAAAATGTTATTTTCTCCCCTCCCACCACATGTCTGGATCCTTGGGAGGAATGAGTTACAGCTTCCCCCACTCTCAGAAAGAACCCAGATCCTCAGTGGAGGAGTAATTTGATGCCATCAGGAGAGCAGGGACCTTGGGGCTGGAAGATTCCAGCTCAAGCCCCAGCTCTATCCTGGGCAATCTTCTTCACCCTTTCAGCCTCAGCTTTCTCATCTGTAAAAAATGGTAACCATCATAGCGCCTGCCTCAGAGGAGGGATGTGAGGATAAATGAGGAGCCATTTGTGGAGCCTTCCAAACTGTTTACAGGTTGAGAGGCCCTAAAGCTCCTGGCGGGGTGGGGTGGGGACACATAGTCCTCTGACGTGGCCATGGAGTCCTGGGTAGGGGGAACTCTGATCTTTAAGCCAGCTTGGATTCTAAGATGGCCTGTTGCCTTGAACGGCTGTACCTGATTGGTCAACATTTGGCCATTGCCCAAAAGGGGCTGGGGATAATGACTTCTTTCCGCGTGATTATAGCAGCACAATTCACAATTGCAAAATGTGGAACCAACCCAAATGCCCATCGATCGAGTGGATAAAGAAACTGTGATATATATATATATATATATAGACACACACACACACAATGGAATACTACTCAGCCATAAAAAGGAATGAATTAATGGCATTTGCAGCAACCTGGGTGTGATTGGAGACTATTATTCTAAGTGAAGTAACTCAGGAATGGAAAACCAAACATCGTATATTCTCACTCATAAGTGGGAGCTAAGCTATGAGGATGCAAAGACATAAGAATGACTCAATGGACTTTGGGGACTCAGGGAGAAAGGGTGGGAAGAGGGGGAAAAAGAAGATAAACAGCATATTTTGAACTAAAAATTACTCCTTGATATTAATAGTGGGCATTCCTCTTAAATTATGGATTAAAAAAACCCTAGGAATTTGTTTTACCTCAAAAATAAAATAAACCGTAATAAACCTAAAAAGGGGGTGCTGGAGAGCAGGAAATGTGTGGCTTCTTCTGCCTCCCTGACACTGTCTCAGGCCAGACCTCCCCACACCCCCTTCATCAATTAAATTGTGGTAAATTAGGCGGTAGGAACCACCCCAGAACTCCAAGTCCTTCTGTGCCTCAGGTCCACTGTGTGACCTCAGGGCTGGTTCTGACCCTCTCTGGGCCTCCTTCCTTCTTCTGTGGGGTGAGGCCACTGAGCCCCATCCCTGAGCACCCACAACTCTCCTGGGAAAGGATCTGGGAAGCTTTTCCTGCCGCCTCCTCCCCACCTTGGGCATTTCAGTCTCGGCTTAACCAGCCACTTCAACACAGGCAACACTTTTCTCGAGAGTTCATAAAAACATGTAAACACGGGTGAGGATACAAAATATTGAGCGGCGAGGCAGTAAAACACGGCAGTGTTTGTTGTGTTAACTGAATATTCATGAGCTGACTGTTTAAATTACAGTTCACAACTGTTGCAGGGCCTGATGAATAATTTAAATGAGGGTGGCCAAAGAGATTTCAACACTGCATTAGCAAACTGCTCAGGATCAGCTTCAGAGAATTTATAATTAGCTCAGAATAGCCTATAATAAATTCTTTGGAAAGATGGTTTTAATTAGCACATGTGCCAATTCAGAATGGAGAATGTTCAGCGTTCAGGGGAGGGGGTGGGTCACCCTCCCCTCCTTCTTATGTTTCCCCGTCATGCGGAGGTCCCACCACCTGCCTGGGATCCCTGAGCCATGCTGAGCCCACCCGGAACCCACCACCAGGCTTCCTGCCTTGAGTCTGTCCCGCCTCCACTGCCCCATCCCAGCTTAGGCCTCTCCGCCATAGCCTGTGCAGCTGCAGAAGCCTCTGACCTGGTCTCCCTGCTTCTGTGTCTCCTGCTCCAGTTCATCCCCATGGGGGCAGCCAGTGGGAACTTACTGGATGCAGATCTGATTCCATCTCTGCCCCATTTGGAGATCCTTAATTGAGGAGGCCCAGAGAGATGAAGTGGCTGGTCGAGCTCAAATAGGTCCCAGACACCAGTTGACTTCAGCCAGTGCCTAGGTGCTTGGGGATGGGTGAGGCATCACTGGCAGAAGGAAGTGCACAGGCAAAGATGAGGAGGCAGGAATGTTCTGTGTGTCGGGGGCCAGTGGGGAGCAGGACAAGCAGAGGCTTGGAGAAAGCAGGGGCCCGACCATGGCGTGCCTCAAATGCTTCGAGGTGGAGGATGTAGGAGGGAGGTCCCACTTAGGGGATCATGGAGGCTGCCAGTCTGGGGCCTAGAGCTCCCAGCCCACCTGGCTCATTCCTCAACATGTGCTGAGTGCCTGACAGGTGCCAGACCTCGGGCTGGGCACTGGGGAAACGGCTCAGAGCAAAGCACCAGCCACGGTTCCCTCTTTCATAAATGGAGCACACAACCAGAGCCATGTACACACTCAGCCGAAGGTACGACTAACAGCTGTGACAAGTTCAATGGAAAAAATAACAGGGTGTCAGGAGAGAGAATCAGCAGGGATCCTGATTTAGGTGGGGAGCCAGGGAAGGCCTCCTGAAGGCAAGGGCATTTGAACTGAGTCCAAAAGTGAGTAGGGGTGAAGGAGGCCAACTGGTCCCAGGTGGAAGGGGCTGCCCCATTCCCAGAGGGGGTGCTGTGGCTGGGCAGGGGGGTGAGGGGGTCTAGTAGAGCCCCCAGCAGCAGCCTAGGGTGGGGCTGGACTGGTTCTGGGAGAGGGGCATCTGTCTATGGGGAGCTCATTGCTGGAGGAGAAAATAACCTACTTTTCTGCTCCCAAACCCTCGCTGCAGCGCTTAGAGCTGCAAACCTTGAGCAAGACATTGGAGTTTCTCTGCTTCATTCCATCAGGATCACTCACGCACTCATTCAGCCCTCACACTTTTATTAAGCCCCTACTATGTACCAGGCACTCTTCCAAGCCCTGAGCAGTGAACAAAACTGATGACAATCCCTGATTCCTGGAGCTTACATTCCAGTGATACAGACAGACAAAGACGCAAAGGAGTAAGATGTGCCCTCCCTGGCACTCAGATGGGGGAGGAAAGGTTCCCTGCCAGATTCTCTGATGCCCCCTCCCAGTCCTGGTGCTGTGGGCAGGGCTCTCAGACCCCTTTTGAAATAGAAACTGAAGATCAAATTCAGGAATTTGGAGGATTCACAGCTTGGACAGGTCATTTTTAGTTATCCACCTGCTGTGACCAAGGGCAGCCAGTTCTGCCTCCTCAGCTCTCTCCTGTCCATGACATCTGCCCCATGTGCCTCTTGACCCTGCCTTTAGCCTCTTGCCCTGAGCACAGGGGAACCTGCTGGGCCATCCCCCACTCACACACCACTCTGGACCCCCAGTGACTGCCAGACCAAGTCCTCATCCCCTTGTGATCTGCCCCTCCTGGCTCCCCAAGCTTCGTCCCTTCCTTGGCCACAGTGAACCCTGGAGTCCTGGCAGCCCCCTGACACTCAGGGTCGCCACCGCGCTGATGCTGAACAGCAAGCCTCGCCCTCCAGCTCCGCTTCCATCACAGCAGTTCTGTGGTTTGTCATTGTTTTTGACCAGTGGTTCCCTCTCAATTCTTCACAAAGATACAGAAAGATAAGTCACAAAGATTAGTCAAAACAAGACGGATATTGCTGTGCTGACCTGCTTGGTGATAACAAGCACCATACCCTTTCAGGCACTCTGTAACCGTGGGTAAGAGGATGTGGTGAGGCCAGCCCAGCCTGCACCATGCCCCTCTGCCCTCAATAGTGAAAAGAGCTCAAACTTTGGGGTCAGACAGACCTGGGTTTGGATCCTGATCCTGCTCTGTGTGCGCTGCAGACAGGGAGCCATGAACCTCACCTCTTGGAGGCTCCGTTTGCTCAACTGTAAGGTGGAAACAGCAGCAGCGACCTCACAGGGTTGTTAAAAGAACCACTTGACCCCCAAAATGAGAACATGGCCTGTGAGTGGCAAACCCATGTTCCAGTCACCCGCTTCTGCAGTTAGGATCCCCATGGGGAATTGCTGTGATGGGAACACCTGCCCTCCACAATCGCACTTTCTGCTCAGCATCTAAATAGAAAGTTGTCCTGTGACACCTGCTTACTGTCTCCTCTCTCCCCTCGTGGTCCCAGCAGAGCTTCCAAAAGGGGGTCATTGACTCTGGCTGTCTATATTTCCTCCCCTCCCATTTGCCTTGACCTCTGCCTCCCTGTGACTATAAAACTCCTCTGGTTAGGGGCACTGATGGCCTTCACGTTGCCAAACCCATTGGGCACCTGCTGTCTTTATCATCCTTGACTTTGACTGTATTAGACCAGGCTCCTGGTGTCCTCCACCCCTCAGGCCACCCTTTTGCACCCTCCTTTATAGGACTCTCCCGATGCTCCACGCTCATGGCTGGGTACCACAAGGGAGTCCAGGCCATTTCCACTGCTCTATCCCCTCTCCTAAGCACCAGACCATGCAATCGGCCCCCACCTGGAAACCCCCACTTGGATGTCATCCCCAAGTTCAGCTGTCTACAGCTGGCCACTCTCCCCTACCTGGCTGGATGTGTCTCTTCTCCTATGTAAGCAGCCCATGAATTTCATCAGTAATCTGGTATGAGTCTTAATCTGCCAGAACCAGTCCCCAATCCTAAGTCTCTCCCTCCATCTCTTGCTTTCCATCTATCTGAGTCTCAGATGGTGGCTATATCACCTCTCAGCTGGAAGTTGCCACCTACTCTTAGCAGCCAAGCTGGCCTTTCTGAAATACAAGTCACTGCTCTGCCTAAAACTCTTATGGGTTTCCAATGACCCTCAGGATAAAGTCCAATGTCTTCCCCTGGCATTCAAGGCCCACCCAGCCTGGCCCCTGCCTGTGACTCTAAGCTCCTCCTTCCCCAACCCTCCTCACCCCTCCCACTATCCTTCACTCCTGCCAAATCAGGGCCTTTCCTGATGCCCAGTGTGCCCTTGACCGCTGATCTTACAGCCTCACTTGGCCTTTGGCTTCCCTCTCGGCCCTCACCACCACTGTGACTGTGTATTGATTTGGGTGTAGATGAGCTCCACAGGGCAGGGGAGTCCCAGTGCTCAGCACAGGGCCTGGCATATAGCAGATAGTTAATAAATACAGATGTGCCTGCTATAAAGTGACACATGCCTTCCTGAAAAACCTGAAAAATCCTAAGAACAAGAGTTTATGGGAAAAATAGAGCTGGGACAAACTACTCAAGGTCTATGCAACTTTGTAACCAGAGCACTAAGAGAAAACCATTACATTCCTAATGTATATATCTGCACAATTAAAAAGCATTTGTTAAATTCTTCCTTAAAAACCCTCAGTAACAACTGGGGAGGCATTTTGATGGAAGGGGTTTTGAGGAAGGGTGGGGAGACATTTTGATGGAAGTGGGTGTGAGGTTCACTGCTGAGTTATGGAGACAAGGGCAAAATGCACAAAGATGGAGAAGCAAGCAGTTGGCGCCTTTACACCAGAGCAGGTGGCCAAGTGGTATGAAGGTGGGCCAAGTGGTACACAAGGGCAGGTGGGGGAAGGTGGGCGAATGGGCATTGGAAGCAGCGCTGCTTCCTCCACTGTTTGCTGAGTCCTGCTCTGTTAGCGCCCTCTGTGTTCAGCCGCTGTTCCTTGGTAGCATAAAATAGTACTGCGCTGGAATAAGCCTGTATGACTGAGCAGGACTCCTCTGCAATGCCACTTTCCCCGTTCACTGGAAGGGGTGAGATACTTGTGTCACAGGAGCACGCTGCATTTGTCAAGTGGGTGAGCGCATTAGTAGCATGGGTTGTGCTATATTGGTGCGATTAGCTCATTCCATCTGTTTGTCCCGCTGGACTTGGTGGCCCCTTCTGCGTGGCAAGGTCTGTGCCTGCATTCTTTGTGTCTCAGGTCCTGTGGCTCATTGACCGCCACCGTTTAGGTCCTGAGGCTGTGACAGTTCACAGGCCACTGTTTCTGCCCTCAAAGAACCAACCGAGAATACACCATGTGGCCTGTGGGAGTTACCCAAAAGCACTTGCTGGAGAAATGCCTAAGCTGCCCATTAAGAGACTTACCATAGGCCAGGAAAATGAAGTGGGCTCTGAACCTTGGCAAGAAGGGGTGGATTTGGGAGACCAGGAGGAGGTGGCATGTGCTTTTGAGGGCCCAGCAGAAGTGGAGGGTGAAGGGAGGGGGAGGTTGGTGGATAACTCATTCAACATTCACTGAACCCCCTGCTAGGTGTCGCGGTCTAGATACCAGCAGGCGCTGGTCTAGATACCAGCAACACATCAGTGAACAAAACAAAGATCTTTGCCCATGTGCAATTTACATCCTAGCAGGGGGAGCGAGATAATAAACAATAATCTACTAAATAAGTCATGCAGTATGTTAGCAGGTGTTAAGTACTTTGGAAGAAAGAACAGAAGCATAATGGGATGGGGAATGCTGGCCCGGTGTGAGGGGCAGGGGAGCGGGTTGCAGTATTGGGTAGGATGGTCGGGGAAGGCCTTCTGATAAAACTGTGGTTTGAAGGAAGTCTTGCAGTAGGTGAGGGAGGGAGCAGGGTGAGTATCCCCTGCTGGGTGGGGGAAGAACATTCCATGCAGAGGCAGTAGCTCACCTCCCATGGTTTTCCAGCTCAGCACTACTGACATTTTGGACTGGATTGTTCTTCATTGCGGGGCTGCCCTGTGCATTGCAGGATGTTGGCCAGCTTCTCTGGCCTCTACCCACCAGATGCCAGGAGCGTCCCCGCGGTTGTAACAACAAAAATGTCTGCACATAATGCCAGATATCTCCTGGGGACAAAAATGCACTGAGCTAGAAGAGAGCCCTGTGGTGGGAGGCTGCTCGAGTGCTGAAGGAAGAGCAAGTGGGGGTGGATGTGATGGAGAGGGGTGATGGAGGGGACTGGAGTTGGGGAGGCCAGAGAGGTGCCAGGTGGTGGTGGTGGTGGTTGAGTTGTTATAGGGGCTTGTGGCTCAGTAAGGACTTTGGCTTTTACTTGAGATATAGTAGGGAGCTGGAGCTGGCTCTGAGCAGAGGAGAGAGGGTCTGTATTGCAGAGGTGGGGAGCACGGGGACTCCCCACAGCCCCATCCCAACCTGAACAGAAACCTCACACCCCCAGCTGAGCAATCCCAGACCCAGGGGCTTGGTGACCCGTATTTGCAAACCTTTCTTCTAAGACAAAACCAGCCCCCAAAGGGGACAAATTGCTTTTCATTTCTCTGCTTCTCTGCCGGCGGCTTCATATTCATAACACGATGATCAGTATCACCAGGAATGGGGCTGTTGCCTTAAAGGATAAATTAGTCTGACTCTTAACTCAATAATTAAAACTGTGATGGCACTTGGCCTGCAGGGATAATATGCTATTATTATAGTCGTTTGTTTCAATTAAATGCTTACTGATTTTACAATAGCAGCTGGGCACCTGTGCGCTACAGCTATTATTCTGAACAAGACATCTACATTTCAGGAGAAATTTGTCAGCGTGCAAAGGATCTCCCACCAAGCATGAAAGTGTATTAGCAATACGTACTGACGAGGCTTCGGGGCCAGAGGCAGGCACGGGGGAGGCTTCCTATTGGTTCTCTTTTCCTCTCTTTTGTGCTAGATTTTTTTTTTCCAAAAAGGAGATAGTTTTCAATTATTTGACACTTGAAGCCCCAGGACATCTCAGAGAGCAGTGTGCCCCTGGGAAGACTCGCATGGGGGAGCTTTAGTTGTGACTTCCCACATCATTGATTCTGGGCTGCAGTAAACTGAATCATGCCCCACCAGATGCCCATGTCCTGATCCCTGGGGCCTGTAACTGTGTTACCTTATATATCAAAAGGGGCTTTGCAGATGTGATGAAGGTAAAGATCTTGTGATGGGCATATGGCTCTGGTTTATTTGTGTGAGCTCAATGATGTAATTTCAGAAGTACTTACAAGAGGGAGATGGGAGGGCCCAACAGACAGAACCACTGCTGATGAAACCACAGAAGCAGAGAGCAAAAAGGTCATGTGATGTGGGGCCACAAGCCAAGGCATGAGGATACGGTTCATCCAAAAAAAAAAAAAAAATTATGGAAATGCTTCTCCCCTGGAGCCTCCAAAGAGAACGAGCCCTGCCAACACCTTCACTTTAGTTCAGTGAGACTCATTTTGGACTTCTGACTTCCAGGAGGTGCATGTGCTGTTCTTGCTCCTGCAACGGAAGGAATTTTTATTAAGTTTGTGGTAATTTATTACAGTAGCAACAGGAAACTAATACACAGAGTCTCTGCTGCCTTCTCAGAGGACTGAGACGTGTCGACTTTCACTGGGGAGGCAGATATGCTGCAGATCATAGGGCTTCTTGTCAGTTATCAGTGCCCAGACCTGTTGCCTGTGGCCATCCACTTAGCATCTGCAAGCATGCTTACCCTCCAACAAGTCCCAGCCTCTGGATACCCCTTTATCCTTATCTGCCACCCTACCCATCACTCCAGCCCTGCCAGGCTCCAGGCAGCTTGCAGAGCTCATCGCACTGGCCCATGCCTCAGTGCCTTTGCATGTGCCGTTCTTGCTCCTGGTACACCCTCTGCACCCTCCTTATCTTCTGCAGACTTCAAGAGTCAGTTCAGTTTTTTTTTTTCCTGTGGAAAGGCTTCCTGGCTGTCCAGGTATTGGAGGGGCTCCTTCTCTGGCACCCCACAGGACCCCAGGCACACCTGGGTTGCTGCACTGTTTAAAATTGTGGGGTCATTTCTGCCTCCCCCACCAGAATGTGCACTCCTGCGATGGGGTGTTTCTGGCTCAGGGTCTCAGACATAAGAATCCTCAGGGAATGTTTATGGAATGAATGAATGAATGGAGTACCAGGAGCAGCATGGAGCTCTGGGAGGTCTTGAGAAGTGAAATGGCCACAGAAAGAGTTGTGATGAGGGCAGCTCAAGACAGAGGCCTGCAGAGGATGTGAGAAAGAGGCTCGAGGCAGTGACTCAAGGAAGCTCAGAGTCAGAGGACAGAACAGTGGCCAACTTCTGGGTCTCTGTCACCATCCAGGCCTCTCTGCCAGGTCTAGACTTCCAGGCTGGACTCCAGACTTGTGACCTCTGCTTCTCCTTCCAGGACTGGCATGCAGGAGCTTTGTCTTGACTTCTCACATCATTGATCCAAGTGTGGTGGGCTGGAAGAGAATACCCCCAAAAGATGTCTACATCCTAATTCCCAGACCCTGTGAACATGTTAGCTTCCATAGACACCCTGTTGGCTCCCAAAACTTAACACATGTCTGCCTGTGCTCATCACCTTCACTCTGCTCAATCCTGCTCCTCCTTCTATGTCTCCACCTCAGAGAATTGCAATAGCCACCCCTTATCACCATTTCATCCCAAGAGTCTTGCTTGACTCAGCCACTACTCATCCCACGCATTCCACTCAATCACCTGTCAATATCAATCTTCCTCAGTGCCTCTCGGACCTACCTGGTAGATTTGGCCACTGCCATAGACTGTACCAGCCCCCTCTCTGGGACCTCTTGTCTCCTCTCTCAACTGCCTCATCCATGTGCAGCCAGAGTGGTTCCATCGGGCAATTCTGAACACGTCCTCCCCTGCTGAAATCCCTTCGATGGCTCCCCATGGGTCTGGGAGAGCCTTCCCCTACTCTGGCTCTCAGGCCTTTTGCTGTCCATCCCTGCTGGCCTCTGAAGCCTCAGTGAAGCCACCTTGGGTCCTGCCAGGTCCATGTCAGCTCCACGGCTTTGCACAGGCTGTTTCCTCTTCCTGGACACCCTCACCTTCTTCACCAGCTAACTCCTGAGCAGCTGCAAGAGTCAGGCCAGACTCCACTTCCTCTCGGTGGCCGCCGCCTTCTGCAGACTAGGTGGGAAGGTCGCTGCACATGTCTTACTCCTGTTCCCCCACGACCACCACACAAGGCGTCTTGAAGGAGGGACTGTGTTCTGGTCAGCCATGTGTTCTCTAACCCAGCATCTGCACTCAGCACTGGACATACTCAACAAGGGTTGCTGAAGGGCTGGAGGGAGACGTGGCTGATGCGTGGGGAGAGGCTGGTTCTTGCCCAGGCATTGGGACCCTGCTCAATGCCAGGGAGATGCAGAGAGCTTGAATGTGCTGGGTAATGGGGTAATATGGGCCAGCCAGGTGGCTGTCATCTGTCAGGTTCCCTGGAAACAGACTCCGAGATGGAGATTGTGCACAGCAAGTTTTAGGGGAGCACTCTCAGGAACGTCACCCATGAGAAGTAAAGGAAGCAGCCTGGGGCAGAGAGAGAACTTGAACCAACGTGCATTGCTACAGAGGCTTCAGCCAATCCAGTGAGCTCTGGAATGCTAGGATGCGCCTTCTGAGATGTCCCAAATTGAGTCAACGGGGCTGGGCCTTTGAACCCCCACATCAGTGAATGTAGACCACCCCTTGGAAGGGCTTGTAACCATGGGGGAAGCAGCTCCATCAGCCACAGGCAATTCCTGGAGAGGGTTGCAGCTGCGAGCTGTCAGAAGCCCATATGCCCGGCAGCTGGAGAACTGAGTCCTGTGGTCCTGAGGGGGCCGTCGGGCCGTGCAGGGGTCACAGCTGCACTGATTTTAGAGAGAGGCTACAACGCAAGGTTAGAGCAAGAGCTCAGCTTGTGGCCAGCACAGGGCTTGGCCAAGTGAGAGCACACTGAGTAGGTGTTCACTGAGGCTGTGCTGGGCAAGTGGGTGCAGCAATGGGGTAGGGCTGTGGACACAGGCCTGGGAGCCACACAGACATTCATGTGAATCCAGCTGTGCCGCCTACGGCCAAATGACCTTGGGCACGTGACTTCTCATTCTGAGCCTCAGTTTCCTCATCTGTAAAATGTCGATGATAAGCACCCCTTTCTCGCATGCCTGAGTAAGAAGTAACTGGTCAACAGGTCAGTGTCTGGCAAATGCTACCTGCCACATAAAGGATAACATTTCTACCATCGCTTCTACTTACCACACTCCACTACCAGAAGGATTGCCAGTCTGTGGCCCTGGGCCAAAGGCCCTCTGCCCATTTTTGTAAATAAGGTTTTATTGGAACACAGCCACAGCCCTTCATTTGCATTCTCATCTATGGCTGCTTTCCTGCTCCTGCAGCAGAATTGAGTTGAGTAGTGATTAGAGACCATCTGGCCCACAAAGCCTAAAATATTTACTGTCTGACCCTTTACAGAGTTTGCCAACCCCTGGATCTGACAAATATAGCGAATATTTGTGAAGTGCCCTCCTGTGCCAGGCTGGGTGCTGTCATTTTTAGTGTCCTTGGAGGCTCCCTCCTGGCATCCCTCTCCTCTCAGATTTCAGAACCTTCTATTGTTTCTCACCTCTTCTTTTCTTTTTTGAGATGGATTCTCGCTCTGTCGCCCAGGCTGGAGTGCAATGGTGCGATCGCAGCTCATTGCAACCTCTACCTCCCGGGTTCAAGCGATTCTCCTGCCTCAGCCTCCGAGTAGCTGGGATTACAGGAGCCCACCACCATGACCAGCTAATTTTTGTATTTTTAGTAGCGACAGGGTTTTACCATGTTGGTCAGGCTGGTCTTGAACTCCTGACCTCAGGTGATCCACCCACCTTGGCCTCCCAAAGTGTTGGGATTACAGGCATGAGCCATGGCGCCCAGTCATTTCTCACCTCTTCTTAGCCCAGTTGAGGTGCAGTTCAAGCTCATACCTTAAGCAAGTTAATGAGGGGATGAAGAAAGGAAAACTTTCGTCTTGAACACACTAGGTGTCTGACTCTGTACAAAGTTAGCTTTTTGTTTGATCCTCACAGCTGCCCCATGAGGGCAGGGTCATTGTTACCCCATGTTGAAGCTGTTAAGATCTGTATGGATACAGTGGAAAACATCTCAGACTCAGAAGACAGGCAGAATTCTGGCTTTCCCACTTTCTGGCTGTGTGATCTTAGGCAAATCACTTAACTCTCTGGGTTTCAGTGTCTTTATTGTCAAATGGGGGTGATAAGAGTGCTTCCATCAAAGATTTGTTGGTGACTCTTCTAGCATGGTTCCTGGGGTGTAGTGAGCCCTCACTCACTGAAATACTAGATATTATTATCATTATTATTATTGCTATCATTTTCTATAAAACAAAGACGTTGGGATCTATTGGAAAGTGCTACTCTTTTAAATTACTCAGTGTCAGGTAGTTCTTTATAGCAGTATGAGAATGAACTGATACAGAAAATTGGTACCAGTAACGGGGCGATGCTACAAAGATACCTGAAAATGTGGAATCAACTTTGGAACTGGGTAACAGGCAGAGGTTGGAACCGTTTGGAGGGGTCAGAAGAAGGCAGGAAGATGTGGGCAAGTTTGGAAGTTCCTAGAGACTTGTTGAATGGTTTTGACCAAAATGCCGATAATGATATGGACAATGAAGTTCAGTGGTCTCAAATGGAGATGAGGAACCTATTGAAAACTGGAATAAAGGTCACTCTTGCTATGCTTTAATTTCTGATTGTGCTCAGAAATTAACGAGAAGTGCTGGGTGCCGTGGCTCACACCTATAATCCCAGCACTCTGGGGAGCTGAGGAGGGTGGATCGCTTGAGCCCAGGAGTTCAAGAACAGCCTGGGCAACATAGAGAGACCCTGTATCTACAAAAAATATAAAAAATTAGCCGGGTTCCGTGGCTCCACCTGTGGTCCCAGCTACTTGGGAGGCTGAGGTGGGAGGATCGCCTGAGCCTGGGAGGTGGAGGCTGCAGTGAGCTGTCATTGCACCACTGCACTCCAGCCTGGGCAACAGAGTCCAGGAATTAAGGAGACGTTTCTGAACCCTCTCAAACTGAAGCAGGGACTTAAATAAGAGCACAATTGAACATAGCCGTTGTTGCCATCAGAAGATTGATTCTACATCGTATACATCTGTCAGCACATCAGATTGGACCCTATGCATGTATACAACTATGACTTGTCAATAAAAAGAAAAGAAAAAAATTTAATTGTGGGGGAAAAAAATTCCACCTTTCCAGGCTGAAGAAAATAAAAAAATTTAATTGTGGAAAAAAAGAAAAAAAAAAATTCCGCCTTCCTGGGCTGAGTGTGAGGCTGTGTTGAATGACAGCTCATTCAGGCTTCGGAGGACGCAGGGTGGCTGCCAGCTCTGTGAATCGGCAGAAGGCGGGAAGGAGGAAGGTGTGATTTTTCTTGTTCTCTCCTCACTGTGTGGGGTTACACTAAGCACACGGGGCTGCTCTCCATAGAGACTGCAAATGGGGAATTTGTGAAAAACGCCCTTGTGTTCCTGCAGCCCTGCGAAGCTATTAAGCTCTGCGATCCTAATTACATTCACAGCCGCCTCGTTCCTGCTGCCTCCGTGTCTCCTCCTTCCTGGGGCGGGTGCAGATGTGGCTCGGGAGCGTGGCCATATGTTTCCAAGAGGGAAGCAGGAGGCTGGCTTCACTTGGTTCCCAGACATCTCATGAGTGCCGGCTGCCTGCCCAGCCCTCTGCCTGGTGCTGGGAGGCAGGTGTCTCTGCACTTGAGCAGATGCCGGGAGGCAACGTGTGGAGAGCTCTGCCAGAGGCTTGGAAAGAGGGTGAGGCCAGAGGATGGAGCAGGAGAGGGAAGGCTTCTCTGAGGAGGTGACATTTCAGGTAAGCCATAAAGGAGGATGACACAGAGGGCAGGTGTCCAGTCTAGAGAGAAGCCCACATGTCCCCAGGGAGCTCTGGGAAGGGGCTGGAGAGGTCAGGAGGAGAGAGATTGTACAGATCCTCATGGAGCATTTTACATGGCTAGGCCATTGCTAAGTGGGCCCCTGGGAGCTGCTGAGAGATGGAGAGCAGGGAGGCGACATTTCATGCTCCAGAAGGGTCACTGCAGGGGCCAGCATGGTGCCTGGACTCAGGAGGCCATGCTGGAGGCTGGGACTAGAGCTGCATAGCTTGAGATAGCCCTGAAAACAGACCCTGACACAAAGGTTTGGGTGCAAGTAGTTTGTCTCAGGGGTGAACCCAGGAAGCCCTTGGAGGGAAAAAGGCAAGTGAGATTGAAAGGAAAGAAAGTCATGGGTTGTTACCTCTGTGGGCAACAGGAACGGGGTCCTGCTGTGGACCCTCTGAAAGACTTGTGGATGTGATCCGGGAAGGATGTCAAGTCTTCCAGGACGCAAGTCAGAATCGTCCCACTGAGGGGAGAGGAAGTCGAGGTTTCATCTACAAACTCCTGTTCCTCACTGGCTGAGGGTCATTCCTGGGGCCCCAGTTGGTCAGCACTTCCAGGCTGTTTGGGGCACAGAACACCCTCAGGCAGGGTGCCGAGGGAAGCTGTCCGCATGCACAATAACCCTCTGTAGGGACCCCCGAGGTGGGCCGAGGGCCGGGGGGCAGGGTCTCCACTGCATCTGCTGCAGCTGATCAGGACAAAAGGCCTTAGCTGCTAAAAGTGTTGGGGCAGCGGGGTGTGGGTTCTGATTGGAGTAGGGGTCTCGTGAGCTGGTAGAGTGTTCTAGAATGCATGGAGGGATGGGCAGGGTCTCACCACTTCTGTGTCCCTCTCTTGTGAGCTCAACTTTCTTCTTCTAAAGGCTGAAATTGGCTTTAAGCAAAACACGTTTTGAGGTGAAACTTGGGAATTTTAGAATCATCACGGGGATGCCCCTATCTGTAGGTGTCTATGGAGGAGCCACAGACTTACTTGGAAGGAAAGTAAGATGGGAGGAAATGTCAGAACCTTAGGAACACCAGCGTTTAGTGGGTGGGCTGAAGAAGAGCAGGAAGGACTGGCTGGAGAGGTGGTTGGACAGTCAAGCACTGGGCCCTGGAGAAAGGAAAGGGAGCTGGGAGGGGAGGCAGCAGGCCCAGGAGTTGAGGATGGAGAAGTGTCTTGGGGAAGGCATCATAACTTAGGGAGGAGGGTGATACTTTGGAGAAGCTCAACTCCACCTTTAGTAGCTGTGTGATTATGGGCAAGTCTCTTGGCCTGAGACTTGGCTTTTTCTGCTGGGGATGATTATATTCCGCCTCCTGTATAGTTGTGATTAAATGAGTCATAAGTGGACATGGTCAGCACAGTGTCTGGCACATATTAAGTGCTTAATAAAAATCTGTCCTCCTCTTCCTCTTTCTCTTCCTCCTGATGAGGATGGTGGTGAGGACACTGATTACAACGGTATGGGTAGTAATGAGGACAGATGCCAGGTGAGTCGCTGGTGGGGGGAGTGGCCCAAGGACAGTGAGGAGAGACAATTCTTTGCACAGTTGGCTGCATGGAGAAGAAGGAAAGTTGGGGCAGAAGTTTTTAAGAGACCTGGAGCTAAGAGAGATTTTAAAAGATGGGAGAGGAGTGATATTGATGAGATGCAGCCGACAGACAGGGGAGACAGGAGCTGAACTGATGGAGGTGGGGGCTGTCTAGAAGCAGAGCCTGAGATGGGGTTCTTGTGAAGGTTGTTTACTGAGGGAGGGGCTGCAGGAATCAGGGATTGCAAGGGAAGGGGCTGAGCATGGATGTAGCCTCGGCTGGAGACTCGCTTCAGGCTGATTCCACAGGGAGCCCTGGAGCGCAGCTTCACTGCACAGCCAGCAGGGTGGCCTTTAGCACCCCTGTGCCAGTCAAGCAGTGGTGAGGTCTGCTGCAAGGTGGGCTGTTGGCGTTAAGATGTCATAGTCTCCTGGGAGAAGCAGTTCCCATTTGGCCACTTTTCTGGAGATGGGGGCAGGTGCAGATGATCCCAGCACACAGGGGAATGGGTACAGAAGCATGGTAAAGGGGGCGGGGTCCGGCACCGACAGTGTCCACTACAGCGGGCATCCTCAACTAGCAGGCCTCAAATGAGAGGCATATCTTTCACCGTGGGGAAGTTAGGACAAAGTTTTTTAAATGCCCTAGAAAACCTGGGATGCTTAGTGGCTGTCCCCATGTTTTTGCTGGTTTTTATCTAAGAATAGCCAGTCATGTACTGTCTTTATGAAGGGAACTGTCTCTCTGACTGTGAGACCCTGAAGTGCGGTTGGGGAAGTGGGCGCTCTCATCCCCAAAGCTTGCCATTGTGTCCATCACAAAGCATGGACTCATGAAAGGTCCGACTATATATTGAGAATGTATTTGTAACTATAGCAAGAATGAAGCTTCTCCACAGAGACTTGACATCCTTCCTGAATCGCATCCAGTTCTGCTGTTGTGGCTTTAATTTTATTAAATAGGTCCAACAAGTATTTGCTTTTGCAGTGTGCAGGCTCGAATCTAGGAATCAGGATATAAAGAAAAGTCACTGGACAATTGTACAAAATCCGTAGTTCTAAAGAGCACACATTCTGAGAATCTTACTCCAAAAAATAGGCAAAAACATTCATAATAAACTTCAATTATACGGTGTATCCATGTGATGAGAAGAATTTGCAATCAGGAAAGATTGCTTTCAGGTAAAACATGTGTATTAGTCTGTTCTCATGCTGCTAATAAAGACATACCCAAGACTGGATAATTTATAAAGGAAAGAGATTTAATGGACTCACAGTTCCACAGGGCTGGGGAGGCCTCATAATCATGGCGGAAGGCAAAAGAGAAGCAAAGGCACGTCTTACGTGGCGGCAGACAAGAGGGCTTGTGCAGGGGAACTCCCGTTTATAAAACCATCAGATCTCATGAGACGTATTCACTATCACAAGAACAGCACAGGAAAGACCCACTCCCGTAATTCGATTACCTCCCATTGGGTCCCTCCCACAACATGTGGGAATTACAGAAGCCACAATTCAAGATGAGATTTGAGTGTGAAACCATATCAATATGTGACCACTGGATGTAAAAGTTTGTTGAAAGCAGCGAGCAACACTGGTTGTAACCAAATAAGTGAAGATGATCAGCTCCAGGTTTTCTCCCAAAACTCCAAGGGAGAAGTTAAAGGGCTCAAAATTATGACTGAAAAGATAAAAGATCGTGATGATTCAATGTGTTTAATAGGAAACTTAGCAAAAAGGCAATAATCAAATAATTGTAGAAAATATCACTTATCTGAAGAAAGTGGAAAATGTTCCAAAGGACCTAGCAAATATCAGCAAAATTAAATCTGTTACCCACATTAAAAACATCATAGTGCAATGTTTTTATTTCAAAGAAACTTTGAGACTCAAAAAAGCCATTATTATTGTTGTCATTATTATTTGGGGGATCGGATTTTATTCTAAGAGGATCAACAAGCCAATGAAGAATTTTAAGGAGGATAGTAGCCTGGCCTGACTTATTTATATAGAGAGATATTAATTGCTTGGGATGTGAGGAGTGTGAAAGACATAGGATTCATTATGGAGGTGGAACCAATAATGGCGTGTCCTGGCTAGTGCCTGGGGTTGTAAGGGAAAGGGAGAAGTCAGGGTTTCTGTTCAGGTTTGTGGCTTGGGTGACAGCAAGAACAGCAGTGCCATTTTACTATTTTGGTAAAACTGGAGGAGGAACAGTTTTCAGGAGAGGGAAGAGCTCCATTTGCAGCATGTGAAGTTTTATATGCTTGCGGGGCATCCGAGGGAAGATGTCACTCAGGGACTTGGATGTGGGAGTCTGGAGCCCAGGTTGGGGATGAGGGGATGAGGCTGACCCTGTTTCAGACATTTCAGGGTGCCTAATGTGGCCAATTAAGTTATGTAGGTACCAGCCATTTCCCCTCATTCCAGACTTCCCAGAACTCATCACATTTAAGTTTAACACTCTGCTTGGAAGAGCCCATATTGTTGTTGCTGCTGCTTTGGATCTGCTTTTGAAGAAATAAATATTGCAGGTACAAGTTAAGGTCCCTTTGTACCTCTCTGTTCTCAGAAAGAAATAACCACTATTCTGCAGTGAGTGTTTTTATGCTTTTACTACATTTTCATATATCCTTGAACACCTGACAGTGATGTTTTATATTTTAAACGTGTTCATAAAGGCATTATACTGTATGTGTCCTTCTGAAACTATCTTCACTGGTTATTGTCTTTGAGTTCATCTGCATTGGCAGCTGTAGGTCCACGTTGGTCAGGTTAACCGTCTACAGAATTCCATTATGTGAATACACCACAGATTTTCGCCATCTCCCAGTTAGTGAATGTTTATATTATTTCCAGTTTTTTTGGAATTAAATGCCATAATGATCATCTTTGTTGTAATGCATAACTTTCTAAAGGTAACATCATAACTCTCATACAAATATAAGATGAAAGCATGCCAAAAATTTATTTAAGTCGTGATTAATGAGGAATCCAGTAAGATATGACAACAGGTTCAAAGGTGAATCTGAAGAGTAGACACATATATAGGCAAACAGGAATGGTGAGATAAATTTTCTAAGAAATGGACCCAGCCATCCCATTACTGGGTATATACCCAAAGGATTATAAATCATGCTGCTATAAAGACACATGCACATGTATGTTTACTGCGGCACTATTCACAGTAGCAAAGACTTGGAACCAACCCAAATGTCCATCAGTGATAGACTGGATTAAGAAAATGTGGCACATATACACCATGGAATACTATGCAGCCATAAAAAAGGATGAGTTCACGTCCTTTGTAGGGACATGGATGAAGCTGGAAACCATCATTCTTGGCAAACTATCGCAAGAACAAAAAACCAAACACCACGTGTTGTCACTCATAGGTGGGAATTGAACAATGAGAACACTTGGACAAAGGAAGGGGAACATCACACACTGGGGCCTGTTGTGGGGGGCGGTTGTGGGGAGGGATAGCATGAGGAGATATACCTAATGTAAATGATGAGTTAATGGGTGCAGCACACCAACAAGGCACATGTATACATATGTAACAAACCTGCATGTTGTGCACATGTACCCTAGAACTTAAAGCATAAAAAAAAAAAAAAGAAATGCAAAACTGCTTAATGGCTATAGAGCAACCAAACATAATGTTTGGAATCATCCTTTTTACAGGGTGGGATCAATTATATCCCTACCGGACAAAATTTCTTTGCATTTTTATGGACAAGAATGGGTTTCACTCTACCTCACACCTATTAGGATGGCTTCTATTGAAAAGAGGGAGAGAGAGAAACGAGTGGCGTGGATGTGTAGAAACCGCAACCGGAACCCTTGTGTGTTGCTGGTGGGAATTGAAGTGATATAGCCACTGTGGAAAACAGTATGGTGGTTTCTTAAAAATTAAAAAACAGAATTACTATATGATACGGCAATTGGAATTCTGGGTGTCTACTCGAGAGAATTGAAAGCAGAGGCTCCACGAGATACTTGTGCACCCACATTCCTAGCAGCATTATTCATAATGCCCAACCAACTGCCTACCAGCAGATGAATGGATAAGCAAAATGTAGTCTATACATACAAGGGTGTATTGCTCAGCCTTAAAAAGGGAAGAAAGTTCTGATTCAGCTGCCACGTGGATGAACCTTGAGTACCTTAAGCTAAGTGAAATAAGTCAGTCACGAAAGAATACTGTGTGATTCCACTTGTTTGAGGTACCTGGAGTAGTCATAGTTCTAGAGACAGAAAGTAGAAGAGTGGTTTCCAGGGCTGGGGGAAGAGAGGAATGGGGAGTTCTTATTTACTAGGGATGGAGTGTCAGTTTTGCAAAATGGAAAGAATTCTGCAGACGGCTGCTGGTGATGGCTGCATAATGGCGTGAACATATTTAATGCCACTGAACTGTACACTTAAAAATGGTTGATGGTAAATTTTATGTGTATTTTATCACAATTTAAATTTTTAATGATTAAAAAAATCAGTTGCATTAATGTCACCTTTCTAGAGCTTACAAAGTTGTAAAATAAATAGCCTAGACAAAGACGTGTACTCCTATAGAAGCAGGTAACCCCAGAGGTCTGCTGGACAATGCCCCGCAGTTCATTGAATGACACTCATTTGTCCATCTTGAAGTCTTTTGCAGTTTTCCACACTGTGTGTATGTCTTCTTGTGCATGTGTGAAAGTTCTTTATAGTAAACATCTTGGAGTAGAATTCTAGGTTATAGGATATCTGCATCTTCAATATACTGAGTGTTGCCAGGTTGTTTTCTAAAGTGTTTTACATACTAGTCTACACTCCTAACAGCAGTGTATGCAGAAACATAAATGGTCCAGTAAACTTATGAAAAGGTGGTCACCCTCACTAGTGATCAGAATGGTGGAAATCAGAATGACTTTGAGAGAATTTCACACTTAGCAGGTTTGCAAAACTTCAAAAATCCGCCATTATCAAGAGTTGGTAAAAATATTAAATCACCAAGTCAGGAATATCTGATGGAAGAATTCTAAAGCAGGCCACTGGGAAGAAAAAGAAAACAAGCCCTAATACAGAGTTCTAAAGCTGATTTGATCTTGAGGAGCTAATGCCAGATTCTTGCTTAAGGCTTATAGAAGGTGAGAGTGCGTAAGCTATGGGGTGGGAAGAGGAGAATGTTTGGAGAATACATTTTAAAACCTTCTATAAAACAGTTCACTTTAAATCTGTCTCTCAGATATTTGTATGATTAATAATCAAATACATATATGTCACAATATATTAAGAACTGGGTTAGAAACCAGTATCTACCTACACACTGTTTACACTTAAAATTATGCAGGACAAAAATAAAACAGTGAAAACTTAGAGTGATAATGATAGCAGATAAAGTAGGATGTAAGACAGAAACATTAAGGCAAAGATGCTTATTTTTTATGAGCAAGGAGAAGCCACAGTAAAGACATAACATTCTGGGACATTTACAGGATAAATAACTTCACGTTAGTGTGTATGCAGAAAATCTGTTTAAATTTTAGAGAGAAACTGCTGGAAACACAATAGGAATGGCAGGCTTTGTGGAAAACAGTATGGTGGTTTCTTAAAAATTAAAAAACAGAATTACTATATGATACGGCAATTGGAATTCTGGATGTCTACTCAAGAGAATTGAAAGCAGAGTCTCCACGAGATACTTGTGCACCCACGTTCCTAGCAGCATTATTCATAATGCCCAACCAACTGCCTACCAGCAGATGAATGGATAAGCAAAATGTAGTCTATACATACAAGGGTGTATTGCTCAGCCTTAAAAAGGGAAGAAAGTTCTGATTCAGCTACCACATGGATGAACCTTGAGTACCTTAAGCTAAGTGAAATAAGCCAATTCTTTTGAGATTTTACACCTAAAGTAAAGTAGTCAAAACTGTTTATTGAATAGACATATGGAGAAATTTGTACAATATACAGTATTATTTCCAATATACATGAACGGTTTTGCAAAAATTGATCATACTTTGGTGACACAATAGTCTGTATACCAAACCCCTGTGACATGCAATTTGTCTCTATAACAAACCTTCACATATACCCCTGAACCTAAAAGTTTTTAAAAAGGAAAAACAAACTGATCATATCCTAAGCTATAACAAAAATCTCAGTACTTTCCAAAAAGATAAAATTCTGGGAGTCATGGTCTCTGATCTTGATAACAAAGGATACATTAAATAAAAACACTCTTCCAAATAACTTTAGGGTCAGAGAGAAAATAAAATCATCAATGTAGACTATTTTAAAAATACTTATATGATGTAGCTAAAATTCTCCCTGGGAGAAAAATCATAGTTACAGTGCAGAGTTTCTCAACCTCAGCACTATTGACATTTTGGGATGCATAATTCTTTGTTTAGTGGGGACATCCCTGGCCACTACCCAGCAGATGCCAGTAGCTTCCCACCCTCCAGTTGTCAGAACCAAAAATGTCTTCAGAGAAATGCCCCCTGCATGGTAAAATTGCTCATCTCAACTCCTGCCCTAGATGTTTCTGTTACTAAAAAAGAAAATGTGAAAATAGCTTAATTTGAAAACCTATGTAAAAAACAACATATGCTACCTCAAGTCAACATTAATAGAGAAGAAAGCAGAATTTAATGAATTATCATGAAAGTTGTCAAATTTTTTTAACATCTGCACTAAGAAAAATTCCTCTGCCTTGGGATCCTGTTGATCTGTGACCTTACCCCCAACCCTGTGCTCTCTGAAACATGTGCTGTGTCCACTCAGGGTTAAATGGATTAAGGGCGGTGCAAGATGTGCTTTGTTAAACAGATGCTTGAAGGCAGCATGCTCGTTAAGAGTCATCACCAATCCCTAATCTCAAGTAATCAGGGACACAAACACTGCGGAAGGCCGCAGGGTCCTCTGCCTAGGAAAACCAGAGACCTTTGTTCACTTGTTTATCTGCTGACCTTCCCTCCACTATTGTCCCATGACCCTGCCAAATCCCCCTCTGTGAGAAACACCCAAGAATTATCAATAAAAAAAAATTAAAAAAAAAAAAAAAAAAAAAAAAAAAAAAAATAAAATATAAGAGCTGGTTCTTTGGCTAGACAGTTGAAATATATAAACTTTTGGCCGGGTGTGGTGGCTCATGCCTGTAATCTCAGCATTTTGGGAGGCTGAGACGGGTGGATCACTTGAGGTCAGGAGTTTGAGACCAGCTTGGCCAACATGGCAAAAACCCATCTCTCCTAAAAATACAAAAAGTAGCCGGGTGTGGTGACATGCACCTGTAATTCCAGCTACTCAGGAGGCTGAGGCAGAAAAATTGCTTGAACCCTGGAGGTGGAGGCAGAGGTTGTGGTGAGCCGAGATAGCATCACTGCACTCCAGTGTGGGCAACAGAGCAAGACTCCGTCACAAAAAAATAAATAAAATAAATTTTGAGAAGGAAAATTTTAAAAAGCAACGTGTATTCACAATATTACAATTTTGAATGGGAACTGATGAAAACCACAGAGTATATTTTTAAATATATTATCCAGTTATATGCTAGTACATGTTAGTATCTGGATAAAATGAATTTATATATATATATATATATATATATGTATAATTTACCAAAACTGACTCGAGAGAAAATGGAAACTGAAATAGACCTATTAGCCATGAAGGATATTGTGAAAACAAAAAGCACTGGGCCTCAGATGGTTTTCTGTTTAAGCTCTTTCATTCTCTAAGGAAAATGTAATTTATATGTTATCTATACTGTTCCAGGGCATAAGGGAAGAGTTCAATTTCTAAAGCTGATCATAACAAAAACATTTGACAAAAGTAACCCTAAAAAATAAAAACTAAGAGATTTGTAATAAAATACATGCCAGACACATTCAAACAAACATACAGGCAAGGACAGCATTATTCATATCAGACTCCACTGAATTCAAGGCAAAAAAAAAAATGAGACAAAAAAGATACTTAATAAAGAGTTTAATCCATAATGAAGATACAATTGTCTGTCTTCTTTTTGTAATAAAAACCAATATCAGGGCCAGGTGTGGTGGCTCATGCCTATAAAATCCCAGCACTTTGGCGGGCCGAGGTGGGCAGATCACTTGAGGTCAGGAGTTTGAGACAAGCCTGGCCAATATGGCGAAACCCCGTCTCGCTCTACTAAAAATACAAAAATTAGCCAGGCATGATGGTGCCACCTGTTGTCCCAGCTACCTGGGAGGCAGAGGTTGCAGTGAGCCAAGATCGCGCCACTGCACTCCAGCCTGCGCGATGCAGCACAACTCTGTCTCAAAACAAAACCGACATCAAATTCCCAAAACAAACACTTTAAGCATTAAAAGGAGATATTTTTATGGAAACAGAAAAATTGCAGGCAATCTGGACAAGCCTGTGTAAGATTAAAGAGCCAAAAAGGTAAGGAATCTAAAGAATAATCACTGATGGAATGGAAAAATATACTGCTGTATTCATCTGCAAACATAGCCTATTCTTTGTAAGGACTGTGGAATATGTACACAATTTAATCATATTTGGGTCTCAAAGAAAACCTTAACAAAATCTCAAACTTGTAAATAGTACAGACCCCATACTTTGATAATTTTTGTTACTGGAAATTGTAGCCAAAAGAAAAAGAAAATTAGCCACTTAGAATTTCCAGAACTCTTCTTTTTGTTAGCCTTTTTAAATTTAAGCTCCAGGGTATATATGCAGGATGTGCAGGTTTGTTACCTAGGTAAATGTGTGCCACGGTGGTTTGCTGTACCTATCAACTCATCACCTAGGTGCTAAACCCAGTATGCATTAGCATTTTTCTTGATGCTGTCCCTCCCCTTGCCCCCTCAACGCGCCCCAGTGTGTAGTTCCCCTCCCTGTGTCTAAGCGTTCACATTGTTCGGCTTCCACTTACAAGTGAAAACATGAGGTGTTTGGTTTTCTGTTCCTGCATTAGTTTGCTGAGGATAATGGCTTCCAGCTCCATCCATGTCCCTGCAGAGGACATGATTTCATCCCTTTTTATGACTGTATAGTACTTCATGATAGGTATGTACCACATTTTCTTTCAGTCTATCTTTGATGGGTATCTGGGCTGATTCCGTGTCTTTGCTATTGTGAATAGTGCTGCAGTGAACACACACGTGCATGTATCTTTATGATAGAATGATTTATATTCCTCTGGGTATATACCCAGTAATGGGATTGCTGGGTCAAATGGTATTCCAGAAGTCTTCTTGAACAACTCTTGGATCAAAGAAGAAAGTAGATTTTAAATGTTCTCATCTAAGCAATGCTAGGTGAGGTGATGAATATGTCAATTATTTCACAGTGTATACATGCATCAAAACATATCGTACATATAAATATATACAATTTGTCATTTGTCAATTAAAAAATAAAATACAACTCAAAATTGAGGGGGAAGCAGCAATTATGAATCTTTAAAATGCGGAGGAAGGGATAGCTAAAGACAAAGAATTAGAAAACAGAGAAGCAGAAGTGATACACTTGAGATTTGATTCTTTTGAGGAGAAAAGAAACAACCCACATAAAACTGAAAACCTGTTTGCTTTCCTAATGAAGAAAAAATGGGAGAAAAACAGATACTTGATGTTTGTTAGAAATTAGAAAGGGCAAATAAATAACCACAGATGCAGAGGAAATAAAAATCGTAAGAGTATGCAAATAGGTATGCTTCACTCAACAGGGTGTGGACATATATTTAGGTCCAAAGTCCTATCCTCAATGCGTGTTTAGTGTGAAAAATGCTTATATGTAAAACCAATAACTTTCCAGAAGTAACCAGTTAGAAAATATCATGGGGAATGGAGTTAATAACAAAATTGCTGACCTGTAGGAAGAAAAGTACTCAACTTTATCAAGAAATTTATTTATTCAATGTATTTAACACATGCTTATACAATATAGGGCTTACTGTATGCCAGGTACATTTGATCTTTAAGGAACCCTAGAATGTAGGTTTGCTCATATCCACATTTTACAGATGAAGAAACTGAGGCACAAAGAGGTTAGGTAACTTGGCCAAAGTCACCCAGCTGGTAGAATGGCAGGACCAGGATTCAAAATGTAGTTAGCGTCGTCCAGCATCTGTGTGCGTTGCTATCATGCTGACTGCTCAGTTCATGCAGAGACATATTGCATTCCAGGAGGGAAGACTCGGTCTCATCAAATGATCCAACATAACTGGACTGAGCTCTCTGGCAGGGGCTGAAATGCAAAGCGTCTGTCCGAGGTGAATGTCAGTAGAATGGCACACAGCCACGGAGCTGCCGGTTTCCCACGAGTGCACTTAATCATACAGAGGTCCAAGTAGCATGAGGCTCCATCTTGAGATTCACCTGTCAGGGATCGGAGCAGGAGCCGCACCCATCACTTCTCCTCTGCATTCCCTCCTCTAAGTCCGCTAGCACAGATGTGATGGAGTGGCAGGACAGATCCTTCCTAACTCAACCCTCCTGTCCTCCTCTCTTAGATCCAGGAGATGGTCCACTCGGAAGTGGCTGCCTATGACTCGGGCCGGCCCGGGCCCCTGCTGGGTCGCCCGGCAATGCTGGCCAGCCACATGAGTGCCCTCAGCCAGTCCCAGCTCATCTCGCAGATGGGCATCCGGAGCAGCATCGCCCACAGCTCCCCATCACCGCCGGGGAGCAAGTCAGCGACCCCCTCTCCCTCCAGCTCCACTCAGGAAGAGGAGTCGGAAGTGCATTTCAAGGTATGTGCGGTGGAGGAACAGAGCCTGAAGCTGCCCTCCTGTCGGCAGGGAAGGGGTCCTGTGGGGAAATGGGCATCACCTCCCTCTAGTAAAGACTAGAAAAGCCTGATGTCCCAAGGTCCCCGTAGGTGCCATTCCCACTGAGCAGGCGTTCCTGGTGGCGGTTGGGATGTCCGCCACAGAGCTCAGTGGTTTTCTGTTAAGACCCCCAGGCCACGCTGGAAGCCAAGGAAAAAGCACATTGGCAGGTGGAGCACCTGGTCAGGGGGGATGGCACCTATGGGGCTTTGTGGCATCGGGCTTTGGCTGCTCCAAGTGCTGAGCGTCCTTGACAAGCTGTGTTCCCTCGGGGCTCCCACAGCCTTGTGCGTAAAGCAGAGAAAATTCCAACAAATGTTGAGGGGATGGGGTGAGAAGATCCTGTGAAAGTTGGCAAAGACTGACTCCTGAAGGCCAGTGGGCGATTTCAGAGGTGTGGACGGCTTCAGCAAGGCCATCGGGGTCACATTTATGGCCATTTGGCCCTTTTAGGAGAAAATATTCTGACAAAACTGTGTGGTCCAGAAGACAGCACCTCTGGGCCTAGAGTATTCACTGACCTTGAGGGTGGGGTGCAAAAATGACCGCCCCACTGGGAACATGCATTCCCCCAACATTCCTGGAGTCTAGAGTGGTTTGACCTCCTCAAGAACATGGTAGGGATGAGAGCCCGCCACCTGTCCGGGCTCTGGCCCTTCTTTGCATTGACTCCAAATCCACCTCCCGGTGAGAGAACATCTTGTCTTACCAGGGAGGAAAACAGAGGCCCAGAAATGCCAAAGACAGAAGTGTTTGCCCAGGGCCTCCCAGCGAGCTAGTGGCAGAATTAAGACTTATCTCCCTCCGTGCCTCCTGCCTCTGTCGATCCAGTGTCCTTTCCACGTGGTGGCCTCCCGAGGCCTAGGGCAGTAACCCTGGACTTTGGGGGAAGAGGGGTTTACTTCTGGATCCTGGCCCAGCTTCATCCTAAGGATGACTCGACCTCTATTATAGTCCATGCAGGAACGGTTTTTATTTAACAAACACTCTCTATGGGCCAGACACTGCTCTAAACACATAACAAGTATACGTCCATGTAATCCTCATAAAAGTCCTATAGGGCAGGGACTGTTATTATCTCTGTTTGGCAGATGGGGACACTGAGGCACAGAGAGGTTAAGTAATGTATCTGGTGTCACACAGCTAGTAAGTGGGGGGAACCAGGATTCAAACCCAGGAGGCTGCAGGTGCAGTCCAGTGTATGTGCCCTCAACCCCCTGCCCTGCTGTGCCTGTTCAGGACTTTATCAATGACAACATGCCTCTTCATCCCTGATCTTGCTAGGGTCACACCACGGTGCTAACACAACTGGGGCTTGGAGAAGGGAGTAGCTGCAGAGATAAGCCTCAGGAACAGAACCATGTCCTTCAGACATGGATGCCTGATCATGCCTACTGGCCCATGGCTTTGTCATCAGGTCAACATGTCACCTCCATCTTCTTGGCTCCTAGAGCCAGAGTCTTCACTACAGGGTCCAGGGCTTTTGACCAAAGTCCCCTGTTCCTACATGGCTTGAGTGACCCAACAGAGACCCACTGAGGTCTGTGGTGGGCATCCCAACACCACCCCATCCTGGAAGCCCTAAGTCAAGTGTTCACAGGATCATGGTCCTGCAGTCTGTCCAGAGTGAAGCCACTGGTTCCAGGGCTGACGCAGTAACAGTCGCTTTAGCCTCGTGCCCTCCCCACTTCACAGGGTCAAGGGACTAAGCCACCTGCTCAAAGCTGCACAGCTGAAACATGGCGGTGGAGACCAGCCTTTTGTAATGCAGGATCCTTTTTGGGGATTGTGCTCACAAGTGGGAGGGCAGATATATACACACACACACACACACACACACACACACACATATATATATACACACATATATATACAGACATATATATACTATATATACACATATATATACATATATACTATATATATACATATATACTATATATACACACACATATATATACTATATATACACACACATATATATACATATACACACACACACACACGTATATACACATATACACACATGCACACACACTCCAAACTTGGAAATAGGCCCCCAAATAACTGCACATTCTTTCAATGTCATACCAAAGCCTTGGCTAACAGGCTCACTCAATAATTATCTGATTCCCTAGGAAACTGGACCTTTGCTTTGATTCATTATTCACTATTGATTAGGGGATTTCACAACTCTGTAAAAGAAGATGTTACCTTGGGCGGGGGAGGGGAAGTGATAAGAGATGTAAGGGATTTTTGTCTGATTATAAGGCAAATTAACTTTGCCCGGTAGAGATGCAAATTTCTGTCCAGTAGAAAAGATTAAAAGTCCCAAAGGTGATAGTTTCAGCGCTCTATTGGGCACTAACCAGTTTCACGTGTAATTTAGTAATCTAATTCCAGCATTCTTTCCATTCTTTCAGTGACTATACAGTCCGTCTTCTCCTCCTGCATTTCTCTGAATCAACTTTACAATCATGCTGATTCTCTTTAATGAGTTAAACACCCACCCAGGGTGTGTGTGTCTGTCTGTCCATTGCCCCCTCCATCGCGCGAGTGGTTATCTGTGCATGAGCAGGGCTGGAGAAGTGCAGCTCGGCCCAAGTCTGTGTTGATCGCCTTTGGCAGGAGGCCCTTGGGCTTCTTTGGTTTTCTGACTCTTCTCACTCGGGCAGATCTCGGGAGAAAAGAGACCTTCAGCCGACCCAGGAAAAAAGGCCAAGAACCCGAAGAAGAAGAAAAAGAAGGACCCCAATGAGCCGCAGAAGCCTGTGTCGGCCTACGCACTCTTCTTCAGAGACACTCAGGCCGCCATCAAGGGTCAGAACCCCAGTGCCACTTTCGGTGACGTGTCCAAAATCGTGGCCTCCATGTGGGACAGCCTGGGAGAGGAACAGAAGCAGGTGAGCCTCCCTCTCTTTCTGGGCCATCCCCTGAGGCTTTGTGGTCCTGGAACCAAGGACACACTTTGAAGGTCTGAAACCAGGCCCAGCTCTGGAACTAGAGACTCTTACAGAGGTCTTTCCTGGGCTCAGGTTGCCCATCTGTAAACTGGGAAGCTAGCTGCCTTCCAATTCTACTAACCAACTGCATTTACTAGCAACTTAACCACTCTGAACCTCTGCTTCCCGCAACTTAACCATTCTGAACCTCTGCTTCCCCCTTGATAAAATGAGAACAAGCATCTCCATCCATCTTGTCCCACCAACCCTAAAAGTCTGGAGTCCAGGCCAGAGCTTCCTATCCCACTGACCATGTGCCTGTGGCCTCCTCTAAAGGCCTCCAGGGAGAATAGAGAGCAGAACTAGCTGGTAGGCAAATGGAGTTGCCAGCTGTGTGACCTCAGCCTGACCACCTAAACTCTCTGAGCCTCGGTTTTCATGTCTATTAAAACAGGGGTGCTGGCTACTCCTTCTCTGAGCTCACATCTGGGCTGGGCTTTCCCCCCGGTATGTCACTGAATCCTTACAACACCCTGTGGAGTAGCCATTGCTTTCCTGTTTGGTAGAGACACCAAGAGGTAAAGTGACTCACCCAGGGTCACCAGCGTGAATCAAGGTAGAGTCAGGATTTGAACTCACATCTGTAGAAGCAGGAGGCTCAACTGGGCTGTTGGCATGAGAGACATGAATCAAATAAGCAGATGAGTAAATGTAAAATTACAATTGTGATTGTGCCGTGTACCAGGAGGGTACATAGTTCATGAGAGTGGAAAGAGCAGGGACGGACATTGTCCCAGGGGTCAGGTCACCAGGTGAGACCTGAAGTGTGAGTTCTCTTTGGAGGAGGGGAAGTGTTCCAGACAGGGAGGCCTGGTAAGGAAGGAGGCTGGAAAAGCACAGGGGACTGAAAGGAGACCAGGATGGCCAGAGAGGAGACAATAAGAGTACCCATGGCAGAGACGGAGCTGGAAAGGAGGGCAGGGGCCAGACCACGCTGGGCTTTGCAGACCTTGGAAGTAGTCAGGCCCTGTTCTAAGAGGAGAGAAAACCAGTGAAGAGTTTTATGTAGAGGAGAGACTGGAACGGCAGCATAAGGCAGGTAAGAGTGGATGTGGAGGGTGCACAGTGATCCAGGTGGGGGAAGGTAGGGTCTGGAGCATCTTCCAGAATGGTTTAGGGTAGGGGACACAGAGCATGTCCTGGGAGCCTCCTTGCATCTGGCTTCCATTCTGAGTAAATGGAGATGCCAGTCACTGGATGGGAAATATGGGGAAAGTAGCAGGCTTGGGGCAGAGAGATGAATTACTGACTTATTTGAAACATCATCTTTACCGTATTCTAAAATTTTAGGTAATTTTGGAATATGTTATAATGCAGAGAGTTTATTTGGGAGATGATCCCCACCTCTGGTAGGGGAGTGGGGAAATGAGACAGGGAAAGGAGGGCAGCCAGGAAAGGGCACATTGTCCCAGGAGAATCCACCATGGGCAACTGGAGCACAATCCCGCTGGGAACTCAGGAGCCTGCTTAGAACGTGCCAGGCCTCAGGGTCATCCTGTCTGAGGGGCAAGGGTGCTGGGGTGGACACCAGCATTCCTTCAGAGCTGCTCCAGGGGACATTACTTCTGCAGCACCCCTGGCCTGCTACACATGCCAGGCTCCTGCCACCAGAGGGACCCTCAGGCAAAGGAATATAGCCGGTGGCAGCTGGAAGTAGAGCATGTTTGTAGGACAGGGGTAAGGACTGGGGGATATTGGCAGGGCACTGTGGCTTTTGCTATAGGGACGTCTGTCATTTTCACTTGTGTGTTTCGTTGGCAACCAATTCCCTTTCAAAAGACTTCAGGTTGTTTTTGTTTGGTGGGGGGATTTCCTTGCCGTTTTATACAGTCTGGGGAGACAGTGGTCTCAAGTCCTATGTCCCCGGGCACTCCCTCCACCGATGCTTTCTCTGACCTCATTCAGCGCAGCCCAGAGGCAAGCAAAGGTGGTTGAGAGTCCCAGCCCCTGTGTCGGTTTCATTTCTGCTTACCTGTCTGACGTTTTATTTCTAACCCAAGAACTTGGCATATATTTATTTCCATCCGATAATGGGCATTTCTCTCCTTTTACTTAATGCGTTCTTTTACTTAATGCGTTATAAATGGCTTGTTTCTCCCCATTTTCCTAGCAAATTGTTGAGTATAAAAAGTTAGGAATTTAATTTGTAACTGCCAAGCTTACTATTTATTTTATCATTTCTGATCATTTTTAATTCCTGAGTCTTCTAGGTTTAAAAAAAGTGTCTATAATTATACACATATTTATACATATGTATCTTTTACAAATGATAATTTTGTCTCCTTTGTTATTTGTTTTTTAAGAGACAGGGTGTCACTCTGTCACCCAGGCTAGAGGTCAGTGGCATGATCATAGCTCACTGCAGCCTTGAACTCCTGGGCTCAAGCAATTTTCCCAGCTCAGCTTCCCAAGTAGCTGGACTACAGGCGTGCCATGCATCACCATGCCCCACAAAATTTTTTCTTTTTTTTGGTATTTTGTAGAGACAGGGTCTTGCTGTGTTGCTCAGGCTGACAAACTCTTAGCCTCAAATGATCATCCCACCTTGGCCTCCCAAAGTGCTGGGATTAGAGGCATGAGCCACTATATCCAGCCATATCTCCTTATTTTGTCTCCTCACTTCTCAGATTTCTAATTCTGTTTTCTTTTCCCAGTTATGTTGACTAGGACTTCTAAAAAAGAGATGTTCAGCAATGGCGGGGATAGTGGTCTTCTTACTTTGCATTACCTCTCATGTTTCACTATTAAGCATAAGGCTGGATGTTAGCTTGTGTCAGTTTTTGAAATCACATTTAGAAATGTGACTTATATTCCTATTTTACTATTAATACACTAATAACCAAGAGAGGTAGTGAGAAAATAATAGGAAATAAAAAAACCTTGCCTATCCCCCAAAAGTTTCAAGCCTAGGTGATGGATAGGAAAGTTCTTTCAAATCATCAAAGAGCTAATAATTCCAAGACTTAGAAAAATAAGAAAACCTTCACAAGTCTTTATATACAATGTAACCTTGACACTAAAACATAATGAAGCTAACTGCATCATTTAATTTTGAATGTGTAATAAACAATACCAAAATTTAATGGCTTAAAACAATAATCATTTATTCAACTTATGATTCTGAGGGTCCATGAACTGTGCTGGGCTCAGCAGGATGGTTCTGCTGCTGCTCTTGGCTGGGCTCACCCATTTGCATCAGTGGTCAACTACAGTAAATTAGGCATCTCTGCTTCTGGGAGTTGGATGGCTGTCAGCTGGAGCAGTGGAGCCAAACTGGGCCATGTGTCTTTCATCATCCAGCAGACTAGCTCATGCTTATTCACATAGCAAGTCAGAGTTCCAAGAGCAGTTTTAGAGCAGAAAAATGGCAGGAAGGAGGCAGGACTAACTTGCAGCTCCCACTCGGACAGACAGAGCACGGAGACTCACATTGTGAACTTTTGCTCCAAGAACTACCACAGGAACATACTAGGAAAGCCAAAAGAATCCACAGACACTTTGAAGGATGTGGATTGCTGCTGCAGGCTCTCTGGGACAGCCAAGGAATTGTGAGTTGGCGTGCTTTCTCAGCTGGGAGGCCTGTAGCCTGGGGCAAGTTCTCAGCCCTGTTCACTAGCTGCCTGGAAATAAACTCGGTGCTGTTGGGGGTGCATGGTGGGAGTGAGACCAGCCTGTGGCTGCCAGCTTTCCCTCACTTCCCTGACAACCTGTGTGATGCAGCAGTCAGCCATAATCCCTCTGGGAACCACAACCCCCACAGCATCTGCAGCAAGCCCCACCTAACCCTGCCCCTACCTGATGGTCTTTCTCTACCTGCCCTGTTAGCCTAAGACAAAGGACATAATCTCTCTTGGGAACTCCATGGCCCCGCCCACCACCTGACACTAGGGCAAGCTTGTATCCTCCCTATACTACTGCAGCTGATGTGCTCTAGAAAGTGCTACCTCCTGGCTAGAGGCCAACCAACACAAAACCAGTGCACTTAAAAATACAACCAAGGACCCTCATGGAGTCCACTTCACTCCCCTGCTACTTCCACTGGACCAGGTGTTGATATCCATGGAGGAGAGACCTGAAGACAGATCACATCACAGGACTCTTTGCAGACACTCCCCAGTACTAGCCCAGAGCCCGGTAGCTCCGCTGGGTGGCTAGATCCAGAAGAGAAATAACAATCACTGCAGCAGGGCTCTCAGGAAACCACATCCCTAGGGGAAGGGGGAGAACCCCAAGGGACAGGAGAATCTGAATAGCAGCCTTGAGTCCCAGATCTTCCCTCTGACATAGTTTACCCAAATGGGAAGGAACCAGAAAAATAATTCTGGTAATATGACAAAACGAGGTTATTTAACACCCCCAAAAGATAACACTAGCTCAACAGCAATGGATCCAAACCAAGACAAAATCTCTGAATTGCCAGAAAAAGAATTCAGAAGGTTGATTGTTAAGCTAATCAAGGAGGCACCAGAGAAAGGTGAAGTCCAACTTAAAATAAAAAGAATTATACAGCATATGAATGGAAAAATCTCCAGTGAAATAGCATAAATAAAAACAATCACAACTTCTGGAAATGAAGGACACACTTAGAGAAATGCAAAATACACTGGGAAGTCTCAGCAACTGAATTGAACAAGTAGAAGAAAGAACTTCAGAGCTCAAAGACAAGGCTTTCAAATTAACCCAATTCAACAGAGACAAAAAATTTTAACAAATGAACAAAGCCTCCAAGAAGTTTGGGATTATGTTAAATGACCAAATCTAAGAATCACTGGTGTTCCTGAGGAAGAAGAGAAATCTAAAAGTTTGGAAAATATATTTGAGGGAATAATTGAGGAAAACTTCCCTGGCCTTGCTAGAGATCTAGACATCCAAATACAAGAAGTTCAAAGAACACCTGGGAAATTTGTCACAAAAAGAAGGAAAGGAAAACCTTTCAGATTAACAGCAGATTTCTTAGCAGAAACCCTACAAGCTAGAAGGGATTGGGGTCCTATTTTTAGCCTCCTTAAACGATTAGCCAAGAATTTTGTATCCAGCAAAACTAAGCTTCATTACAGTTCTTTTTTTCAAAGCAATGCTGAGAGAATTTGCCACTGCCAAGCCAGCACTGCAAGAACTACTAAAAGGAGCTCAATCTTGAAACAAATTTTTGAAATACACAAAAATGGAATCTCCTTAAAGCATAAATCTCACAGGACCTCTAAAATAATAACACAATTTTTTAAAAACCACAAGGTATTTGGGCAACAAATAGCACAACGAATAGAATAGTACCTCACATCTCAATACTAGCACTGAATGTAAATGGCCTAAATGCTCCACTTAAAAATACAGAATGGCAGAATGAATAATTGACCAACTGAGTATCTGCTGTCTTCAAGAGACTCACCTGACACATAAGGACACACATAACCTTTAGGTAAAGGGGTGGAAAAAGATACTCCATGCAAATGGATACCAAAAGTGAGCAGGAATAGCTATTCTTATATCAGACCAAACAAACTTTAAAGCAACGGCAGTTGAAAAAGACAAAGAGGGACATTATATAATAAAACTAGTCCAACAGGAAAATATCACGATCCTAAATTTATATGCATCTAACATTGGAGCTCCCAAATTTAAAAAAATAATTACTACTAGACCTAAGAAATGAGAAAGATAGACAGTAAAACAACAATAGCGGGAAACTTCAATACTCCACTGACAGCACTAGACAGGTCATCAAGACAAAGTCAACAAAGAAACAATGAACTTAAACTTACCCTGCAACAAATGGACTTAACAGATATTTATAGAACATTCTACCCAACAACTGCAGAATATACATTCTGTTCATCAGCACATGGAACGTTCTCCAAGATAGACCATACAATAGGCCATAAAACAAGTCTCAACAAATTTAAGAAAATAATAGAAATTATATCAAGTACTCTCTCAGAACATAGTGGAATAAAACTGGAAATCAACTCCAAAAGGAACCCTCAAAACAATGCAAATATATGGAAATAGTTAAATAACCTGCTCCTGAATGATTGTTGGGTCAACAATGAAATCAAGATGGATATTATAAAATTATTTGAACTGAACGATAATAGTGACATAACCTATCAAAACCTCTAGGATACAGCAAAAGTGGTGCTAAGAGGAAAGGTCATAGCATTAAATGCCTACATCAAAAAGTCTGAAAGAGCACAAATAGACAATGTAAGGTCACGCCTCAAGGAACTAAAGAGAGAGAACACACCAAACTCAAACGCAGCAGAAGAAAAAAATGACCAAGATCAGAGCAGAACTAAATGAAATTGAAACCAAAAAATACAAAAGATAAACAAAAAGCTGGTTCTTTGAAAAGATAAATAAAACTGATAGACCATTAGTGAGATTAACCAAGAAAAGAAGAGAGAAGATCCAAATAAGCTCAATTAGAAACAAAACATGAGATATTACAACCGATACCACAGAAATACAAAAGATCATTTAAGACTACTATGAACACCTTTATGTACATAAACTAGAAAACCTAGAGGAGATGGATAAATTCCTGGAAATATACAACCCTCCTAGATTAAACCAGACCAATAACAAGCAGTGAGATTGAAATGGTAATTAAAAAGTTACCAACAAAAAAAGGCCAGGACCAGATAGATTCAGAGCTGAATTCTATCAGACTTTTAAAGGACACTATTCCACAAAATAAAGAGGGAATCCTTCCTAAATTATTCTATGAAGCCAGTCAATCACCCTAATACCCAAACCAGGAAAGGACATAACAACAACAAAAAAACGAAAACTGCAGGCCAGTATTCCTTCTATGCCCAAAATCAGCATAGAAGGGATATACTTCAAGGTAATAAAAGCCATCTATGATAAACCAGAGCCAACATTATAGTGAATGGGGAAAAATTGAAAGCATTCCCCTTGAGAACTGGAACAAGACAAGGATGCCCACTCTTACCACTTCTATTCAACAGAGTACTGGAATTCCTAGCCAGAGCAATCAGACAAGAGAAAGAAAGAGCATCCAAATCTGTAAAGAGGAAGTCAAAGTGTTGCTGTTTGCTGATGATATGATTGTATACCTAGATGAACATGAATGCAAAAATCCTCAGTACAATACTAGCTAACTGAATCCAATGTTGTATCAGAAAGATAATCCACCATGATCAAGTGGGTTTCATACCATGGATGCAGGGATGGTTTAACATACACGAGTCAATAAATGTGATATACCACATAAACAGAATTTAAAACCACATGATCATCTCAATAGACACAGAAAAAGCATTTGACAAAATTGAGCATCCCTTTGATTAAAACCCTCAGCAAAATCGGCATAGAAGGGACATACCTTAAGGTAATAAAAGCCATCTATGATAAATCCAGAGCCAACATTACACTGAATGGGGAAAAGTTGAAAGCATTCCCCCTGAGAACTAGAACAAGACAAGGATGCCCATTTATTCGATGCAGTACTGGAAGTCCTGGCCAGAGCAATCAGACAAGAGAAAGAAATAAAGGGCACCAAATCAGTAAAGAGGAAGTCAAACTGTCACTGTTTGCTGATGGGATTATCATATACCTAGAAAACCCTAAAGACTCATCCAAAAAGCTCCTAGAACTGGTAAATGAATTCAGCAAAGTTTCAAGATACAAAATTAATGTACACAAATCAATAGATCTGCTATACACCAACAGTGACCAAGCTGAGAATCACATCAAGAACTCAACCCCCTTTAACTGCAAAATAAATAAATAAATAAATAAATAAATAAATAAATAAATGAATAAATAAAATACTTAGGAATATACCTAACCAAGGAGGTGGAAGACCTCTACAAGGAAAACTACAAAACACTGCTGAAAGAAATCGTAGATGAAACAAATGGAAACACATCCCATGCTCATGGATGGGTAGAATCAATAGTGTGAAAATGACCATACTGCCAAAAGCAATCTATAAATTAAATGCAATTCCCATCAAAACACCACCAACATTCTTCACAGAACTAGAAAAAACAATCCTAAAATTCATGTGGAATCAAAAAAGAGCCCTCATAGCCAAAGCATGACTAAGCAAAAAGAACAAATCTGGAGGCATCACATTACCCGACTTCAAACTATATGGCCATAGTCACCAAAACAGCATGGTACTGGTATAAAAATAGGCATATAGACCATGGAAAAGATTAGAGAACCCAGATATAAAGCCAAATCCTTACAACCAACTGATCTTTAACAAAGCAAACAATAACATGAAGTGGGGAAAGGACACCTTATTCAACAAATGGTGCTTGGATAATTGGCAAGCCACATGTAGAAGAGTGAAACTGGATCCTCATCTCTCACCTTATACAAAAATCAACTCAAAATGGATGGAAGACTTAAATCTAAGACCTGAAACCCTAAAAATTCTAGAAGATAACACTGGAAAAACCCTTCCACAGACATTGGCTTAGGCAAAGACTTCATGACCAAGAACCCAAAAGCAAATGCAACAAAAACAAAGGTAAATAGATGGGACTTAATTAAACTAAAAAGCTGCACAGCAAAAGAACCAGCAGGGTAAACAGACAACCCACAGAGTGGGAGAAAATCTTCACAATCTATACTTTCGACAAAGGACTAATATCCAGAATCTACAAAGGAACTCAAATCAGCAAGAAAAAAACAATCCCATCAAAAATTGGGCTAAGGAGATGAATAGAGAATTCTCAAAAGAAAATATACAAATGGCCAACAAACATATTAAAAAATACTTAACATCATTATGATCAGGGAAATGCAAATCAAAACCACCTTACTCCTGCAAGAATGTCCATAATCAAAAAATAGATGTTGGCATGGATGTGGCAAAAAGGGAACACTTTTACACTGTTGGTGGGAATATAAACTAGTACATCCACTGTGAAAAACAGTGTGGAAATTCCCCAAAGAACTAAAAGTAGATCTACTGTTTGACCCAGCAATCCCACTGCTTGGTATCCACCCAGAGGAGAAGAAATTTTACAAAAAAGATACTTGCACATGTTTGTAGCAGCCCAATTTGCAATTGCAAAAATATGGAACCAGCCCAAATGCCCATCAATCAATGAGTAAAGAAAATGTGCTACATATATATACACACATATATATGTACACACACACACATATACATATATATGTACACACACACACACACAAACACCATGAAATACTACTCAGCCATAAAAAGGAAGGAAATAATGGCATTTGCAGCAACCTGGATGGAATTGGAGACAATTATTCTAAGTGAAGTAACTCAGGAATGGAAAACCAAACATTGTATGTTCTCATAAGTGGGAACTAAGCTATGAGGACACAAAGGCATAAGAATGATACAATGGACTTTGGGGACTTGGGGAAAAGGATGGTAGTGAAGGATAAAAGACTATCATCAGGTACAGTGTACACTGCTCAGGTGGTAGGTTCACCAACATCTCAGAAATCACCATTAAAGAACTTATTCATATACAAAAAAAATTTTTAAATAAGAGTTCCAAGAGTAGCAAGAGGGCTCACCAATATGTGATCACTTTGTCAGTCTCTGCATGCATCACATTTGTGCTTGTCTTATTGGCCAACACAAGTCACACAAGGCTAAGCTCCAAGTCATTTGCACCTCCTCGTTTCTACCAAAAGCCATGGAAACAAGGAGGTGCGAACAAACTGGGACCAGTCCTACAATAACATATGAACCTAGGTCTAAAATTTTTAATAAAAAATATTAGCAAACCGAATCCAAACTAACATACTATGAACAAGTAGGTTCATTCTAGGTTGCGAAGGTGGTTCGGCATTAAGAAATCTGCACTGTGCTGGCTCAGAATGGGGGCTTCAAAGGGCATTGTCTTTCTGTGATCAGTTGTGCTGATAGAACCTGGAGGCCCAGAGAGATGAAGCATGTTGGCCAAGGCCACACAGTGACTTGGCTGAGGAACTGGGATATGGCCTGGTCTCCACAATTTCTCTGCAGCGCTCCCAGAAAGGGGCCAGTGGCTGGCTGACTCAGCTTCTGACCCCACCACCCTCGTCCATTCGTGATCCTTGAATCCATGCCTTCCCACCCCAGGACCCTGCACGGCATCTCCTCTGTAACTTTCTCCCCAGTGTTGCTCATGTGTTGACTCTTCCAGGCCTACAAGAGGAAGACAGAAGCAGCAAAGAAGGAATATCTGAAGGCCCTGGCAGCCTACCGGGCTAGCCTCGTCTCCAAGGTAACACCCGGAATCTCCAGGCACAGCCCTGATCAGAGTGGGGCCACTTGAGGAATGGAGCAAGAACTGGGGCCCGTGGGAAGGGCCGGCACCCCAGGTCTTAGAAAGAATGGCTCAGACCTACATGGTCATGTCTGCAGGGCACCTACAGCATGCCAGGCTCATTCTGGGCACTTTACATGCATTTCATTGGCTTCTTCCAACAAGAACCCAGCACCCAGAGGGGTTGAGCAACTTGCCTGAAAAGATCCAGTTTGTTAAAGTGGCCGCACTAGGATTCAAACCCAGTTTTGCCAGTTTTATGTGGCCTTCACTTCTGACCGCTGATGGGGCTTGGGACACGCTACCCCAAAATATGGCACCTCCTCACCACACCGTCGGCCTCCTCTGTCAACACCAGCAACGTAGGAAGCTAAGTGTGGCTGCGGATGCGTGGCCCAAGTGGAGGTGGGTGTTGTTCCTGGTACAGAAGAGATGGCATCCAAACTGGTCTATAACAGGCCAAGTAAAAGGTGGTTCAAAGTCAAGGGAAAAACATCTACAAAGGCACAGAGGTTGGAAGGAGCATGATTAGAGCTGGCTCAGTGGGATGGTGCTTGTCTCACTGGCCAGGCTGAGGAGCATGGATTCCCCCAAGGGCAGGGGAGCCCCCCAAAGATAAAAGCAGTAGGTGACTGGATGGTCAGAGCCAAGGGGACTAAGGACCCTGTGCTATCTCTGGTTAGTCCAAGCTCTCTCCCAAGACAGCCAGCCAGCAGCCGTGTCAGTGGGTTGCAGAGCCTCCTGGCCTCACAGCCCATGTTCTGGCTCATCCCTCTTCTGTTCTCCAGTGACTGATATCTGTCTCCTTCCAGAGCTCCCCAGATCAAGGTGAGACCAAGAGCACTCAGGCAAACCCACCAGCCAAAATGCTCCCACCCAAGCAGCCCATGTATGCCATGCCAGGCCTGGCCTCCTTCCTGACGCCGTCGGACCTGCAGGCCTTCCGCAGTGGGGCCTCCCCTGCCAGCCTCGCCCGGACGCTGGGCTCCAAGTCTCTGCTGCCAGGCCTCAGTGCGTCCCCGCCGCCGCCACCCTCCTTCCCGCTCAGCCCCACACTGCACCAGCAGCTGTCACTGCCCCCTCACGCCCAGGGCGCCCTCCTCAGTCCACCTGTTAGCATGTCCCCAGCCCCCCAGCCCCCTGTCCTGCCCACCCCCATGGCACTCCAGGTGCAGCTGGCGATGAGCCCCTCACCTCCAGGGCCACAGGTAAGCAGGGAAGAGCAGAACAGCCCTTCTGTGACCGTGTGGGGAGGGGAAGCGGCTTTGCCCTTTCAAACCCTGGCCCTGCCACTCACCAGTGATATAACCTCAGCCTTGGCACCTGACCTCTCTGAGCCTCAGTTACCACATCTAGGAAGTGGGTCTCGCACACCTTACCTGAGATGTGCTGGCTGCAGTGAACAGTTCACGAGTTGCCAGACTGACTCTTAGGATACTCCAGTCCCCCCTTCCTGCATCCTCAGCCCTAGCCCTGGCCCTTCCCAAAGCCTTCGAGACCTTACCCCCGCTAATTGTTCCACAGAGATTGCTACGAGGTTCACATGGCCCTTAGAGGTCATTGGGTTCAGTAATTCCATTTTACAGATCGAGAAACTGAGGCCCAGAAAGGGAAAGGCCCTGAAAGCCAAGTCCTTCAGCCCCTGATTCAGCCAAGACAAGGGTTGAACATTTTGAAAGGTGCTCTACTGGGAGCAAGGCAGCAGCCCTGGAGGCAGCATCTCTTTGGTGTGGACACCCTTGGACACATGGGCTCTCACCCCGGGAGGCCTGGGACAGTCTGCCCCCTCATCTCTCCTTGGCTCATGGCCTCCTCCTTCCCACTCTGTAGGACTTCCCGCACATCTCTGAGTTCCCCAGCAGCTCGGGATCCTGCTCACCTGGCCCATCCAACCCCACCAGCAGCGGGGACTGGGACAGCAGCTACCCCAGTGGGGAGTGTGGCATCAGCACCTGCAGGTTAGTCCTCGCCCGTCCCTGCCTTTGTCCTGCCAGCCAGGGAGAGTGGGAACAGGATGGCCAGGGATGGGAGAATGGCCAAGGGCAACGTGGACAGGGGAGGACCCTGCAGTCACTGTCAGCCCTGCTGAGGGGATCGATATCTCAGATGACACCGCAGAGCCAGGCCCCGGAAGGACTCTGCTGGCCTGATGCTGAGGCCTGCTTGGGAAACTGACTAGTCTTCAGTCTTGCTGCTTCTTCCTTGCTCCTGTTTTTTTCACAAGTGCTTCCACGTGACATTCACAGATGAGTCCTGCATCTTAGGCCAGTTCCCTAGAAGCAGAGCCTGAGGCAGCAGGGATTGGGTGCCTTTGGGGATGCACTGGGGAAAGCTTGCAGGAGAAGGGGGTGAGGGAGGCAGGACAGGGTGGGGGAAGGAGCTGAGGGGGGATGTGGCCTCAGCTGAAGACTTGCTTCTGCCTCATCCCATGGGAGCCCTGGAGCATGAACGGTGCTAGAGTGGCTCCCACCTGGAGGTCAGGGAACTGGCTTTTTGAACCCTTCATCAGTCAGCCCTTGGCTGTGGGCTGCCCCGGGGTGAGTGTAGCCCACTGGGCAGGGCAGCTCCCAAGACTAGAACAGCTAAGAATGCAGGACAGGGGACCTCGGTGGGACACGGTGGGAGAAGGGACCCACTGTCTATCCCAAGGAATTACAGACACCTTAGAGACCCCTTCTCCCTGCACCCCAGTGTCCTCCCTAGTCCTCCTGTGGGCCTCCTGTCTCAGGCCTCTGTTCCTATCCTGCACTCCACCTTTCAAACCCATGCTAACACCTCCCTCTAGAAAGTCTTCCTGGATCCACGCCACCCCAACTCTGGGGAAGAGTGACCTTTCAACAACCGCAGCCAGCAGGAGAGGGAGAGTGCAGTGAGGAGGGACACTTGCTCCTTAACCCGCCAGCCAGGTTCCCATTCCCTTGGCAAAAATGAGTCCCGCAGCCACACCTGGGGGACGTAGTGCCAAGCAGCTGTCCCAGCGATAGCGCCACAACCTGGAAGGCACAGCGCACTTGTCGGGTGGCCACCTTGCTGCTGAGAAACGCTGCCCCCAGCCCTAGCCTCGGCCTCCCAGCACACGGCTGGTTCCTCTGCTGACCCACCAGCGCCCTTGGACACTGAACAAGTGACCAGCGCGCATGCCCCATTTCTGACATGCCTGAAGTGAGATTCTACATGGGTGGGTGGACTCAGCTCAGCAAGAATCCCTTCCCTGCACCCCAAGCAGGTGCAGACCCTCCTACCCCAGCCCTTTCCTGTCCCTAAGTTTCCTTCTCAAAAGTCAGAATACTTAGGGTATGTAGGGGAGTGTCACACAATGTCCAAGCCTCCTGAGGCTTGCCCATCACATCCAGCATGGAGGTCAGACCCCAGCAGGGCCGTATTTTAAAAACATAAAAAGCACCTGTCCTCCCTTAATTCAGTTTGAGATTTACAAATTCCTGTGATTAAAAACCCATGTGAGAGCAATGGTGACATCGGCGTGCGCCTCGATGAAAGACAGACACGCTACTGCCCTTTCACCCAGAGCTGAGGACCGGGTGGTCCCCTGCTGGGTTTCCGGGAGGGGTTTGGTTCTGCTTGGTGTAGAGGTGGGTGGGGGTGGGACTTGCAGATGCAAGTCCCTCATTCAGCCACAGAGGGGCAGCTGAATCCAGGGGTGGGGGTGGGGCGTACAGTGCAGGGGTCCTGGTGCTCCCCTGGCCCGGAGAGGTACCCAACAGCTTTGACAGCCCCTCCTCTCTCTCACAGCCTGCTCCCCAGGGACAAATCGCTCTACCTCACCTAATCCCGCCTCCCTACCATCCCTGAGGCTCGCTGGAAGGCACTGCTCAGAGCCTGAAGGGCTGACAGCAGAAAAGAGGCCCTGGCCAGAGGCAGGGTGGCCCATCGGAGAGAGCAGTGACACACCCATTGCCCGGGGGCTGAGTCTCTTCCTCAACCTCCCACCAGACTCTGCAGAGGCAGCCCACTGCCCACCACCAGCCCAAAGAACCTGCAGGAACCTTCCGCCCGCTGACCTGCTTGCTCCAGGGTAACTGTGGACCCTGTCCTCGCCCTGCGCACGGTACCCTATGTCTGGACACCCGGCCCCAGCTCCAGCCCCAGCCCAGGTGGGCCGCCCCTGGCGGGGTCGCTTACCAACGGACACCCACCCCAGATGCATGGGCCAGAGGGCCGGCCCCCGGCATAGATGTGCACATCGGTTTTCCAGTGTGAACAAAAGATTACGAAACCTAGAAACTGTTGGTTCCGTGTAAGTAGTTGACTACGTGTTTTAGAACTGTGCTGAAGACATCTGTAAGACTATTTTGTGGGGGAAAAAAGTAGTTTCCTTTAAGGTAAAAAGCATTTTATATGATCCTTAGCACATTTTTAAGTTTTATCTTAAGGGAGACGCGCACAAAAGCGGCTGCCAAACCGTTTCGTCATCCTCACAGCAAGGACCGGACGCTTGCTAGCCACCCCGGAGCACTGCTCTCCTTTTAATCATGTATTCATCTATTTTAAATTGCCGGCGACGACTTTTGTCTATTTATGAAGAAACCTTGAGAACGAAGTTACAGCTTATCCTACCGTGTGTGTGGTTTTGGGGTTTCGTTTGGGTTTGGGTTCTTGACGTCGTTTGCAGCTGTTTCCTGGCCCTGGCGAGTGTCTGTCTTGGTGCCCAGTGCTTCTCTCAAATCTCTTTATAATAAAACTTCTGAAAAGCTGAAAACAAGTCTGTGTCTCCTTGCCCTTGGTGAGCCAGGGTTGAACCCCCTAAAGTGGCATAGAGCCCCTCGGGCCAGACGGACACGGGTCAAAGTCTTGCCTGACCTTTACCAGCCCATGTGGGTTTGTGTGTGGGTGATGGGACCACTCTGACCTCAGTCTTGCCCTCTAAGGGGGTAACAGTGGTCAGACCCGTAGGGCTCTTGCGACGATGAGAAGGGGTGTGGGCAAGAACGCCGCCACACAGGAACTTGCATCAGCTGGTGACAGTGGCGAGCCCTTCCTCTGGAGGATGGGGCCACCCAGGCTTGTGGAGGTGAGCAGTGGGAATCCAGGGAGGAGGCCAAGGGGTTTTTCAAACCTGAGTGTAGGAAGCATCCCAGACAGGGAATTCTTTAAACCAGATTTCCCAGCAGATGTTAGATGGTGATACTAACAACGACAGCAAACAACAACAAAAGGCAAATAATAGTTGACTGTTTTAACTACATCTGGAAAAATACCAATTGCCTGGTGGGAGGCTGCAACTCTTGCACCCTGTGATGCAGCCATTTTGAGGTGGGGACAGGTGCCCCCGCTCCCAGCCAGGCTCGGGACCGAGACAGAGGAGCCCCCACACTCAGGACAGCTCTCCCAGCCTCTCACTCTCCAATCACGGTAAACCCCCTCCTTCCAGATGACAGCCCAGGAGTGGGGTGCAGTTTCCCCACTGGAGGGCATTTTGTAATCCACTTTAGAAAAATAAAATAACCCCAAACCAGCCACCTGCCGTCCCGTCAGCAGCAGCACCGCAATGTGCAGCATAAATATTTCATGTGGTTACAATTTCCTTTTCTATGTGGGGCTTGTCAGTAACACGACGGCTTAGACAGTTTAATATTCAACTCTTGCTTCCATGTTTGTGAAAACAGCATCACTGGGATCCACGCAGACAGCCCACAATGACAAGAGTACAAGGCCCTCCTTGTACAGTGGTGCTGAGGCGGAGGCCTGCTGCCACCCCTCACAGCTGCACCAGGAGCTCAGGAGTCCTTTCCAAGCATCCACACGCCAAGACCACCCCCTCTAGGCTGCACGGGACACTCAGAGGCCCCAAGCAGAACCTAAGCGCCCTGCCTGCAGGTATCAGGGACTGTCGCACGGGTGTGTTCTGGGGCCCAGAGAGTGAGAATAGAGCCTAAAGGCCAATTTCAGGGCCATGGAGTGGACAGCGACTGTCTTAGTCCATCCCAGCTGCCATAACAGAGTGCCATGGGCCAGGTGGCTCACAGCAACACAAACTTACTGCTCAGTTGTGGAGGCTGGGAGGTCTAAGATCAAGGCGCTGGCAGCTTCAGTGTCAGGTGAGGGTTCACTTGCTGGTTCGTAAACGTCCATCCTCTCGCTGTGTCCGACAGGGCAGGAGGGGAGGGTGCTCTCCAGAATTCAACAGCACTCACCCCAATCCTGAGGGCTCCGCTCAGTCACCTTCCAAAGGCCCCGCCTCCAAATACTGGCCCGTTGAGGGTTAGGATTCCAATAATCAAATTCCGGGAGGACACAACCATTCAGTCTGTAGTGCCGACTGCAGTAGTTGGCACTGGTGTCCCCCTCTCGCCTGTCCTCTTCTGTTGCCAGAGCCCATCCCCAGGTCCTGAGTGCCATCCCAGTCATTGCCCCCCAGAGCTGCCACAGCTAATGACCAAATAATGGAGACGCCAACTCTCTGGTCCCATTCACAACCCGAGTCCATGGGAGCAGCCTGAAGCTGCCTCCAGCGGCAACACCATCCTTGCTAAGCTCCCTCCCCCCACCCCGCCCTGCTCTGAGGATGTGACTCCCTCCTGGGAGCACCCACTCAGTAAATCGCTTGAACCAGAATCCCCATCTCAGGCCCGTATGTTTCTAAGGCAACAGCCTACCATACTGACTATGCCCATGGCCCAAGTGGGGCCACATCGGTATTGCTCCAAATGTCTCTGGCTCTGGTCTTACCTGCAACTACAAGAATTTCAGCCCCGAAACCACCACCCAAGCCCCACTCCAGGGCCTTCCTCCTTCTTGGGAGGCAGTGTCTGCTGCATGTTTTCTATTCCATCCTGCAATGATGGTGGCCACGACCCACAGCGCCTCCAAGAACCCAGGGTCACACCGGCTGTGAAAGCACTGGGGTCTCTGCCATGGGCTCTCTCACTCCCCATCCCTGTGCTCCCAAAGCTGCCAGCCCTGGGTGCCCCAGCCTTGTCGTGGGCCAGGTTCTCCCTGCAGCATCCTCCACCTGCCGGGGCCAGTCTACGGTCGGGGCCCCTCACACCTTGAGGCTTCAAGTTATTGCCAGACCCTAGAGCAGTGTCCCCAACAGTGTGAACACCTTTAACTCCTACCTGCAGCCTGCCCCCACTGCCCACAGAGCTGGCCCAGGGAGCAACCCCACTCACCCTTCCCAGGGCCAAGCGCCTTCCTCAGGTTTCTCCATCTCACACCTCCCCCAACAAACTCATCTCGGTCCAAACAGGAGGCAGGACCTGGGCCGAGGCTGAGACCACGCCCCCTCCCCCAACCCCAGAAGGCAGTCATGGCTGGTCCCAAAATTGCCCAGTAGTCATTCCTCCTTGGAGGGATACACAGAAATTTTTACACTGGATTGGAATGTGGGCAACATGGCACAGATTAATTTTTTGATTAATTTTCAGAGTCCGCGATGCTAAAATTCGATACGTTCATTCAGCAAGAATACAAACAACAGAGCAGCTCTTCTCTGCCACACAGCACATACGTATACATACATCAGTTAGCGTGGAATTATCTGTTCTTGAAAGTTTGAAGTAACTCCCATGCGAAAAAGATCTGATGTGCTGTTATAGATTCAGGAGTTTAAAAAAAATTGTTCAACCCATCAGTTATTAACCAGCTCTGCTTCCCAAATTACCCAAAACGAATAACCTCAAGCCCACCAAACGCTGAAGGGTAGTCAGTCAGAGTGAGAGGCAGTGTCGGGGTGGTGGTTAGGAGGGAGGGCTGGGTCACAGCCTGCCTGGGAGAATATTCGCTTGGCTGCCTACAAGTTGTATGAGCTCAGGCAAGTTTCTTAACTTCTGTTTCTTCATGTCTAACTTGGAGATAATAGTCTCCTCTTCAAAGGGCTGTTCTAGTAACAATGAGTTAATATAGGTAAGTCCTTAAAATAGTATTATTTCTCATTATTATATAATAATACTTAATCTCTGCACCAGGTCAAGTTTCTTGCATCGTGTACTATTCAGGATGTGCTAGGCTACGCTGCAGAAACAACTCCCATCTCAGCAGCTTAACCCAACAGAGTTGATCCCTCCAAGCCTCCTCCAAGCCACCAAGAACATTTGGGGATCCAAGGTTCTTCTCTGTGGTGGCTCTGCCACCCCCTTCACCCTCGGAGCCCTCCCTGAGTCCTCTATAGCCAGCCAGTGGTGAGTGAGCCGGGGATCCTGCAGAAGCAGGAAACGAAGTGGTGCCTGTCACTGCTTCCCGTTTCCTGATGGCCACAGCTAGTCAGCAGGGATGGGAAATGGAATCATCCCAGAGAAGGGGTCCCCAACCCCTGGGCCAGTCTGTGGCCTGTCAGGAACCGGGCCACACAGCAGGAGGTGAGCGGTGGGCGAGCAAGCATTACCGCCTGAGCCCCACCTCCTGTCAGATCAACAGCAGTATTGGATTCTCACAGGAGCGTGAACCCTATTGTGAACTGCGCATGCGAGTTACATGCTCCTTGTAAGTAGGTTACACGCTCCTTATAAGACTCTAACTAATGCCTGATGACCTGAGGTGCAACAGTTTCATCCCAAAACCATCTCCCCGCCGCCTGCCAGCCATGGGAAAGTTGTCTTCCATGAAACTGGTCACTGGTGCCAAAAAAGTTGGGGACCACTGTCCTAGAGGAAACGTGCCCTGGGGGAAAAATGCAAGTTCATGGAACTCACAGTGATGCTTTCGCCGAATATCACAACACATTTTCAGGGGAGGAACATGTTGCCCAGAGAGGCCAAGGTACTTGCTGGAGGTCACATAATTTGCATGAAGCCAAGAATTAAAATGACCTCAGACCCCACATCTCTCCTTTTCCAAATTTCCTCTACTTGCACGTAGGAAGCAAAACTCCAGGAGGGAAGAGAGCTCAGGCACTAAAGCCCTGCGGGTTTGACTTGCAAAAAGCACCCAGATCATCACTTTACACACAACCCCAGCAACTTTATCTTCCAGCCTTTAGCATATGAAGGAAGTCAGCAAAAAACTGTCTGCTAGAGGCGGGCACACCAAAAGCCATGAGAAGCAATGCTGGGCAAGGGAAGGAGATATAAGAACTCAAACTTAGCGGTCTGGGGACATTTGGTGCAGGATCAAACAGTCCTGTGCACACCGGCTGTCCCTGCAGGCATCATCTAACATGCTTGTAATTTTTTCTTAGGTTTCAACATGTATAGGGGGACATGCATGAGTTACGAGACACATTTATTTCTGCAAAATGGCCGTATCCTGGCAAAGTGGACCAGATGACCTGTCATTGTCCTTTGAATGAAGGACAAAGATGATGACATTGGAAGACTTTCCACTTGGAGATCTGGTTTCCTCATATGCAAAACCTTATGGTAATAGCTATGGCTCAGCCTACTGATTAAATGAGACAGTATGTGTGAATTGCCTGGGACAATTTGATATAATAAATGTTGTTTGCTTATCTTTCTCTAGGTCTTGCTTTCCTTATCTGAAAAATGGGAATACTATTACCATTCCCAGAGGACACTTGTTGGGATTGAAAATGATGGCATATTTGTAGAGGTCTGACTCATAACGACTCACATTCTCATGTTTTATTATGTGTGTTTTTTAAGAACCTGGGCCTGAGAGTGAAGAGAGCAGTGTCACCCTTAATCTCTCTGGTCCCCGTTTCACTCTGCCTGCAGGGCGCAAGCTTTGCTTCTCTCCTCCCCAATCTTGCTACTGCTAACAGAAGGTGCAGCCACCCGCCACCCACCTGCCCATCTCTCTGCCAGCCTGGCCTTGCCTGTGTTTGACCTTCTGCCTTAGAGCTCTGCTTCCAAGTGGAGGAAGGCTGCCTTCCAGAGGTTTCTATTAAGTACAAAAACAGGACAGTTGGCATTCATTCAGCAAGCATTTAATGGACTCCTATTAAGTGCCAGCTGCTGTGGCAAAGTGACAAGTGACACAGACCAGGCAGGTCTCCAGCCTTCTGGACTTCAGGATAGCAGGAGAAATAAGCCCTAAACAAGGACACGCGCAGGCGCAGAGAAGACTTCCGATTGTGAGGCTGCTGAGAAGGGTCAAAAATCGCTGCTATGAGCAAGAATAAAAGGAGGCCTGTCTTAGATGGGGAGAAGGTGGGGAAGAAAGGCCTTTTGAGGAAGTACCCTGGAGGCCCGACCCAGCCTGCAGTCATTTTCTTGCAGGGGTCAGAGGTGTGGACGCACACGGGGTGCTGACCAGGGAGGAGCTGCTGTCCATCCTTCTCATGAGCTCCAGGGATGAGTGTGAGGGGCCAGGGGCAGGGAGGTGATGTGTGGCCCCACTGCGAATCAACCCCTGCCACGCTTACACCCTCTCTTTCTCCTCCATGGGGATCCCTGGTCACCCTCCTGGGCAACAGGAAAGATTCCAGTCAACATTTTCTTACACAAATATGCTAATGAATAAACAGGAAGTGTGAGATGGTGACAAGATAGGATAGGGTGACATGACGGGGGACAGCGGACAGGTAGTGTGTGGCATCTCAGAGAGGGAACAGGGACAGGTAGCGTGCGGCACCTCAGAGAGGGAATGGAGCTGGCTGTTGAGCGGAGACCTGAAGGAAGCAAAGAACAGGTAAGGACAGTATCAGAACGGAGTTCCTGGCAGAAGAACGGGCACACAGACGTCTGGGGTGGGAAGACGCTGGCTTGCTCTGAAATAACAAGGAAACCAGTGTTGCCTGCGGAAATGGCCAAAGGGGAAAATGGCATGATTTTGAGAAGCCGGCAGGAGCCTGGCCAGGCCGCAAGAGGAGTTTAGACTGTGTTGTAAGAACAACGGGAAGTCATCTAAGTTTAGGAGAGGCATGGCCCAAATGGCAGTTTTACAGGACCCCTCTGGCGGTTGAGAGGGAAGGGGATGGCAGGGGTGGAGGAGTGGACGTGGGAAGATTTGTCAGGAGGCTGCACAGTCATCCAGGGGAGAGGAGGTGGCGACGTTAGACAAGGGTGGTGACAGTGAAGGACAGGAATCCCAATTGCCACGATGCAGAATGCCACTGGAAACTGGATATGTACTCACGGGCGCCATGAGCGAGAGCGCTGGCTGAGGAGCCGCAGTCCTCAAGTCAGAGCCTCAGCCCTGGGGCCTACGCCACTATGCATTTGCCACGTGACTGTTGTGCCCCCTGTACCCAAGACCGAGGCTGACTTTGAGGCATAGGAAGGGAATCAGAGGACAGAAATGAGCTTTCTGAAGTGCAAGTGCAAAGCAGTTTAAAGAAACCACTTTGAAGAAGTTCCAATCAACAGAGGAGCCAGCTGTGATTTCACTGTTGCCTTATGCCGTGGACTGTACTGTGTCTCCCCAAAATTTGTATGTTGAAGCACTGACCTTCAAGGCGATGGTATCTGGAGATGGGGCCTTTGGTAGGTGACAGGTTGAGAAGAGGTCACGAGGGTAGAGTCCTCATGATGGGATCAGTGTCCCAAGAGGAGACACCAGACACCCCCCCCCCCCCCGCCACCTACCAGGTGAGGACACAGAGAGAAGGCAGCCATCGTCAAGCCAGGAAGGGCTCTCACCAGAAACCAGCCATGCGGGTGCCTTGATCATGGACTTTCCAGCCTCCAGAACTGCGAGAAAACAAATTTCTGTTGCTTGAGCCACCCAGTCTGTAATGTTTTGTTAGGGCAGCCTGAGCTAAGATGCCCTGAGCATTAGAAAGGGCCCTAGGGGGACAAGAAAAGGGGACTTGGACCTGGCAGTGTAAAAATTGCGCTGGTGGTGCCCTGCACAGGCCTTTCACACAGTTTTAAAATAGCAAGTAACATCTACGTGGGTGTAAGGGTGCTAATTTTCAACGTCCTTGACTTCAACTTTAAAACTTTAATAATATAATTGCGGCCAGGTGCAGTGGCTCATGCCTGTAATCCCAGCACTTTGGGAGGCCAAGGCGGGCCGATCACCTGAGGTCGGGAGTTCAAGACCAGCCTGACCAACATGAAGAAACCCTGTCTCTACTAAAAATACAAAATTAGCCGGAATGGTGGTGCATGCCTGTAATCCCAGCTACTCGGGAGGTTGAGGCAGGAGAGTCGCTTGAACCCAGGAGGCGGAGGTTGCAGTGAGCCAAGATCTCACTGTTGCACTCCAGCCTGGGCAAGAAGAGTGTAACTCCATTTCAAAAAAAAAAAAAAAAGAAAAAAAAAACCACTTTAATAATATAATCAATCCTTGGTATCTACAGGGGATTGGTTCCAGGACCTTCTACAGATACCAAAATCCACAGATGCTCAAGTCTCCTATACAAAATGGCATAGAATTTGCAAATAACCTATGCATATCTTCCTGTGTACTTGAAATCATCTCTAGATTACTGATAACATCTAATCCAATATAACTGCTATGTAAATAGTTGTTATACTGTTTTGGCTTTATTTGTATTAATTTTTACTGTTGTACTTTTAAAAAATATATGTTTGATCTGTGGTAGGTTGAATCCATCATGCAGAACCCACGGATATGGAAGACTGACCACATATCCCTGCCTTAAAAAGTCAAACCAGGCCGGGCATGGTGGCTCATGCCTGTAATCCCAACACTTTGGGAGGCCAAGGTGGGCAGATCACGAGGTCAGGAGATCGAGACCATCCTGGCTAATGCGGTGAAATCCCGTCTCTACTAAAAAAAAAAAAATACAAAAAATTAACCTGGTGTGGTGGCAGGTACCTGTATAGTCTCAGCTACTCGGGAGGCTGAGGCAGAAGAATAGCGTGAACCCGGGAGGTGGAGCTTGCAGTGAGCCGAGATTGCACCACTGCATTCCAGCCTGGGGGACAGAGCAAAACTCCGTCTCAAACAAAAACAAAAAACAAAAGTCAAACCAGACCATGAAGCTTATAATGATGTCAGGGTGTCCTCTGCTCTTCCCTCCTTCAATCTCTGATTCTCACCACCTAGGGATAAATATTCTCAACTCTTTTTGTTATTTAACAACTGAATATGCACACACTGCTATTTCTTGATTTATAGATTTTTTTTCTTTTTTCTGAGATGGAGTCTCACTCTGTCACCCAGGCTGGAGTGCAATGGTGCAATCTTGGCTCACTGCAACCTCCGCCTCCCGGGTTCAAGCAATTCTCCTGCCTCAGCCTCCCAAGTAGCTGGGACTACAGGCATGCGCCACCACGGCTGGCTAATTTTTAGTATTTTTAGTAGAGACGGGTTTCACAGCTTTAGCCAGGATGGTCTCAATCTCCTGACCTTGTGATCCGCCCACCTCGGCCTCCCAAAGTGCTAGGACTACAGGCGTGAGCCTAGCCGATTTTTAAATGCCTTTTAGTCACTTCTTTTCATGGAAAAAGAGGATTTAGTGCTCCTCCTCCATCTTGCTTCCCCCTGTGTCCTCCCAGTGAACTACATAATCATGGTGGTTAATCAATATTCCAGGCTTACATTATTCCTATTCTGTAACTCATGTTTGCTGATGGGTCAAGCTACATATTTTTTTCCTTGAATAATTTTTCATTTTTGTTTTTCGTGTGCTTAATTTTCCTCCCTGTCACTCATTTTCCCCCAAAGCTCAGAGCTGTAAACCCCTTCTGATTATGGCCAGACACTTTGTGCTCCAATTTGATCTCTTTCTCAGGCAGATTCCAGCCATCATCAGATGCTTCCTTTTATTACTTAGCAAATCCCCTTGCTTTTCTCTATCATGGGTCCTCTCTTTGCAGGATTCCATCCATTCCTCCTTCCTATCTTGCTTCTTCATTGTGGTGGAACACATCTTCCAGGCCCTTTCTAAGAAAGGATGGATGAGAAATAAAGGTGCAGTTCTGCAAATGTTTTCATCTTACCCTCACACTTGATTGGTGGTTTGGCTGGGTAAAGACATCTAGGCTGAAAATAACTTTCTCTCTGAATTTTGAAGGCACGGCTTCATTGACTTCTCATTTCCAGCCTTGCTGCTGTTGAGCGTTGAATATTATTCTGCCTCCCATTTCTTTGTATACTGCTTACTTTTTGCCCCCTTCTCTGGTAACTTTTAGATTTTCTCTTCATCCACCATGTCTTGAAATCTCACAGGGATTTAGGTGGGTCTTCCCTGGCTTTGCGGGTGGTAGGTGGACCCTTCCAATCTGAAGAGAGCCAGACTGCATCTCCCCTTCCAGCTTCCTCTTACTCCTAGACCATCTTTTTGAATTTAGAAACCAAGAATTTGGCTTCTTTATGCTCTCATCTATGAAGAAGTGGTTTTCATCACTAATAGTAAGAGTGTAACAAACGAAGCACATTCATTAATTCCTCCACACACGTGTCTTCCACAGGGGAGTGGGGAGTAGGAGGGTGGTCTCCAAGCTCCTTCCTCCTCCCCTGTCAGGCTGGCTTTTTATTTTTATTTTTTTTTTTTTGAGACAGGGTCTTACTCTGTTACCCAGGCTGGAGTGCAGTGACGCCATCTCAGCTCACTGCAGCTGCAACCTCCTGGGCTCCAGCGATCTCCACACCTAAGCCTCCCGAGTAGCGGAGACTACAGACACGTATCACCACACCTGGCTAATTTTTGTAGAGACAGGGTCTCACTATGTTGGCCAGGCTGGTCTTGAACTCCTGAGCTCAAGCGATCCTCCCGTCTCGGCCTCCCAAAGTGCTGGGATCACATGCATGAGCTACAGTGCCCTGCGAGGCCGGCTGTTGACCACACTTACATCCTCAACTCCGCCCACCTTTGATGGACAGCATATTAGTCAGCCTGGGCTGCCATAACAACAGAAATGGTTTAAACAACAGAAATTAATTTTCTCACTGTTCTGGAGACTGGGAGTCAAAGGTCAAGGTGCTAGCAGGCTTTGTTTCTTCTGAGGCCTCTCTAGATGACCACCTTCTGTGTCCTCACATGGCCATCCCTCTGCGCCTGTCCACCTCTGGGGTCTCTCTGCATGTCTGAGTCTCGTCTTCTTTGAGAACACCTGGTAGGTTGAATTAGGGCCCATCCTAATGGCCTCATTTTTAACGTAATCACCTCTTTAAAGGCCCCGTCTCCAAATACAGTCATATTCTGAGGCACCGGGGGTTCGAACTTCAACATGTGAGTTTGGGGGAACACAGTTCAGTCCCTGTAGATGGGGTGCTCAATAATGATTAGAAACCCCACGGTGCTGGTTAAATCTAACCACTGGTTCATGGGCCAGGTGAAAGGAAACAGACGCAAATCAGGAAGGATTCTGTGTGAGTGCACAGTAGCCAGGTCACTCTTCTGGGAGGGTATTGCAAAGTCGAAACGCGGCATGCTCCACCTCCAGCTCACCACCGTCCAGCCCAGGAAATCCACAGGTCTTTGCAGGTGCCATGCACGCTATGCTGACACAGCACAAGGGACACTTACTGATAGGTCCTGGGAGGACACTGAAGGACAGGACTGCCTCCCGCATCTCCACAGTGACTCTTGGCCACACCATTTGTTACATTTCCTGGGTGCCTTCCTAAACCTCCAAGCTGCCCTGGAATCCCTTGACTCCCATCTACAATATATTATTAGTATAAAGGGAGTCGACGAACTCACAACCACAAGCTGCAAATTCCAGTGACGTCAGGGTCAGGCAGATAACATAAGCAAAGGAAGGAGACAGAGGGACGGACATATGAGAGAGAGTGATGAGGACTGGGGCTAAGTGGAGAGGGACTGCCCTGCCAAAAAGCATTTAAATTCAATGCGTGTTGGAACACCATCCCAGCCAAAAAACAAAACAAAACAAAAAAAAACCAACCAAACACAAACCAACCAACAAAACCAAGTTTGCTGACCAAATGCAGCCTCCAAGCATCTAGTTGGTGATCTCCACTGAGGATATATGGTTAAGAGGACAGGCTTTGAAGACACAGACCTGATTTTGAATTTCACTGTTTCTGTGAAACAGTCTGGTCCAAATGTTAGAGATGTGTGAGAAATATATGAAATAAAGCATGTAGTGCTTAGTGCAGTCCTGACACATAGCAAGTGCTAAGTTAATAGTAGCTATTAATATTACTGTGGTAAATAAGAAAGTAGTGACGTGATTCTAAGCCTTCACTTCTCAGGAACAGTGCGGAGAGTACTCACGTGTGGAGTGGTGGTGCCTCCTGGTGGTCATAATTAGGAACTGCAGAGCAGTGTAGCAGGCCTAACAGAATGATTAGGAGCCAAGAGGGCTAATTTACGGTCAGACAATGGGTTTGACTCCAGTTCTGCCATCTGCGAGTAGGTGACACAGGTCATTCACCTCCATGCTTAGCCTCCATATTCAACTGCCCTACACCTACAACCCCACGGAGTGGCTCTGACAACTTAACAAGACAATATGATATCACTTTTAAGGGCTTTACTGCATACTAAGTGCTACGATCCTAGGATGATCCTGGCATGATGTCAGAACTCAGAACACCGCAGCACCACACTGCCAACATCCTTCTCTCTTGTGAGAAGGTGAAACAGGTGGGTCCCCAGTTGTTACTTATTTTTTCTTTTATTGGGTGGCAATGAGAAGGGGTTACTCTGGACCGGAGCCCCTGACCAGAAAAATAGATCTGCTGTATCACCTGAAATTCACTGGAGCAAAATATTCCTTTGAGTTATGCATTGCTCTATCCAGACTTCTCTTTTAAACCGGAAGTTCCCCCAGAAGGGTGACTGTATTAGTTCCAAATACCCACATGAGCATGAGTTTATCAGCTGCTCCCCTCCCTGACAGGAGGAGGGGACTGGGGGACACTTTGTGCTGTCATTACCTCCGTTTGGGACCCCTGCCCCAGTCACAGCCTTCTGCCCACTTGCCATTGCTGGCCTACAGAGCTGGCTTCCTGCCTGCCTGTGATGGGAGACCCTGCCTTCAAGCTGGCTGAGTTGTCCCCAGGAGGTAGAGAACCAGAGGCCAGGCCTGACCTCAGACTGCAGGGTCCCCTCTCCCACGGCCCTCTGGGGAAGCTCCCCGCACCCAGGCCTCCTCAGCCCTGCCCCTCCTCCCCAGGTCCTGAGCTCTTCTTCCAGCAAACAGCGGCAGCATCTGCCTGGAAACACAGGAAAGGTGCCTCCACTTGTATCCTTTCCTGCCGCCAGATGGAGAAATAAAAACAGGAATAACAGATCCCACTGCCAGAGCACGTGTGCTGGGGCCTCTGCTGGGCACTGCAGACCCATTGGCTCATTTCATCATCTCGCCAACCCCATGTGATAGATGCAATGATTGTTCACATTTCACAGATGAGAAAACTGAGGCTCAGAAGGGTGAGTGAGTTGCCGAAGGTCACAGAGCTTGACAGCGGGGGAGCCTGGGTGGGAACCAGGCAGACCAATGCCTGACCCTTCACCATGGTGCAATGTTTACCCAATGGGAAGCCATCCCTTCCACCTCCAAATCCAAGAGGCTGCTGCTGACCAAGATCCAGCCCATTACCCTACTGTCAGATTGATCACATGAGCATGAATTATCAAACTGACACTCTGACCCACCCTGACAAATGTCACTGGCCAAATGTGTGACTGGTCATAACTGACAGATGGACAGACATTTGGCTTGGGAAAGCTAGGACCTGGCTAATGTTTGCTTTTAAAAGATCTTAATTTTTTTTTTCATTTTAAATTGAGGTATAATTTACAGCCTCTAAAATGCCCACATTTTAGATTGATGTACAGTTGATGTGGTTTTGTTTTCTTGTTTTTGAGATGGAGGGTTGCGTCTTGCTCTGTTGCCCAGGCTGGAACGTAGTGGCGTGATGTTGGCTCACTGCAACCTCCACCTCCTGGGGTCAAGGGATTCTCCTGCCTCAGCCTCCCGAGTAGCAGGGATTACAGGCATGCACCACCACACCTGGCTAATTTTTGTATTTTTAGTAGACATGGGGTTTCACCATGTTGGTTAGGCTGGTCTTCAACTCCTGACCTCAGGCGATTGGCCCACCTCAGCCTCTCAAGTGCTGGGATTACAGGTGTGCGCCACCCCGCCTGGCCAGATTGATGAGTTTGATACACGTGTATGTCCCAGTCAAGCTACAGGACATTCCTGTCACCCTAGAAATCTCTCACACCCCTTTCCAGCCAACCCCTGCCCCCACTGCTCTAGGCAGCCACTGCTCTGATTTCTGTCACTACAGCTAGGTTTTGCCTCTTCTAGAATTTCATACAAATGGAAGTACTGGGTATGTACATATTTATGTGTCTGCTTCCTTCACTTAATGGCTTTTAAGTTCATCCATGTTGTTCCCTGCATGTCTTTAATTTCTTCCTTTTTGTCCCTGAACAGGATTCCATTTTAAGCGATCGGGCACAGTTTGTTTTTCTGTTATCCTGTTGAGAGTCATGTGTGTTGTTTCTAGGTTTTGACAATTATGCCTAAAGCTGCTATGAACATTCTTGTACAAGTCTTTTTGCACATATGTTTTCATTTATTTTGGGTAAATACGTGGGAGTTTAAATGCTTGATCACAGGGTAGGTATATGTTTAACTTCAAAATAAAACCTGTCAAACTGTTTCCCCAAGTGGGTGTATGATCTGGTCAATTAATTTTAACTACTCATCTGGTGAGCCAGAACTACCTACCAACTGACTTCCTTTCCAGACAAATACCATGTGACTCATGAGCTGGGCTTCCAGGGACTAGAATTGTTCCTGGGGACAGGCTGGGTGCTGACCAGAAGCAAAGGATGACATTTGAGAAGTTACCTGGCTGGCTGCCCGCCTTCTGGGGCCTGTGCTGCGCACTGCAGACCCACGGTCTCCCTTCTGCCCCAGCTCCTCTTGCAGGCTTCTGAGGCAAAAGAACTTCTGCCAGGCCAGGCATCCCAACTCCCTCTAAAGAAACCCTCAGCAAGATGCTCATTCGGTCCCTCACATCAGTGCCAGGTGAAGAGAACGTGACCGGGGCTATCCTGAGGCTGCGGGTGGCCAGGGACGTAGGAGGGAGAAGGCAGGAGCTCTCTAGGCCAGACTAGAGTTCCATGCTCAGGCGTGAGGCTGTACAGCCCTATGGTACACCTCAGATCTGGGAGAGGGAATTATCTCACCTGTGAGAGTGTGGACAATACTGTCAATAGCAGCTCAGCCCTGGCCTCATGTCAGTTATCAATTGCTGTGTAATGAAGGATCCCCAAGCTTACGGGTCAAAATGATTATTCATTCTATCTCACAAACCTGTGGGTTGACTAGATGGCTCTCCTGCTCCACGTGGTTGGCTAGGGCGACAGGACACTGGAGCTGGAGCATCAAAGACGGCTTCTCTCCATATCCAGAGCTCAACTGAGATGACTGAAACATCTGGGGTTGACTGGGCGTCTCTCTTCTTTCTCCATCCATGTGGCCTGTCCATGGAGCTAGCTTGGGCTCCCTCATCACATGGTGGTCTTAGGGGCATCAGGCTTTTTTTTTTTTTTTTTTTTGAGATAGGGTCTCACCTTGTCACCCAGGCTAGCATGCAGTGGCATGATCACGACTCACTGCAGCCTCGACCTCCCTGGGTTCAGGTGATCCTCCCACCTCAACCTCCTGAGTAGCTGGGACTACAGGCACACGCCACCATGTCTGGCTAATTTTTCTATTTTTTTTTTTTTTTGTAAAGGATGGGTCTCACTATGTTGTCCAGGCTGGTCTTGAACTCCTGGGTTCAAGTGATTCACCCACCTCAGCCTCACAAAGTGCTGGGATTACACCATGACCAGCTGAATTGGACTTCTTAACATGGTGTGGCAAGCTGAACAGTCTACCCCCAAAATTCATATCTGCCCAGAACCTCAAAATACGACCTAATGTATGGTTGTATATGACCTCATCTTAACTAGTTATATCTGCAGAGATGAGAACAAAGTCTTCACAGATGTTAACTAGTTAAGATGAGGTCATACTGGATTAGGTTAAGCCCTAAATCCAACATCAGATGTCCTTCTAAGGAGGTTGGAAGACAAACAGATACACACAGGGACGAAGGCCATGTGAAGATAGAGGAGGAGACTAGAATTATGCCAACACCAGCCATGAAATGCCAAGGACTGCCAGGAGTCAAGAGACAGGCATGGAATAGATTCTCCCCTCAGAGCCTCCAGAAGGACCCAGCCCTGCCAACACCTTGATTTTGGCCTTCTAGCCTCCAGAACTGAGACAGAATACATTTCTGTTGCCTTAAGCTGCCCAGTTTGTGGTACCTTGTTATGGCAGTGCTGGGAAACTCACTTGCATGGTGGCTGGGGCCTGAAGATGCAGCAGAAGCTAACGGCGTCTTAAAGGCTGATCCCAGAACTGACGGAGCATCACCCCGCCATGCTTCATCCGGCAAGGCAGGGCCTCTCAGCGTAGGCCCCATTGACACTGGAATGGTCTCACTCTGTTTGCGGAGGGCAGAGGAATTGGAGGAGGTTGCTCTGTGTTCCAGGATGTTTAGTGGAATCTCTGGCTTCCACTCATTGTCAGTAGCACCCCCACCAGGCCCAACAACTAAAAGTGTCCCCAGAGATTGCCCAATGTCCCCTGGAGGACAAAGCCATCCTGGATTGAGAACCACTGGGTTAAAGTAAGTAACAGGATCAGCACAGCTCCCAGGGCAGGGGCTGTATAAGCGTGGGAACGGCAGCAGGCTCCCTGAGGGCCACCAATGGGACAGTCTCCCGCTTCAGGATCACTTGGAACTTGCCTTGAGATTTGCAGGACACAACCCACAATCCCCAGATCTTTTTTTTTTTTCTTAGAGACAGAGGTTCACTCTGTTGCTCAGGCTGGAGTGCAGTGGTGCAATCATGGCTCACTGCAGGCTTGAACTCCCAGGCTCAAGGGAGGCCTCAGCCTCCTGAGTAGCTGGGACTACAGGCACATGCCAATGCATGCCCGGCTAATTTTTATTTTTATTTTTGTAGAGATGGGGGTCTTGCAATGTTGCCCAGACTTGTCTCAAACTCCAGGGATCAAGTGATCCTCCTGCCACTCAGAGTGCTGGGATGACAGGTATGAGCCACGTGCCTGGCCCCCCAGAAACCTTGAATCCCTTGTGTTCTACCTTATGAAGTGAGTCCCAGGTGGGGGTCAGAAGCTGGCATCCAGGTCCAGGACCCCATGGAGCGTTACCTGTGACTTTGGATGCTTCTGCACACTTGTTGCCAACTTGAGATGCTGAATTCAAACCACCACAGAGCTGCTCCCCGTACCAGGTGAGAAGTGTGGGAAAATGGTTTGAAGCCACGTGGTTTGCCCTGGGCAGTCTAACGGGCAAGACATGAATGCACATGTGTCTAGGTTGGGCACTGCAAAAAAAGACGCCACATCTAAGGGCAACAGGGCAAACATACTAACTTGCATGAGTGGCAGAGGTAAAGATTCATGGGCTCCCGCCTGAGTCCTGGAGCAGCACAGGAGAGCCCCTGCCCACCTAAACCAGTGCTGGCAGCCCCAGCCATGCCACAGGCTTGGGAGAACACGTTCACCCTGTGCTGCACCCTCCGCTGCCCAACCCCAAACCTACATTGTGGCCTCGGTGTGGCAGGCTGCTGGCGGGAGCACACGCGGCATCTGGGGTAGCTGTGTGTGAAGCACAGAGCGTGGCACCTGTGTGTGCAGCGGAGTTCGCCTGGGAGGAAGCCACATAGCATTTGCCTGATTTCTTGTATGTTGCATACACGCTGGATGCTGATTTAGAAGGGCTGTTTTTGGTTGGTTTGTTTTTAAAGGATACATTTTCACATCTCCATCTCTGTAGCCATGACCCAAAACAAAATGGAACGTTTCCATCACCCCAATAGTTCCCACGTGCCCTTGTTCCTCAGTGATTTCACCCACCTCCCTCCACACCACCTCCCCAGGTAACCACCACCCTAACTGTTATTGCCATAAACTGAGTTTGCCTCCTGTTCTATCGTTTTATATAAATGGACTCATATATGGTTATCTTTTCTGTCTGGCTTTTCTTCAGCACCATTTTACGAGATTCATTCCTGCAGCTGTGTATAGCCATCCCTTGACTTTTTTTTTTTGCAACCAAGTCTTGCTCTGTTGCCCAGGCTGGAGTGCAGTGGTGCGATCCTGGCTCACTGCAACCTCCACCTTCCCAGTGCAAGCCATTCTCCTGCCTCAGCCTCCCGAGTAGCTGGGATTACAGGCTTACACCATCATGCCTGGCAAGTTTTTTTGTATTTTTTAGTAGAGATGGGGTTTCACCATGTTGCCCAGGCTGATCTCTAACTCCTAGGCTCAAGCAATCCACCCGCCTCAGCCTCCCAAATCCCTTGTACTTTTTATTGGTGTGCAATATGATAAAAAGAAGCTTGGTTTATGAAACTGCAGTTCCTAACTGGATGCTACTGTTTAAGGCCCAGTGCCAGAGCCCCTACCCCCTCCTTCTCTCCTTCCCCGAACTCCGTCTTTACACTTTGGCCATGACCACTGTCACCCAATTCACCTAGAGTGAGCGTCCCATTCCGCCTCAGTCAGCCCCCAGGGCCACCTGTGATTGTTCAGGCTGTGCAATGCCATCCTGACTCCAACAATCCCTGGGGGAGAGGTGACGGATATCCTAACTACCCTGCTTCGATTATGATACATGGTATGCATGTACCAAAATATCACATGTACCCCATAAATATTGTATATCAAAGATGGAGAATTACTGTAAAAAACAATGACCGGAGGAAGAGAAGCCTTTTTCCAGTTTACACCCTGGCCGTGTCTGGCTGGCAGCAGATTCTCCACTTCCCACAGCCAGAGCCTTTTAAAAACTGGTTTGGCCCCAATGCCATTGCTGCAGCTGGAACGGGTACAGCTGGCTCATCTAGGATAGAAAGTGCATGGCCAGCTTTGTGTGAAAGGAGAGGAAACTCTCCCCCTGCACGTAGCTGCTGCTGCTGGATTCCAAATTCCTTGTCCTGTCCTCCTATCTTCCCCATATCCTGCCCCAACTTATCCTTGAGGCACTGTTCCACTGCAGCCCTGCCCACTCCCGCCAGAGCCATGGGCACACCAGCCACCACCCTTCCAGGGAATGCAGTGCGGCAGAGCACATAGGCCACATCGCTGGCCGTTCAGCCACCTCACGCAGCCTCAACTTCCTCATTTGTAAAATGGGCGTAATGACAGCAACTAGCTCATTTGGTGGGAAAACATAAGATCATCTAGGTAAAGTCCTGGCACAGTGCCTGGTGCACAAGTCGTCACTGAATATTACCTTTTGGTTGATCTGTGCAGGACAGTTCCCCAGGCGGCCTTGGGCCAACCCATCAACCCAGTTCTCCTTGCCTGCCCCCCACCCCTGCCCACCTCCCCCGCAACTTTTTTTTTGAGACAGAATCTCACTCTGTCACCCAGGCTGGAGTGCGGTTGTGTGATCTTAGCTCACTGTGCAACCTCCACCTCCTGGGTTCAAGCGATTCTCCTGCCTCAGCTTCCCAAGTAGCTGGGATTACAGATGTGTGCCACCACACCTGGCTAATTTTTGTATTTTTAGTAGAGTTGGGGTTACACCATGTTGGCCAGGCTGGCCACGAACGCCTGACTTCAAGCGATCCACCCGCCTTGGCCTCCTGAAGTGCTGGGATTACAGGCGTGAGCCACAATGCCCAGCTACCCACTTTTTTGCTTAAGGTTCTCAGGACTAACTTGGCGTGTGCTGGGAATGCAATATCCTGAGATACGCAGGAACTGGCTACAACAGCCCAGGCTCTATTCCTCTTTCCCCTACAAACGGGGTATCCTTAGGTGTTTTAGCCCAGCCTATCGTGTTGCCCCTGAAGTATACAACCTGGGCTGGGCTGTCTTTTGGGGTATCTCAGATGTGGTACAATTGGGGCACACACACAGAGACTCCATTCACCCCGGGCAGATTTCCTGAGCCTGGGGGACTGGCTTACAATGAATCCCAGGCTTCTGTTGTCCCTTGCTGCCTGTCTGTAAGTAATAAACCCATTTCATTTCATGTAACTTGTGTACGTGGGTGTTCTATCTCACCAGATTCAGGCAAGCTGCTCACCAGCACACAGAAACTCTGCTCCACAACCTGGGATCTAGTTGAAACTCCGGCACTAGTGCCAATTTGAGAGGGCTCAATGTCTGGGTAAAAATACACTTCTACCCCTGTCCTTCAGTTTCCCCATCTATAAAAGAGATGGTATGCCTGTAATCCCAGCACCTTGGGAGGCCGAGGTGGATGGATCACTTGAGACCAGGAGTTCAGGACCAGCCTGGCCAACATGGCAAAACCTCATCCCTACTAAAAATACAAAAATTAGCCAGGTGTGGTAGTGCATGCCTGTGGTACAGGTAACCCATAAAGTCACTTCCAAACCTCACATTCTATAAAGCTGTGATTCCCAGAGGCTGAGAGCTCACCACCACCTTTTTTGTACTTTCATTTTAAATATTTAAATCTTCAATCCATTTGCGAGTGACTTTAGTGCAAAGTATGAGCCATGGATCTAAGTTTACTTTTTCCCCAAATGGTTGCCCAGTTGTCTCTTTGCTATGTATTAAAGGTTCCATTTCACCTTTTTGAGTGACACTCCTTTAATTAGAAAATTGGGTCCATTTCTGGATTTTAAAAATCTTATTCCATTGATCCATTGATTTTAGTGTAGATTTTTAATACAATGAAGTATTTTTGTGGGTGAAGCAACCTCTAGTTTCTTTCTGAAATATTTTAGATGTATAAACAGTACAGAGAGAATATAACTAGCACCTAGGCAACCTCCACCAATCTTAAACTTCAGTCAGAACTCAACTCCCCACACACAGTTATAGTCAAAGTTCCCATGTGCTTCATTCTGCCAGTTTCCATCCTCCTCTGAAAGTAGCTGCTTCGAGTTTGTTTTTTTAATCATTTCCATTATTTAAACACAAATGTAAATATCCACGATATATAATATTGCTTTATGTGTTTTAGAATTTTATGTAAATTTCTCATACTATAAATATCATTTTCCACTTACAGGTTTTTGAGATATATGTAATGTTGGTATATGTAGCTTCTTATTCTCATGGCTCTAAGAATTAAATGAGATAATCCTTGTATGCAATTAGAAGTGTCTGGAATGTGATAAACAAGGTTAGCTGTCATTATCAATGTCACTAATCATTATTTTTATTATCACCATTCCCACCAAAGGGATCAGAGGTTCACACATGACATTGTTGAGGAGCAGCAAAATGGAGCCACGATTTCTTTTAGGATAACAGGAGCCATTTTCCCTGCTCTGAGGTATGTTTGGATGGAAACATTGGGCTCCTTGTCAGCTGTTCCCTGGTGCTGTGCACAGCTTGCAGGAACGGCTCTGATTTTGTTTAATGACTCTGACAAGAACGCCAGACTTGGCCATGTGACTTGCTCTAGCCAATGAGACAGCAGCAAACATTATGCAAGCAGAAACTTGAAAAGTGCTTGCTCATTGGCCTTGCCCTCTCACTGCTCTTGGTCAGACCCATCACCATGAGAACAAGCCCATGCTAGCCTGTTGGATGATGAGAGACCCTGCAGAGAAAAGGAAGGTGCCCCAGCTGACATCAGAAAGCCCTGTGCCCATCCAGCAGCCAACTTCAGATGTACGAGTGAGTTCCAGCTGAGATAAACCAAACTTGGCGAAATCGCAGAACTGCCCACATGAACCTACCCCAAACTGCCATCCCACAGAGCTGTGAGCTCAATAAATAGTTGTTGTATTAAGTCACAGAGTCTGGGGTGGTTTGTTGTGCTGCATAAGCTAGCTGATACACCTGGTTATCTGACATCTCCAGCAATTACTGACCTGTATTTGCAGACTTAACTCTTGGTTACATGACCAGAAAACAATATTCCACGTGCATGAACCACAATCCACAAGAGACAGGCTCCCTTTCAGAAACATCAAACGATGTTCAACATTTGGCAGGTCTGAAAAGCTCTCATCCATACCATGAGTGTATAAAACATGCCTTGACCCATGATAATCACCAAGGGGCACTTTCTGGGGGTTGGTGCTATCCCCCCCAAATAGCAGACTCTTCCCAAGGGAATCACAGGTGATGTATAGGTGTTTCTAACTGGTCCTAATCCCAAATCCATGTCTGAAACCTCACCTTATACCTACATATTAACTTCATGGGTGCAAACACCACACCTGGTCATACCAGAAACCAGAGTTCCCAAAAAGGGTAAATGTCCTTCTGTACACAGCAAAGGCATGTTGGGCCATGCCTAGAGGAAAAGGAGGCAGAGGCTGCAGAGCTGGAAGCTCAGCTGTTTTGAGGCCCTGGGCTGACAGATCTTTGTCCACAGCCTTGCCAGGAAATGCCCCACAGTCCCACATTTGGAAGTGAACAAGCTGGAAGGGTGATTTTCCAACTGGACACAGCTGGTGACGATCAAGATAGTGACCCTGGATAACTGCCCTCAGACTCTGCAAGGCCAATTCTCACCATAGGTGGAGTTATTTGCCTGCATAAGCGATGGTCAGGCCCTCTCTCCTGCCCCCAGACACAGAGGAGGGACCATGCGCTTCCTGACATTGTGGCTTCAAATGCCACAACCACAAGGGCCATCCACTTAGGGACAACATTGGTGTCTGCCTCAGGAAGTCCCTTCCCACTCCACCTGCCTGGGAACACGCCCTCTGATGTGACAGCTTCTGGACTCATGTTATAAACAAGTCCTTTTTTAAGGGCCTGAAACATTGGAATAGAACCACCACCAACCCTGGAAAAAAAATGCAAATCCAAAATACCAAGTACTATACAAAGGTGCTCTAATTATTCTTGGTTCAAAATGATTCACAAGAGGAAAGGGAACCGACTCCGTATGTACGCGTGTCTATCTGAGAAAGAATAAGAGACGCTTTCTCTATGCGCATGCTTCCCAAAAATTAATGAATGAAATCTCTCATCCTAGTCCTTTACAGATTTATCTAAGGTTTCTTCCTGTGTTTGAATTCCTCTATTAGAAAAAAATTAATCAAAGCAATACATCCCTATGGCTAGAAATTAAATATTTACGGACCTATTATAGAAAGCAGTAATTTGCCACCCCCTCTCTCCACACCAACGCAACTCTCACAGTGTAATTCCTGATGACTACCTAGTATAACTCTAAGTAATATATTTATACCATTCTTTCTTGATTTATCAGCTCTGACATTACTTCTTCCCAAATTCCTCTAAAGGTTTTGAAAGATTACTTTGATTCCACCCCCCCCTTAGAAACATCACACCTTTAAACAATGCACTTAAACCTCAATTAATTGAGCTTTTCTATTATAACTTTTGTCTCCCTACTGCTATTGATGAACTTAACTCCCTTCTACCTCCCCACCCTTCTTTCATTTTATACCTTTCTATGTCTGTTAGCTGCATCATAACTTTCACCTGTAATTAACTCCTTAATTGCCAGGCACTATTCTCTGTACTGGGGATACAGCCTTCGAGAAGACAATAACATTCCTTCTGTCATGGAAATGACCCTTTAAGGGAAGCAGAGAATAAAAATATAAGGATGTGCAGAAGATAATTTCTGAGAATGAAAACACACTGGATATAAACAAACAGTCACGTGCAAGAGACTATACATAGAAGCAGGAAGCTCAAAACTAACTGGGGGCCGGGTGTGGTGGCTCACTCCTATAATCCCATCATTCTGGGAGGCCGAGGCAGATGGATCACCTGAGGTCAGGAGTTCGAGACCAGCCTGGCCAACATGGTGAAACTCCATCTCTACTTTAAAAATAGAAAAAGGTAGCTGGCCATGGTGGCACGTGCCTGTAATCCCAGCTACTCAGGAGGCTGAGGCAGGAGAATCACTTGAACCCGGGAGGCAGAGGTTGCAGGGAGGCAGAGATGGTGCCACTGCACTCCAGCCTGAGTGACAGAGTGAGACTGCCTCAAACAAACAAACAAAACACCTAACTGGGGAGGTCACAGAAGGTCTCGCCCAGCAGACGGCACTTGAGCTGAAGCCCTGTGAATCTTAAGGTTGTCCAGTCTGACTGTGGGAGCAGACACTGTTCCTGGTCCTGAGGGAGCATGTCTTCCCCCGGTCTCACATAGTTCCATCTCACACATGCACTGATCAGCAATCTGCCAAGTAAGGGAGACACTCTGCAAACACCTGGGGTGCTGTGTGTAATTCTCTTCTCTCTGGGACTCTGTCCTGAGAAATCTGCCTACCTTGGTTTTCCCAGGCTCTCAGCCAGTGTCCTCAACTCACGGATTCTGCCAAGTTCCCTGTCTCGGCACTGCGACCTGAAAACTCACTGGGTCAATTGTAGACTGTATTAGCCTGGGCTGCCACGACAAAAGATCACAGACAGGGCGGCTTCAACAACAGACATTATGCTCTTCCACTTCTGGAGGCTGGAAGTCCATCATCAAGATGACAGCAAATTCAGTTTCTGTTGAGAACCTGCCCCCTGCTGGTAAATGTCCTTCCATGACTTTACTCTGTAAAAAGTCTTTACTCTGTAAAAAGTCTTTACTCTGTAAAGTCTGTCTTTACTCTGTAAAGTCTGTCTTTACTCTGTAAAGTCTTTACTCTGTGCTTGCACTGGGGAAAGGAGAGATTTTTAGTGTGTGCGTGTGTGTTTTAGTTAAAGAGGCAGGGTCTCTCTCAGTTGCCTAGGCTGGTCTCAAACTCCTGGGCTCAAGCAATTCTCCCATCTCAGCCTCCCAAAGTGCTTGGATTATAGGCGTGAGCCACTATGCCTCACCTCTTCCTTTTCTTATAAGGACACCAATCCTATCTGACTAGGGTCCCACACTTATGACCTCATTTAACCTTAATTACTTCCCTGAAGACCCTATCTCCAAATATATTTATATTGAAGGTTAGGACTTCAACATATGAATTAAGGTGGGAGGGGCACAATTCTGTCCATAACCGGGCTCACTCCATTTGTCTCCCACTTCTCAGCGATCACTGTCCTTTGTTGATCGATGTACAGTGTCTTGCAAACCATTGTTTAGTCCCTTCTTTTGTTGATCCAGAAGGGAAGTTACCTCTTGGCTGGTCTTAGATTTTCACATTTATATGCATAAAATAGTCTCAATATTTTTTTCGTTTTTGTTTTATGGTCATTTGCAGTATTTTGTATGTTCCTGCTTTTTTATTACACTAGCTAGTATTTTTTTTCATAGAAACAATTCCCAGTTCTACTATTTCCTTTCTCTTTTCTGATTATTCTAGGTACTTGTGTTTATTAATTCTCCCTTCCACATCTTTTCATTGATATTTGTTTTGTTTTGTTTTTGAGACAGAGTTTCGCTCTGTCACCCAGGCTGGAATGCAGCGGCGCAATCTCGGCTTACTGCAACCTCCACCTCCTGGGCTCAAGCGATTCTCCTGCCTCAGCCTGCCAAGTAGCTGGGATTACAGGCATCCACCACCATGCCCAGGTAATTTTTATATTTTTGGTAGAGACGGGGTTTCACCTTGTTGGCCAGGCTGGTCTCAAACTCCTGACCTCAAGTGATCCACCCACCTCGGCCTCCCAAAGCGCTGGGATTACAGGTGTGAGTCACTGCACCTGGCCCTTTTCATTGTTATTTTTATTGTTGTCCATTTCTTAACTGTGAGTTGAAAATTAAACTTTTTTCTTTGTAATATATTTATTGCTATACCTATTCAATGGTAGGAGTTCTTAGCTAAGCACTGTATTGGCTGTGTCCCCCAGTGATTCTGGTATGTTTTTATTCATAATAAAGCTTTTAATTTCAATAAAACATACATCCAGAAAATGCACACGTCTTGAGACAGCTGACAAACCTATTACAAAGTGAATATACTCATGAAACCAACACCTGGATCAAAAATAGGACATTGCCAGCATCCTAAAAATTCCCACTGCGCCACTTCCCAATATCCCTCCATCCCCCAAGCAACTTCTAACACAATAGATTACGAATGTTTTTGAACATTATGTAAGTGATATCATGACGGAGTCTCTTAGGTCTGTCTAGTTTCACCCAGCATTATGTTTGTATAATTTGTCCATGTTTCTGCACGTAGAAGAAAAATCTGTTACAATGTTTTTGTTATGACTGAAATAAATAGAAAATGCAAAACTGCTCCTTAAAATCTGTTATTACAAATGTTCCAAGCAGATTTCATGATTTGGTGAAGAGGTTGAATAGCTTACCCAATAATATGCAACAGATTAAAGAGAGGAAGTACTCCAAAGTCACATCACAAAAATAGATGCCTACATAAGTGGAAATAAACTAAAAATTTAATAATTGACATAACCTTTACACAATCTGTATTATTTTGACTTTCAAAAAATTGCTAAAATGAAGTCTACATTTATCAAGTTTGCTCATGCAGGGATTATGCACAATAAACATACATCCCCTTGGTTAGGCATGGTGGCTCATGCCTATAATCCCAGCACTTTGGGAGGCCAAGGCAGGCAGATCACTTGAGGTCAGGAGTTCAAGACCAGCCTGGCCAACATGGTGAAACCCCATCTCCACTAAAAACACAAAAATTAGCTGGGCATGGTGGCAGGCGCCTGTAATCCCAGCTACTCGGGAGGGTGAGGCAAGAGAATCACCTGAACTCAGGGGCGGATGTTGCAGTGAGCCGCGATGGTGCCACTGCACTCTAGCCTGGGCAACAGAGTGAAACTCCATCTCAAAAAAAAATAAATAAAATAAAACAAAAATAAAATAAACATACATCCTCTTTATACAATGCTTTTGGAGAGAGACTGATCGTATGATGCAAATCACTCCAGACTGGGAATAACAGTTAAATTTGAGTCTCTGTCCATCAGTGATAAACAAGATGAAGTTAATTAGATTCAAATATTTTATTTTCAAGCATAAAATAGGACATTCACAAGACACGCTGAGGTTTTTTTTCTAGCTCTAAAACATAACATGATCCTAAATATATTTAGACAACCAAAAATGATATCAGAGACATGAGAAAATCTGGCAAGATAGTGATTTCAAGAGGTGGACCCAGCTCACCCTCTGTATTCATTTTCTACTATTTTACTATTAAATTTCCTGGTATTAAAAATTACCAAAACGTAGTGGATTAAAACAACACAAATGTCTTACCTTACCTTATTATCTCATAGTTTTGTGGGCCAGAGTCCAGCAAGGGTCTCACTGGGCTGAGATTAAGGTGTCAGCAGGGCCGTGTGCCTTTCAGGAAGCTGTAGGAGGGTATCTGCTTCCTGGCCTCTTCCAGCCTCCAGAGACCCCCTTCCTCCATCTTCAAAGCCGGCAACATAGTGTGTAGGTGACCCTACTTCCATCACCACATCCCTTTCTCCGACCGCAGCTGCCACTGGTTGTCTGCTCTTAAGGAGCCGTGTGATTAGATTGGATCCACCTGGATAATCCAGGCTACTCGCCCCAACTCAAGGACAGATGATAGCAACTTTAGTCAATTCCCTTTTGCCATGCAAGGTAACATGCTCACAGGTGCTGGGGACTAGGACGTGGACATTGTATTAGGCCATTCTTGCCTTGCTATAAAGGAACACCTGAGACTGGGTAATTTACAAGAAAAGAGGTTTAATTGGCTCATGGTTCTATAGGTTTACAGTTTCAAAGATGGCATCAGCATCTATCCAGCTTCTGGGGAGGCTTTGAGGGGGCTTTTACTCATGGCGGAAGATGAAGGGAAGCAGTCTGTTACATGGTGACAGCAGGAGAAAGAGAGGGAGGTGGAGTGGGAGGGAGGGGGGTGCCACACACCTTTAAACAATCAGATCTTCTGATAACTCACTCACTATCACCAGGACAGCACCCTCTTTTCCACAATCTTGATGGAGTAACTCCAATTCTAGAGCTAGCAGGTTAGTGAAGCTTAGAAAGGGCATTTGATTTTGTTTTTAATCATCCCTATCCAGCTCCTGTCCTGTTCCCCAAATCTCCAGGGCTCAAAGCCTAGATGATCCTTTATTTCCTATAAAACAAAACATGCGATGGCAAAAGCTCATGTCTCCACCAGGCCTTAAGACCAAGGACTTCCTGGGCTCCCTGAGGGAGTCTGCTCAGTGGATGCTTTTGAATTATCTATACCAGGGACTGGCAAACCTTTTCTGTAAGGGACAGAAAGGAAATATTTTAGGCTTTGCGGGCCACATGGTATCTATCACAACTATTCTGTTACCAGATGGAGGGCCTTGAGTGTGAGTTGTCCGGGTCCTCAGTGTTTTGAACAAAGAATTGGACAAAACACACAAAGTGACAAACGAATGAAACAAAGCAACAAAGCAGTGAAAGCAGGGAATGATATTTTATTTTATTCATTTATTTATTTTTGAGACAGAGTCTCACTCTGTCGCCCAGGCTGGAGTGCAGTGGTGTGATCTTGGCTCACTGCAACCTCTGCCTCCTGGGCTCACGCCATTCTCCGAAAGCGAGATTTATTAAAGTGGAAAGCGCTCCACAGGTGGGAGTGGGCCCAAGCAAGCAGCTCACGGGCCTGGTTACGAAGTTTTCTGGGTTTTAACGACTCCTTTTGAGGGCCCTATCGGCTACAAAAATGAGTACCAAACTCATGTCTTGCTTTATAGAAAATAAAGGATCATCTAGGCTTTGGATCCTGGAGATTTGGGGAACAGGACAGGAGCCGGATGTCAGGTCCACAACTACGCCAAATGTCCTGCTTGGGGTCAGGTTCGGGCCCATACTGAGGTCCAAGGGGAGTGGGCGGATGGGCAGATAGGTGAAAAACACTGGGCGGGTGCCATAGGCAGGTGAAATGTAGTTTTATTCAGCAGCTCTCTCATCAACAGCTCTTACACACTCTTCTCTCATCAGTAGTTTTCTCACACCGTCCGCCCTGTTTTAGCTGCTTGAGTGGGCTGCTCCCATACACCGCTGTGCTGCCGGCTCTCCCTTGCCTTCAGGGTCAGCAGCTTAACTCTTTCTCTGGGCACAAGCTGGTTCCGGGCTCCCCACTGCCCACCTGCAAGACGGACAGCTTTGGCTCTCTCTTCCTCTGGGCACCAGCGCACCCAACCACGTCAAGCCATGCCCAAGAGCCAAGCCCAGCCATGTCCCCAGAGCCCCGTGCAGTGTCAGCAGGGCAGTCATACCTTTTACAGACAATAGTGGCGTAGAGCCAAGTATGAACTTACACAAACAGTTATATAACAAGTGGAGGTGTGAGCCTGCACCCCAACCCTGCTGAGTCATGCAGGCCTGGATGTCTGCCTCGGCCTATTCCTTGACCAAAGCACATCCATGTGAAGGAAATAATGTATACAGTGGTCCATTTCCAAGATAAAGTGCCTTGAATTGGCTTAGGTCAGCAAACTACAGAAGAAACAAGATATACTAGGCCCCTGCTTGGATAGCCGATGCCTGCTTGTCGGCCTCTCCCTTCTCCCCTTCCTCCCTTGCTTAGTTGCCCTCACTCAAACCAAAGACATTTAGTCTAAAATGAAAGTTTACTAGCCTGCAAAATAGCTCACTTTGTCAGTTCTTATCGGCCTGCCCAGCTACTTAGGTCATTAGGTCATAAGACAAATGCTTAAAAAGCCCCTGAGCTAACTAGGATTGCAATACATTGTGGGCTGCAACAAAATGCCACAAGACAACCCTAAAAAAGAACACCTAAAGCCCCTACCCACCATCACTAGGCAAAGTCCGGGAAGAGTGTGACCCCACAGTACTCAGCCTTTGAGGAACCGGTGGAGAGACCTGTGCACTAGAGGATGAATTGCTTGTTGTGACTGCGCTGGGTGTGCCTGCTCATTAGACACCCAGTCTTGCAAGACCGTCATTAAAAGTCTCACTTTCACTATTCTCTGGGTCTCTAAGTCCATTCTTGAGTTCGAACGCATGAATTTGTTCCTCACACATGTACCTTACACTGGATAGGGCTGATTAAAAACAAAATCAAATACACCTTCTAAGCTTCACTTTCCTGCTAGCTCTAGAGTTGGAGTTACTCCATCAAGATTGTGGAAGAGAGTGTGGTAGGAAGAATAATGGCACCGCTGAAGATGTCCATTCTTTATCTGGATGAAGGATTTGGCCCATGGCTAATTAAAGCTGAAGTGAATTGGTCCGCAGTCATCTGGAGACGGAGTGGATCGGCACCCTACGCAGATGGGGGGATGGCTAGCACTTGGCCCACAGCCAATCCAAGGCACTTTCCTTTCCATCTGAGACATGGTGGAAGGTTGTATGGAGAGTAACCTTTGATTCTTTGTTATCCCAGCATGGCAAGATGGAGTTTTTCCTTTTGGCTTAGCTTTTGGAAGTGGGTGTTAATTGGTCTTAGAGTCCCTGCCCCCAGACCCAAGTGTTTCCCTTTTGATCCAGCCTTAGGAAGTCAGCACACATTGGCCTTAAGTTGCCTGGTCCAAACCCTATTCTCCTGCCTCAGTTCAATCTGTCAATATGAAGGTTGAAAATACATCATTAAATGAGCATAGCTGTGGGCCAATAGAACTTTATTCATAACACTGAAATGTGAATTTTACATGATTTTTCACATCATGAACTAGTCTTCCTTTGTTTCCCACCCTAACCATTTAAAACAGTAAAAACCAGCTGGGCATGGTGGCTCATGCCTTTAACCCCAGTACTTTGGGAGGCCAAGGTGGGCGGATCACTTGAGGCCAGGAGTTCGAGACCAGCCTGGCCAACATGGTGAAACCCTGTCTTTACTAAAAATACAAAAATTATCTGGGCATGATGACTCATGCCTGTGATCCCAGCTACTCAGGAGGCTGGGGCAGGAGAAGTGCTTGAACCCGGGAGCTGGAGGTTGCAGTGAGCCAAGATCCCACCACTGCACTCCAGCCTGGGTGACAGAGTGATACTCTGTTTCAAAAATACATACATACATACATACATACATACATACATACATACATACATATGTAAAAACTGTTCTTAGCTCAAAGACCAAAAAAAAAAACAAATCAGACATCGGGCCAGATTTTGCCCACCAGCCATGTTTTGCCAGCCTCTGATATTCACAAAGGGCTGTCTTCTGTCTGCTGAGTGTGGCGTTATTTGGCTCAATACCATGGACCTGAAGCAGGCAGGACTCAAATCTCTGCAGCTGGGAGAGTTTTTAAATGCAGCTACAAAGTTTTCCTGAATATTAGATATATTTGCAAGTTGCCAGCTTGTTAGATAAGCACTCACAGGGCGTTCTGCTCGCTGCTAGTTTGCCCTGATCAACACTTTTATGTCGTGACCTATAAGAAAGCTCAGAGAACCTAGTGGCCAGGAATAGCAAAGGAAAATAGTTACGAGAGGAGGTAATTACCCTCTCTACCACCAAGAGATAGAGGATGGAGGGTGGAGGTTAAAAGGGTGGGCCCTGGAGTCACGGTAAATTACTCGGGGTAAATCATGTAAATTTTCTGGCCACCAGTTTCCTCATCTGCATAATAGGGATGATGATAGTGTCTGTCTAATTATATCGTTGATAGGATTACATGTTATCATGCATTTAAAAGACTTAGTGTCTGCTTGTTAGTTTTTAAGTGGTTGGTTTTCACTACCTCCACTATTAACTACCCTGGCATAAAAAAGCAAAAGGAAAAAGAAAGGCAATTTGTACAATTAACTCCTAAAGAAGGTGAAAGAGTTAGTGGAAGAGATGAGAAAACTTTAATAACAAATAAATAAGAACTTTCAAGAAAATGCAATTTGGGTTTGATGACTTTCTGGAAGTAAAATGTTTGAAAAATTAAAAGAAATATCCAATAGTTGGACTGGAATAAATGGGAATCATGGTATAGTAAGTGATAGGACATCTCCTCATAGGGATGAAAGAACAGGTAGACCAGGGGAAGGGAGGACATTTAGGAGGCAGGTGCAAAACACCCCACGAGAATCCAGGCTGCAGGGAAATACAGAATTAGAAGAGTTGGACAATTAATCCTATTTGAGAGGATAAGTTCAATGAGCTGAAGACTGATTTTTTTTTTTTTTTTTTTGAGACAGGGTCTTGCTCTGTTACCCAGGCTGGAGTGCAGTGGTGCAATCTCGGTTCACTGCAACCTCTGCCTCCAGGTTCAAGCACTTCTGCCTCAGATTTCCAAGTAGCTGGGTTTACAGGTGCACCACCTGTAATATGCCACCGCACCTGGCTAATTTTCACATTTTTAGTAGAGATAGGGTTTCACAATGTTGGTCAGGCTGGTCTCGAACTCCTGACCTCAAGTGATCTGCCCACCTCCCAAAGTGCTGGGATTAGAGGCACGAGCCACTGCACCTGGCCGGAAGTCTCAAATTTTGACACCGAAAGAGCACGTTGTTTCCAGGACTGGATTAATTCCTAAAGAACTCACCTTAGACACATGCTCTGTTTAAATTCTGAAGACTGAATCTTAGGAGAAAATCTGACAAGACTTCAGAGGGAAAGAAAAGAAGAGTTTACTCACAAAACTAAAAGAATAAGTAATGGGGAAAGGACTCCCTATTGAATAAATGGTGCTGGAATAACTGACTAATCGTATGCAAAAGATTGAAACTGGACCCCTTTCTTACACTGTATACAAAAATCAACTCAAGATGGATTAAAGACTTAAATGTAAAACCTAAAACTATAAAAACCCAGGAAGATAACCTGGGAAATATCATTCTGTACATAGCTTCTCGCAAAGATTTCATGTTGAAGACTCCAAAAACAATTGCAACAAAAACAGAAATTGACAAATGGGACCTAATCAAACTAAAGAGCTCTGTACAGCAAAAAGATATTGTCAACAGAGTAAATGGAAAACCTACAGAATGGGAGAAAATATCTGCAAACTATACCTCCAACAAAAGTCTAATATCCAGAAACTATACGGAACTTAAACAAATTAACAAGCAAAAAACAACCCCGTTAAAAAGTGGGCAAAAGATATGAACATTTTTCAAAAGAAGACATACACATGGCCAGCAAGCATATGAAAAAATGCTCACCATTACTAATCACTAGAGAAATGTAAATCAAAACCACAATGAGATACCATTTCACACCAATCAGAATGGTTATTATTAAAAAGTCAAAAAATAACAGATGCTGGAGAGGTTGCAGAGAAAAGAGAATACTTATACACTGCTGGTGGGAATGTAAATTAGTTCAGCCATTGTGGAAAGCAGTTTGGCGACTTGTCAAAGAACTTAAAACAGAAGTACTATTCAACCCAGCAATCCTATTATTGGATACATACCCAAAGGCATATATATAAATCATTCTACCATAAAGACACATGCACATATATGTTCATTGCAGCACTATCCACAATAGCAAAGACATGGAATCAACTTAAATGCCCATCAGTGGTAGACTGGATAAAGAAAATGTGATACCTATATGCCATGGAATACTACACAGCCAAAAAAAAGAACAAGATTATGTTCTTTGCAGCAACATGGATGGAGCTGGAGGCCATTAATCTAAGTAGACTTAACACAGGAACAGAAAACCAAATACCATGTGTTCTTACTTATCAGTAAGAGCCAAATATTGAATACACATGAACACAAAGGAGGGGGCAAGAGTTGCTGGGGCCTACCTGAGGGTGGAAGTTGGGAGGAGGGTAAGGATAAAAAAATTACATATCAGGTCCTATGCTTATTACCCGGGGGATGAAACGACCTCTACACCAAACCCCCATGACATGCAATTTACCTATATAACAAATCTACATGTGTACCTCTGAACCTAAAATAAAAGTGTAAAGAAAGAAATTGTATACCTTTAAAGCTTATTCACAATTATGACTCTCAATATATTAGCAATATATTAAACATATTTGTTTTTCAATAATACATATGTAGAAATTAATAATATCTATTTTCACATTCAATATTGTGCATTCCTTGCACTGCTTGCCCCTGATTTTGGAGATTAATGCTGCAGAAAATATAGAGCCAAAAAAGGCATAGGTAAGCAACAGAGCTGCATGATCGCATCTGTATTCTAGAAGTCCACTAGAAGAGTGGAGGAGGACAAATTCCTAGAAAGACACAAACTACCAAAACTGACTCAAGAAGAAATAGATAACCTAAGTAGACCTATAAAAAGTAAAGAGGTTGAATTACTAATGTTTAAACTTCCCATAAAGATTCAATCTTTGTAGGTCACATGCTTCTAGGAAGTCATCCATTTCTTCTAGGTTACATAACTTCCAGGCTACATAACAAAGGAAATAATTATCAGACTGAAGAAACAATCCATGAATTGAGAGAAAATATTTGCAAACTATAAATCTGAAAAGGGGCTGATATCCAAAGTATATAAGGAATTCAAAAACTCAACTGCAGGAAAACAAATAACCCAATTAAAAATGAGCAAAGGTTCTGAACAGGCATTTCACTAAAGATTAGATACAATTGCCCAACAGATACATGACAAAATACTCAACATCTCTAATCATTAGGAAAATGCACATTAAAACCATAATGAGATTTCACCTCACACCTGTTGGAATGGCTATTACCAAACAGATGAGTGACAAGTGTTGGTGAAGATGTGAAGAGATGGGAACCCTTGTGTACTCTTGGTGGGAATGTAAATAAGTACAGCCTTTTGGAAAACACCTTGAAGATTCCTCAAAAAACTGAAAGAACACCTTTGTCCTCTAACAAAGGTGTCATTGTGAGGTCCATCCTCTGTAGTCAAGGCTCTCTGGGTCTGTGAATTTATTTAGGTCTGGGAACTAGGTATGAAGCCGTGGCTTTCTTTTGCAGTGACTCAAGTTAGACTTTTGCCTATCAAACCTACAGTTTGTCCAGTAATACTTTAGCAGATGGTCCAGCTATTTCATCTCCCCAAGGATACCAGGATTGATTAGCTCCTGGTAAAAATCCCTGCATGTCAAACCTTCTGATTGCTATTGGTTCACGTTGCCCATACAGAACTTGCACTCACCTTGTCTGTGAAAGTTAAGTACTGCCACTTACCTTCTACCACCTTGAGATCTTTTCACTCTTATTGAAATCAGGAAAAAATAGTTTTTACAACATAGTGGTGCCAATTATGAGCCATTAATGAGCTGTGTAACAACCTGGGAATCCAGGTGCTATGGTTTGAATGCTGCTGTCCCCCTCAAACTCATATGTTGAAGCCTCATTGCCAATGTGACAATATTAGGAGGTGGGGCTTTTGGGAGTGCTTAGGTCATGAGGGTTTCACCCTCATTAATGGGATTAGTGCCCTTATGAAAGGGGCCACAGAGAGCTGCCTTGCCCCTTCCACCATGTGAGGACACAGAGCGAAGGTGCCATCTGAGAGCCAGAAAGCAGTCCCTCCCCAGATATCACATCTGTTGGTGCCTTGATCTTGGACTTCTCAGACTCCCAAACCATGAGAAATAAATTGTTGTTTATAAGGTACCCAGGCTGTGGTATTGTGTTACAGAAGCCCAAAAGGACTAAGACAACAAAAATGAACAAAATAGGCACATCCCTAAGTGCACGGAGTTTACAGCCTACTGGCAAAGGCAGATAAACAATAACCACACTAATAATTGTATTTAACGGGTCTGAGACAGAGAGCTGTGTGCCAGGAATCATCCTGGAAGGATAGGTAGGGGTAAAATCAGAGTCCTCTCCATTCCCTCTCTTCCAAACTCACAATGCTTTTGTGTATTTTCACAGCCTCCTGCACATCCCTCTGTCCTGGCATGTTTAATGCCAGGCCATCAGGTAAGACATTCCAGGTCTTCTTTCCTGGAGTATAAGGACTATGCCTCTTGTATCTCTTTAATCCAAGTGCCCATGAAAGGTTCTGTAAGTCATTGACTTCCTTAAATATTTTAAAAAATAAATGGAGGAACAAAGAGGGAGAAGTTAAACCACCAACTGGGGAATGTCCAGGTGTTCATGTCTAAGAAAAGAGTAATCACTAGCTTTTCTCACTGTCTCTACCTGGATATAGGGACCCAATCCAAGTAGATACTAAGAAAGATAATTCTACTGGCTGATATTAGATAGGATTGGGGGGAAGAAAAGATGAGGAAAGAAGAGAACATGGGGAAAAAACTGAACTTGTGAAATGAAATAATGAGTGGAGTTGGAGGGAGGGTCCTTGGTGAGTATCAGTGCAGCCCAAAAGGATCAGGTAGTCTGAAGGGATAATGTCATCATGGCTGGAGACTGGACACTCATAGGAACCCCCTCCTCTGACTGTATTTTTCTCTGTGACTTCTCCTGCGGTGGTAGATTGGGATTTTATTCCCAATTCTTCACTCCGTATAAAAGAATAATACGGCCAGGTGTGGTGACTCATGCCTGTAATCGCAGCACTTTGGGAGACTGAGGTGGGAGAACAGTTTGAGCCCAGGAATTTGAGGCTGCAAAGAGCTATGATGTAACACTGCACTCCAGCTTGGGCAACAGAGTAAGACCCTGTCTCAAAGAAAAGAAATCATATGTCCACTTTTTTGTGGTAAGTACCTGCCTCTAGATTTGGAAGAGTTTACTTCCCCCACACCACTGTTGTTGGGCTCAGGCATGGGACTTGATTTGGCCAATAGGATCTAAGCAGACATGATAGGAGCAGAGGCTTTCATTCCTGCACTTCTGCCATCCACCGTAAGATAAACATGCTCCGTTGGCACTGGTCCCAACATGAGAAACAACTGGAGGAAACCTGAACCTTTCCCTTAGCCTGAAGCAGAGCCAACACAGTCAACCCACAGATCTATGAGCAAGAAAAAAAATGGTTGTTATCGTGAGGGTTGCTTGTCATGCAGTATTATCACAGCAATATTGCACTACTACACTTGCTTTCTTTTTTGAGAATTTCATTCCACTCTCCCTTTTCTGCTTAACTTTCATGTATCTCAAATGATGTTATAATTTCTTTTTATATTTCTGATGAGGCTCAGGGATCTCCTTTTCCCCTCATCCACATACCTAAAAACCACCTTGTGCACATAACCAATCCCACCCATTTGTAATGGGCTCTGTACAAAGGCCACATTAATTGCACCCCCCTCATCCACCACTCCCCCATTCCCACACACATACCCATGCTCTGCCAGGAAACCTCCTGTGTAGAGAAGCATCTGGGGTATGGGAAGAGCTTTGGTGTGTCAGAAAGATCTCAACAAAAGCATGAAGTTTAAGAGACATTGTGTAACCTGCCCTGGATCATACATTTTAACAGTTAGAATGTGTTTGGCCCCAAGTAACAAAAAACCTGATGAAGAGGGGCTTAAATCTTGAGAACAGTTATTGTTTACTTAACAAGAAGTCTGGTTGTAGATGGTTCAAGAGTTGATTCAGTAGCTTCAGAATCAACTGGGTTGGCATCTTGGCAATTCTCTTGACCTTCCTTTCATGGTTGTGAAATGGCTGCCACAGCTCCAAGCATCAGCACCCACGACCCCCAACCTGCATCCAAAAGCAAGAATAAGGGGGAAAGCCAAGGTAGCAAGAGAGACTTTGTTTGCTTTCATCTCTTCTTTTATCATAGAAGAAAGTCTTTCTCAGGAAACCCCAAGTGAGCTTTCCCTTATGTTTCGTGGACAATTACGTCTCCTGGATCACAAGGCTACTCCTAGATGCAAAGGAAGCTAGGAAATGAGTTTTGATCATGAGTTTTGCTCACGCCTCTGTAGTGGAGGCAGAGATAGGAGCAGGGTTAGGAATGGCTGTTGGGTATGTGGTAGAGAAAGAGAAGCATCATGCATTTATCCCTTCAAGAAGGACTTGCTTCTCTGCAGTGGGAAGTGTGGTCAGCAGACAACTTCCAGTTGTCAGTTCCTTCAGGGTCTGCCCCAGCTTCAGAGAGCTGTCTCACCCAAGGTCATGCCCTTCCCAGAGCAGCCCATACCCAGTTTATTAGTTCGTTTTCATGCTGCTGATAAAGACATACCTGAGACTGGGCAATTTATAAAAGAAAGGTTTAATGGGACTCACAGTTCCAAGTGGCTAGGGAAGCCTCACAATCATGGTGGAAGACAAGGAGGAGCAAGTCACATCTTACTAGATGGCAGCAGGCAAAGAGAGGAACTTGTGCAGAGTAACTCCTCTTTTTAAAATCATCGATCTCATGAGACTTATTCACTACCACGAGAACGGCACGGGAAAGGCTTGCCCCCATGATTCAATTACCTCCCACTGGGTCCCTCCCACAACGTGTGGGTGGGAATTTAAGATGAGATTTGGGTGAGAACACAGCCAAACCATATCACCCAGTAACAGAGCAAGGGAGGGGTATAAAAGCCCAATGGGAGATGCTCTACAAGCAATCCTTGCTCTGGAGCTCCCACTGGGTTGGACTTTGTCAGGCCTGCATCAAGTTAGACTTCTTCCTCTGCCCTGTTCTGCATTTTCCTCCTTCCTTTCACAGGTTTTGATCCCTAATAAACATCTTGCAGCTTAGGTGACTCTCAGTGTCTGCTCCTGCAGAATCCAATCAGTGATGGCATCTTCCACATACAGCAAAGAAGTGATATAGCCAGGATTAGAAACTAGGTCTGTCCAATTCCAAAGCCCCAACCCATCCCCACTCCCCAACCATACTGCCTCTTATGGCCACCATATCCATTTCCTCAATAAGCACTCACTGAATGTCTACTCTGCCCCGAGACCTAAGTGGGACAATGGGGATGGTACTACAGGCTGTACTGTCTTGTCTGTTTACCAAAACCCACATCCTTCTCTTCTCCCTGAGGACACATGTAGTCCGTATTTCCCAGCCTCCCTTGAAGCTAGTTGAGGCCAAACAACTGAGCTCTGGCTAGTGGAATATGAGCAGAAGTGATGTGTGCTGTTTTCCTGGTGAAAGTTTTTAGGAAGCAAATTCCATCCTCCATACTCTCTTTCCTTTTCCTTTGGCAGATGCAGAGACCAAAAAAGCCCTAGGATATGTAGAACCACAGATGGAAAAAACCTGGGTCCCTGAATCATTATGATGAGGGACAGCTATTCTATGACAAACTTATATGGTGTATAGCAATTATAAACTGTGGAGTCAATTACCTCAGCCAAGCTTACACTAACTAATGCATGGATATAGAGATGAATCACAGATAGCCCCTCTCTTAAGGAACTCAGTCTAGTGGAGAAGCTGTGGATAGGAAGAGATACAGGGTTGTGTAGTTAGCAACTGGGCCTTGAGGGAGAGGTCTGATTTTTGTCCTGGCTCCTAGGAAGTAATTTCTAAACCCTTAGGATATCCTGATTAACAGGAGTGTCTTTGTTATTCATGGTGGGCTCCTGGGACCACAACTCACAGCTTATGCTAACCAGATGGCTTATAGTGAGTGCTGGCCATGCCAGAAAAATCAACCACAGGGTTAAAAGATTGGGGCTTTGGGCTATGTGATGTCAGCCTGACCTTTGGGTGTGGGGAGGGGTATGGAGGTTAAGTTCAACCATGTGGGAAATGATTCAATCAATCACCTCTACATAATGAAGTCCCAATAAAAACTCTGGACACTGAAGCACTGGTTAGCTTCCCTGGTTGGCCATACTTTGTCATACTGTTACTTATCAATGCTGGCAAGGTAACAGATACCGAGGACACGGGTGTTTAGCATTTGGAACCCTCCCAGATTCCTTCCTATGTCCCTTTCCCTTGGCTGGTTCTGATTCGCATTCTTTGCTTGTAATCAATGTGACTTGAGTAGAATAGCTTTCAGTGAGTTCTGTGAGTCTTTCTAGTGAATTATTGAGTATGAGGATAATCATAGGAACCCCCTTGTTTGTAGCCAGTCAGTATGAACTGATGGTGGCCCTGGAGATCCCCAAACTTGTATCTGGGGTCTGAAGGGAGAGGGGGAGATTGTTCCCTCAGACTTTGCTGACTTTACAGCCTCAAGATTGCTGACTTTACAGCCTCAAGATGTAAATAGCTTTAAAAGGTCACTAAGAAGTGACTGTATACCATTGCACTCCAGCCTGGGTGACAGAATGAGACTCTGTCTCAAAAAAAAAAAAAAAGAAAAGAGGAAGAAGAAGTGACTGTAATGTAGGCACCTGGTCAAGACAGCCTGGAGTGAATGGTGAATGTTCTGACACATGAGGTGCCCTGGCATCTGTTGCCGTACATGAGGGTCTCACCTGCAGTTGGTCTGTGGACAAAATATGACTCCCCGCTCAGTCCAGGCTCTGTCACTGACTTGCTGTGTGATCCTTACAAATCACGACACTCTCTCCAGACCTGTTTCCCCATATGAAAAACAGGGGGCCAGATGAGCTGATATCTTAGAGTGCCTCCATCTCTGACAACCTAAGGAGTTATTTCCTCAAGCTTCTTCAGAGAAGAAGGAAACTTCCTTCCCTGAACTCCTTCAGGAATTCTGAATCATCACATCCACTAATATCCAATAGACAAATGTCCCCTGCCACATCCCTGTTGACTAGCATCTCCCCTCAGCTGGCTCATCTGCAGTGATGGGAAGCTCACTCTTTCATGGTGGGAGCAGTGTGGTTCTGTAAAAGAGCACAGCTCTGGGTTTCAGTCCCAGCTCTGTCCTTCCCTCTCTGTGATACCTTGAACCAATCACTCCATCTCCCCAAGGCTCAATTTTCCTCATCTGCAAAATGGGTGGACGAATACCTACACCATGGAGATACTGCGAAGAATGGAAAATAGCAGTGCATTTACCATCTGCTCACACCATGCTGGGAATTGTTCTAAGTGCTGTGTTCATATTTTCTATCTGAAGAGGCAGGTAACATGGTATTCATCACCCCCAGAAAAGTAAGAAAGTTCTAGATGTTAAGGGACAGAGCCAAGATTTGAACCAGCAACCATGTTCTGAACCACACAGCTGTTCTGCCACCACATACAGGAGGTGAAGGGCTTAGCACAGGGCCTGACCTACGGCCACCTGACTCCATTGAGTGTACCAGCAAGACAGGCTGAGAGAGTGAGGGAGTGGGAACTGGCCTCCATAGGCATAGTCAGAGTTTTGCACAAAACAAGAACCTAAGAGCTATTTTAATTTCAGCATACATGCAAGTTTTATGTTTTACAGTTTAGGTATTATTTGTATTCTGAGTCACTTATTTGGGGGAGAGCATCTTCATATCAGTTTTTCAGGCATGGCACCTCCAAAGGTCATCATCTGGGCCTGCATCTCTCCCAGAACAGCCAGGTCTTCTGTGGGTCCATCAGATTATGAAACTTCCCTTCTTGCCCGAATCCCAAATCTGACTCCCACGGTTCCTAGGTCCCCTCCCTTTCACTGCCCTGGAAGAGTCCTGCAGAGACCTCAAGGCAGTGGGCCAGCATTGCTTTTAAGTTCATGCATGGTACAAACCACCTTAAATGCATTCCGGGCATGGCAGGAGACCCATCAGACTTCCTAGAGCTGCCTGTGGTCAAGATTAGAAGAGGAGGCATCGGCCTGGCTGTGTCCTACCCTTGAGCCAACAGGGGGTGCTGTCTCCGACTAACCCTACCTGGCTCTGAGTCTCCAAACCTGGGGCTCAGGAAGCCGCCTCCTTTGCACACCATCCAAAGTGAGTTCAATACAGCCACCCCTGCCCCCAACTCATCCAACACACACACATACACACACACACACAGACACACCCCATCTGCAGACCGGCCAACTGGGCTGGCTGCCCACCTGCTTTCCCTCTGTGGGTTTTTATCAAAGGCTACAGATAACAATTCCCTCCCCATTTCCACTCCCACCTCCCCTCCTGTGCTTCCTCCAAGCCCATCCTTCCTGGAATCCCAGCATCATTCCAGAGTTTTGAAAACTTTTGTGTTTTTTTTTTTTTCCAGATGGAGTCTTGCTCTGTCACCCAGGCTGGAGTGCAGTGGCTTGATCTTGGCTCACTGCAACCTCCGCCTCCAGGGTTCAAGTGCTTCTCCTGCCTCAGTCTCCCAACTAGCTGGGTTTACAGGTACGCGCCACCACACTTGGCTAATTTTTGTATTTTCTTTTTTAGTAGAGATGGGGTTTTGCCATGTTGGCCAGGCTGGTCTCAAACTCCTGACCTCAAGTGATCCACCTGCCTCAGCCTCCTCTAACGTGCTGGAATTATAGGTGTGAGCCACCATGCCCAGCTTAAAACCTCTTTATCACCATAATCTATCTCATTTGAGCCTCACAACTGCATTGCCTATGAGGAAGACCATGGGGCAGGGATTAGAGTCTCCTCAGCAGAAGAGGAAACTGAGGCACAGAAAGAGGGAGTGAGGGAGCACATGGCCCATCAGTGATAGGGCTGGGTTGGGTAGGGGAGCCAGGCTCCTGAGGACAGGGTGTGCCTGAACTCGAGCCTACTGTTGGTTGAGGGACCTTCTTCTCCAACCCCCTCGCTGGGAACCACCGGCTGTGAGAGTAACTTCATGGGCAGTACTTATTCCTAAAAAGTCAAGAGAACTGCTTTCCTGCCACCAACTTGCTGTGTGCGTGACCTTGGGCAAGTCCCTCTGCTCTAAGCCTCTGTGGAATGTGGCGATCCCCTCAGGCTCCCCCACTGATTGAGATATTCTGACTAAACAACTGGTATCTGAATCACCTCCATCCCTTTGGGGTCCCTGGGATCCTCTACCAAAACGCAAGAGGGCTTGTAGCAGAGCTAACAGCACCATAGCGTGATAACAACACTCGTCTCCATTTCTCCACTGCTTTCTACAGCCTCAACATCTAATGTAATCCTCACTACCAGGAGGTAGGCTCTGTAATTATCCCCATTTTATAGATGAGAAAACTGAGGCTCAGAGAAGCGAAGAAAGTGGCTGGGCTAGCATTGGAGGCTGGGGGGACTCCACCTCAAAGGGCAGGCTCTTGATTCTATTGTCATCTACTCATAGAAGTTTCTGGAAGTTTGCTTTAGAAACTCCACTGTAGAAGCTCTATGGTCTTTCAGCCCCCACTCAAACTGAAGCCCTTCAGCTGCCCCTCAAGGATCGTGAGAACAAGGACACAGATGGGAAGGACCCACGTCCCCCAGCCTCTTCCCACCCACCCTCCTTGAGCCAGCCCCTCATCCTGGACCCACAAGCACATTGCAGCCCAGCCAGAGCCCGTGAGCAGATGCGGGTTTATTATTGCACAGACTGCAGCATCCTGAACCCCAAACCCAACCCCAAACACCAGCCCCCAAACTTGGCCTGGGAGCTTTGGCAGGCACAGGCTTGTCCCCAGCACCAGCCAAAAAAAAACAACAGAAAAAAAACAGGACAAGAATCTCCGAGACGGAGCCCGTCAGCACAGAGCAGTGGCCCCGCCCCATTCCCCTCATGCTCCAGGAGTCTTGAGAAGCTCAGATGCAGATGCAGAGCTGTGGGCCATGGCCAGCTGAGGATGGAAGAATCTGCAGGTTCTTCTCCATGAAAATACAGTCCTGGATTCCAGCCAAGCCACAAGGTCCCAGCAGGGCTTGAAACGGCAAGTGTGAAGCTAAGGGAGAAGGTTCCCAAGCATTGAAGGGAAATGGGAAAGCTGACCCTATCAGAAGCAAACTCCTAGGTCCCAGAGCTGCCTGGGGAGGCCCTGCCACAAAGCCAAAGCCTCCAAGGTCCACAGAAATGAAGGGAGGACAGCAGCAGTTCCCTCTGGCTCAGCTTGGATGCCACGTCCTTCCCCAGGCTTGGAGGGGCCTGGAAGCCCTTTCTCTCCATTCTCCTGGAGGCAGGAAACCATAGCCTTTGGCCCTCACCCCACCCACAGGAAGCACAAGGGCCCAGAGACCTAGTGTGGTACAAAACATCTTTAAGTGAGGTACATCCAAGTAGCCATCTTCTACCAAGTAAGCCAAAGGGGCTTATAACTGCACCCAGGCTGTACCCAGTTGGAGCCCCAGACTTGCCCCTCTCTTGCCGGGAAATGCTTCTTGACAAGCAGCTTGTCTTCAACACCTGCCTTAGTGTCTGCCCCAGGGACATCTCCCTGGGCTTCCATGGGCTTCTGTGCTCCCCTGAGCTTTCGGTGGGCCCTGATGGGGGAGGAGACAAGCCATTTCACAGGGCATCACAGGAGATTTCTCGCCGGCCCCAGGCCTCCTGCAGGTGACCCTCTAGCATCCCAAGCACACGGGAAACCCCAAATGCAATCCCAGTCTCAGACACACTCCAAAACAGGCCATCATCACTGCACCTTAACCCCTCTTCCCACCCTGCCCCCTGGCCACCTGGTCAGTGGCTTCCCAGCCAGAGGATCCATGGGGTCTCCCCTCGTCTATTGGTCCAGAAGGGAAGCTAACTGGACTGGTGGGAGGAGACAGAGCACTGTGTTCTGGGATATTCAAACTGACCTTGTCCATTTCCTCTACTGTCATCCAGAACATCTACAGGCAAGGGAGGGAGTGCAGGGTGCAGACTGCACAAGGACAGGTCTCTGTGCTGGTCTGAGGGGGTCTCAACACCCACCCCACCCAGCTTCCCTGGGAGGCCTCAGCCCACAGCCAAAGGATTAAATCAAAGTGGGGCAGGGTGGGAGGAAGGGGGATGGGATTGAATATCAATGTCCTGGTTAGGTGACATCTCCCAAAACACACAAAAGCCCAGGGAGGGGACAACCTAGGGAAAGGCAAGGGAGTGGAGGAGAGCGGGGGACAGGAGCAGATCAGGAAGCTCAAGAGACCAGGGCGCTTCTCTCTGGGCTCTCCTTGCCCCTGGGTAGAGAGCTCCTGAAGGAGCCCAGGACATTCCATTCCTCTTGGCACCACCACCGCCACCCAGCACAGGCACCGTGGGAGGCCTCCTGAAACTCTTGTGGGGTGAATGTGAACTGGACCACGGGGCTCCAGGTCCAGAGTCCAGTCCTCTTTGGCCACCCTGCCTGGCACTGCAAAAAGACGGGTCCTCATGTCCTCAGCAGGAACTTCTGGCTCTGCAAAGAGACAGCAAAAGGGTCAGGCAAGGGAGGGAGGGCAGAGGCTGGGCCGCCAAGCCAGGTGCAGGGCTCAAGCCTTGGGGCTCATCTTCTCTGGGGCAAGATCCCACCTCTGCATCCCCCCAGACAGCCCTGTCCCTTGATTCTGATACTCGGCAGGTCACAAACGGGTCCCCGAGGCCTCTCCTGGCCCTGGCTGCCTGCCTGTTTATTTACACATGCTGTTCCCTTTGCTGCTGCACTCATCTCTTCCCTCTTCCTCCCCCACTGTCATCTGGTTCACTCCTTTTCACCCTTCAGGTCATTAAAGGAATCAGTGCCTGCAGGAAGCATTCCCAGAGCCCCTGTTGAAACATGGAACCTGCAGAGCTCAAGTGTTCACCCCTACGGCAGCACTTACCAGGCTGGTATTGTCATTGACTGTTTACATGGTGACAGCATAGACTTTCCTGGGGCTGATTAAGAACCTCCAGCCCAAACTAAGCTAGGATCAAAAAAGGGGGCCTGAGGAAAAGGCAGAAACCCTGTTATTATTGCCAAGCATGGGATTGAGGCTGTGAAGGCTAGTTCCAGCAGGGGGAAGATTTTGTCTTGTAGATGCTTCACCTTGAGAGCAGTGAGGGCCACTCTCCTTCAGCCCAGCCCAGCCCACTCCACTTCACGGGAACTTACCCCAGCCCCCAGCTCCATCATGGGGAAAAAACTGAGAGGGAACCAATGGGCAGAGGAACAGGAGCAGGCTGGGTGTGCCAAGGGATTAAAGACTGAAGTGGGGAAGAGAGAAAGGGAGCACGGAGATGAGTGTCCCACCGTCCCAGGTGAGCTCAGTCTAGACCTGTTGTGCTCAGTGTTTGAACGGTAAGACTTTTCTGTAATGAGCTCTAAGTTCAGGGTTACTTTCATTATGTTCACCCCATTCTTGGAGCAGGAGTGAGTCCCTGCTGTATCCCCATCTCCCAGCAGAGCAGTACATGTTGGCCAAATGAATGAGTGAATGAAGCCCTCAGTGCTCACCTGACAGAGAGCAGGTGCTCTGCAAACACTAAGCTAATGAAGTAAGTGTGTGTGTGTGTGTGTGTGTGTGTGTGTGTGTGTGTGTGTGTGCGCTGGTATCAAATCACACTCTAGGTCTTGGCTTCTGCAGGTGGGTGGGCCTCAATTAGTCACAGGACTGTCATCCAAGTACCGAGTAGGTCCCTCCTCCCACCACCCTGGTGCTCAAAACTCCCCAGGGGCTCCTGCCCCCCAACCCCTCCTCCAGCCAGCTGGCTGCACCTGGTAAGCGACGGTCAGGTCAGGAGGTGAACAAAGAGGATGGCCAGGCCGATGTTCAGCAGGATCACCATGCAGATGAGGATGGTGTTGGGGACCTGGGAGCAGTGGAGAGAGGCTTCCTGAGTCCCCATGGCCTCGGAGACACCCCCCACCCAGGTCACAGCAAGGCTGGACAGAGCAGGAACTTCTGGATGGACCTTCCTAAGAGCATTGCCGGCTTTGTTCACTGCTGTATCCTGTCACCTGGATGGCAGACCATCACAGCTGGAAGGACTCTTAGAAATAACCAAATCCCTCAGGACCCAGGGAGGGACAAGATCATGCCCCAAGTCATATAGTGTGTGAATCAGGCCTGGAACCCAGGCATCCTGCTAATTCCCCTTGGGACGCATTCTTCAGTCCCCCAAAGCCCAGCTTCAGTCTTTGTTGCCGCCGTTCCTAGCTCCCTGCCTCCCATAAGTCAGGAGGTCTATAACCCAAATCCTGTTGGGCCCTTCTTCCACCTCCATGAAGCCCTCACTGCTACACCTTGTAGCAGATGCTGCTGGTGCCCAGCCCAACCCCCCTGACTGGGCAAATGGACCCACCCTCCAGCTGCTCAGGCTCCCAGCTGCCCCTGCTCATGAGAACTGTCTCTGCCAATGGGATACCAGGTGCAAAGGTAGGAGGACTCCATGCGGCCATTTACGCTCCAACGTCCTCTGTGGACCAAGCCAAGGCTATGCTCCCCTAATCCCCAGCCCTGCAGCATTTCCTCCTGCTCTATCCTGCTTCGGTCTCTCGCACCCCAGCAACCCCCAAATCCCCTGCCCCTGAATCCTCCCTCAAGCCCTGCTACCTCTAGGGAACCCGACCTTAGGCACACCTTGCCCGACAGCCTCACCTCTTCCACCTCCACCTCCGCCTCTGCCGCCAGTGCGGCCTCCTTCCGCGCCTTCTTCTTGGCCCCCGCCTTGGTCAGCCCTCGAGCCTCAGTCTTGCGGGCCTTGGCCCTGGGCTCGGCTTTGGGGATGATGGGCTTGGGCTCCAGCTTGGCGGGGGTCTCGCGTGCAGGCTCGGGGCCTCGGAGCGTGGGGGCCTGCAGCGGGGCGGTGGCCGGGGACGAGGGCGCGGACTCGGACCCGGAGACCTCGGGCTCGGGCTGGTCCTCAAAGGGTGGGGGCTCGGGCGGCGTGGTGCGCACAGCATAGCTGTGGTAGCCCTGGTAAAGCGCCACCTCCGGCTCCCGCGACGGCGCAGGCGGTGCCTGCAGAGCCTCGATGGCCATGCGCTCGGTGGCTGGACGCGCGGGGCTGCGGCGGCCCGCGCCCTCGGACGGAGTGACTGACCGGCTGCCCTCACCGCTGGGCTCGCCGTTCCAGGCGCCTGGGCTCAGCAGGCCGTCCTTGGACACCCCGGGCCTGGGCCGCTTGGGCTGCGGGGGCGTCCCGGCCGGTGACGGGGAGCCACCCTCGGGCCGAGGGGTCTCACGCTCGTGCAGCTGCGGGCTCTCGCGGGGCGGCTGTGGGAGGCCCGCTGCGCCGGCGCCCCGGTCGGGGGGCTCCAGCAGGCTCTCCGAGTTCTCCAGGATCTCCTGCAGCAGCCGGCGCTTCTGATATTCCGGACCTGCCAGGGCAACACAGGGAGGCTGGGCTCGAACCCCGCACCACTGTTGGGTGATCCTGGGCCAGCCACTTCACCTCTCGAGCCTCATTCATGGGCTCAGTCGGCACTCACATAGCACTGACCAAGTGCCAGGCACTGTTCCAAGCACTTTCCAAATATTAACTCATCTAATCCCTGTAGTATCCCTATGAAGTTGATGCTACTGTGAACCTCAAAGGGAGGCTCTGAGAGGTTAAATCACTTGCCCAAAGACACACAGCTGTCGAAGGGCAGAGCCAGGACTAGCACCCAGCAGTCTGGCTCCAGAGGCGATGCCCTTTACTTTGGCACGCGTCTCTTTCCATTCCCTTATCTGAAACATGGGCCTGATCATACCTATTTTATAAATACGAATGGAAGGATTGAGAAAATGCATGTCAAAGGCGGAGCTCAGGGCCCCGCACCGGCATAGACCAGCAGGGGGAGCGCTGTGACCAGAAGTGAGGGATCCTCCCAGGCATAGGTTTTCGCTCCTAGGTTTTTCATCAGGCCTCCTTTGGCCTCCTTTCTGCAGCCAGGATCACGTTTAGAAAACACACATCTGATCATGTCATTAACTTAAAAACCCTTCATGGCTGGGCGCGGTGGCTCACGCCTGTAATCCCAGCACTTTGGGAGGCCGAGGCGCGCGGATCACAAGGTCAGGAGATCGAGACGATCCTGGCCAACATAGTGAAATGCTGTCTCTACTAAAAATACAAAAATTAGCTGGGCATGGTGGCGCGTGCCTGTAATCCCAGCTACTCAGGAGGCCGAGGCAGGAGAATTGCTTGAACCAGGGAGTCGGAAGTTGCAGTGAGCTGAGATCGCGCCACTGCACTCCAGCCTGGTGACAGAGCGAGACTCCGTCTCAAAAAAAACAAAAAAACAAAACCTTCATCGCAGAGAATCCCCATCTCTGTCCCTCAGGGGTTCCCACCACTCTATCCATGTGCCAGATCTCTACCAAGGCCGGGAGGTCCTCCTTACTCTGCAGCCTCGATTCTCAGGACCCACAGCCTACTTTGTGATGTGGCTTCCTGGCATGCTGCTCTGTCCGAGTTTCTGTGCCTTTGCACCTCCTCCACTCATCCCACCCAGCGCTATCTGGTACAGCAGCTCTCAAAGTGTGGTCTCAGACTAGCAGTATCCACATCGCCTGATCCTTAGAAATGCACATTCATTCATGGGCTCCACCTGAGACCTACTGAATCAGAAACTCTGGGGGTGGACCCAGCAATCTGTGTCAAATTTGAGACCCACTGACTTGATAGACTCTTGTTCAGCCTGCAAGATTCAGCTCAAATGGCCTCTCCTGAGGGCAGCCTTCTCTAACACTTCCTCTTGCCTAACTGCTTCCTGTGAGCTCCCTCCTCTCCCATTCTAACCGCACAGTGCTCATCCTGCTGTGTGAAATGGAACCATAATCATGAAACAACAGCCACAGTCACTGAGAGCTTACTGAGGACTGGGAATGTACCTTACATGCATTTAATCCATGCACAAAAAAGCAGGCACCATTCTTACTACCATTTTACAGATCAGGAAACTGAGGTTTACAGAGGTTAAACACCTCACTCAAAGTCTCACAGCTGGGAAGCAGCGGAATCAGGGTTTGAATGAATGCAGAGTCTGTTTATGGTACCCCTAGCTCTGTTGTTTTTGTGACTCTCTGCTCCCCTAGATTTTGGAACCCACTTATGTAACCCCAGAGCCTGGTACAGTGCCTGACACATGGACAGTGCTCAATGCTTGACTGAAACTGTTGGGCAAGTGCAAGAAGCCATTTTTCCCTCTCATCCACCAGTGACTTCTCTCCTCTAAGCTTCACCAGCTCCAACTGTCTTCCCTGCTCAGAGCAGAGAGAAAAGACCACTTGGAGTGACTCTGCTGCCCTCCCCTCGAGCTCAGCATGAAGGCAGAGATGTGTCTCCCCACCTACCCCTGCATCATCCCATCCCACATTTGCACCATGCCCCAGTTTCTGAGACTCACGGGCATCCAGGAAACCACTTGGGCATCTCAGATTCCAGTAAGCAAAGAAAAGCGCCCACCCTAGGGATAGCCCTACCCTGCCCATCCTTCCCTGGCTGGCCCTACCTGGCTGGTAGAAGTCCGGAGCCAGCTCCCTGGCCAAAGTGCGAGCAATGTTGGACTCCTGGTTGGCAGCCAGGGCGGCCTGTTCCGCTGCCTCAGCTTTGGCCTTGGCGTGGCTTGTCCTATGGAGACAATGTGGCAGAAGACTCAGGATCCTTCCAGAGAACCAGCCTTCTGCCCCTTCTCCCCAACCCACAAAGAGACATGCTAAACACAGCATTCTTTCACGCAGGCAGTCAATGAATATTTATTGAGCCTCATGGCCCAGACTGCTATGCATTCTCCAGATCATTTCTTCTTCTTTCTGAGCACTTAGATAGACTACCTTTCCCAACCTCCCTTGCAGTTAGGTGTGGTCAGGTGACTGAGTTCTGGCCAGTGCATTATGGGAAGACATCATGTATGCTATTTCCAGGCTTGGCCCATAAAAACTTCTGTGCCCTCTCTTTTTTCCCCAGCATTGCTGGTTGAATGCAGAGCAGGCTGAGTCCCCAGAATAGGGACTTAACTTCTGTGTCACAGATCCCTTTGGCAGTGTGGTGAAGCCTATGGATCCCTTCTCAGAATAATGTTTTTGAATGCATAATAATATACATAGGATTACAAAAGGATGCAGTTACTTGACATACTGTTTCCAAAATATTTAAAAGAACACATTTGTAAAATAATAATCTATATCTTTATAATCACATTAAACAAAATATCAGGTCTGTTAACTACTGTAATTTTAAAGTATAGATAAGCATAAAGGATATTTCAAGGATATCTAATTACAACATATAATATGACATGAAAATATATGAGATTTCTATTGGTGACAAAGTCACAGCTGCTACTACTACTATTATGGTTTATTGCCTATTTCCATAATTGAAGAGAAGGCTACATTTCAGTTGGAGTTAATAAAAATACAGATGTAGCTTTTCTCATTGTAGTGGGTACTTCTGGTGCCCTATGCAGATCCCTTCACTGGGCAAATGTGCCTACCCCCGGCTGATGTGAGTGTTGGCTGCTAATGGCTCCTTACTACCCCAGAGAATTGTAGCCCATAGAAGCCACCTTGTTCCAGAAGTTAAAATACTGCCCTGCCAGCCAGGCACGGTGGCTCACGCCTGTAATCCCAACACTTTGGGAGGCCAAGGCAGGCGGATCACGAGGTCAGGAGATGGAGACCATCCTGGCTAACATGGTGAAACCCCATCTCTACTAAAAAATACAAAAAATTAGCCGGGCATGGTGGCGGGCGCCTGTAGTCCCAGGTACTCGGGAGGCTAAGGCAGGAGAATGGCATGAACCCAGGAGGCGGAGCTTGCAGTGAGCCGAGATTGCGCCAGTGCATTCCAGCCTGGGCAACAGGGTGAGACTCCATCTCAAAAAAAAAAAAAAAAAAAAAATCCTGCCCTGCCTACCCCTAAACCTAGGCAGCCCATACCAATGACTGGTACTGGTCAGCCTCCTCTTGCCTCAAGAGGAAGGAACTCCAGCTGCAGCAGGTACAATCCATGCTCCAGAGCCCCCGGTGGACTGGCTGAAGCAGGTCTCCAGCTGAGACCACATCTCAGCTCATCTCCTTCCCTACGCCATCCTGCCTCTCATTCTTCTCTCTCCTGAAAGCCTCCCTCAGTAAATCACTTACACAAGAATCCCCACTTCAGGCTCTACTTCTAGGGAATCTAACCTACACCGTCCAAGTTCATGGACCCCTGAAATCTATCCACAGACCCTCCTGTGGACTCCAAGTTAAGAAATGTGAGCCCATAAATGATTGCATGGAGCAAAGCCCCTTCCCACAGCCCCACAGTTGCACGTGACAGGAGCAAATTTTAAATATTCATTGTCTTAAGTACCTGAGATTTGGGAGATGTCTGTTTCAGCTGTCAGCTTAGCTTAACTCACAGAAGTACCTACTAAAGTAATAACAGTCCAATTTCCTAATGGGCCAGGCATGGTTCTAAAGGAGTTATGAAGATTATCTCATATGCTCATTCTAATGCCTTAGGAAGCTGGTGCTGTTATTATTATCCCTATTTTACAGAAAAGAAAATTGAAGTGCAAACAGGTTAAGCAATTTGCCCAAGGTCACAGAGTCCTGAAGTGCAGGAACTGGGATTTTGAACCCAGGCAACGTAACTCTAGGGCAGTGGTGTCCAATCTTTTGGCTTCCATGGGCCAGAAGAAGAAGAATTGTCATGGACCACACAGAAAATACACTAACACTAACGATAGCTGATAAGCTTAAAAAAAACAAATCACAAAAAAAATCCCATAACATTTTAATAGAGTTTACGAATTCGTGTTGGGCCACATTCAAAGCTGTCCTGGGCTGCATGGGGCCCATGGGCAAGGGTTAGACAAGCTTGCTCTATACCAGTAGCTGAGCATGTGCCAGAGCCTGTGCCAGGAGCTGAGCATGGCCAGGAACTGAGGACAGAGACTCTGTGGACCAGAAAGGCTACTGTCAGATGAGGGAGCTGGCTAGTAAACAGACACAAAAACTATTTAATAAAATGCAATTAAATAAAAAGTACCTAATTATAATTGTGAAATATGCCGTGAAGGAGGAGTAGAGAATACAATGAAAATGCAGGACAGAAAGACTTAATGTTGATGGGTGGTGGAGGTGGGCTGGTCAGGAAAGGATTCCTTGAGGAAGTTGACATTTGAGTTGAGACTTGAAGAAACACATACGTTAGGCCCCTAAGAGGTGGGCGGGTCAATGAGCCAGGTAGACAGAAGGGCATGTGCAAAGACTCTGAGACTGAGGAAGAGCTTTGTGCCTTCGAGGAGCTGCAAAGCCAAGTCAGAGTGTCCACTCTCTACAGATGAGTTAATTCCCTGGGGAGCTGATGTGTGTGTGTCTTTATCTCAGTCTACAGCAGAGAACTGGGCGCACGGTAAGGGGGATAAATTCCCTTAAGCTTCTACTAGGCACCAGGGCTTTTATCCCTTACAAACCTCAAAACTGTGAGGTAGTGAGGTAGTGTTTACCGGTCCCTACTTCACAGGTGGGGAAACTGAGGTTCAGAAAGGTGTCTTGCTCAAGGAAACAAAATAGGAGTTAACATTTACAAAGCACTTAGTATATGCCAAGGGCTTTACAGAAATTAACTTAACCCCCCAATAACTCTACAGGGTAGATGTTATTCCTATCATCCCTCTCTACAGAGGAGACATCCAAGGCAAAGGAGTATTCTAAAGAACCCAAGCCAGCATGGTGGCTCGTGCTTGTAATCCCAGCACTTTGGGAGGCTGAGGCAGGAAGATCACTTGAGCTCAGGAGTTCAAGACCAGCCTAAGCAACATACCAAGACCTTGTCTCTACTAACAATTAAAAAAAAAAAATTAGCCAGGTGTGGTGGCGCACACCTGTAGTCCCAGCTACTCAGGAGGCTGAGGTCAGCGGGGGGATTGCTTGAGCCCAGGAGATCGAGGCTGCAGTGAGCTATTATCACACCATTGCACTCCAGCCTGGGCAACTGAGCAAGACTGCATCTCAGAAAGAAAAAAAGAATTCACCCAAGCTTACATAGCTAGTAAGTACCAGAGTAAGGATTCAAACCAAAGCATTCTGGGATCTAGAGTCTGTATCCTAACCACAGGCTCAATTTCCATTCAATAACAAGCAGCAGAGTAAGATTCTAAACCTGGAGCTGTCTGATGTCCAAGCCCCTGCCTCTCCACTATGCCATATTGCCATAGTAATGCTTACTGAATGAATACATGGCTGAAGGCACGCATGCAGGCGTGCACATATGTAGGGGCAAGGAGACAGCCTAGGGAAGAGTTAAGAGCACACAGTTTTAGAATTAACAGGCCTGGATTCCAATTTGGGCTCTGCCAAGGCCAGGGACAGAATGAGATGACCGAGGCACTCGCCTCAGGGGCAAAATTTATGGGGTTGCCAAAAAACTCAGTGATCAAGAGGAATCACATTTTAATGCAATATTTTAAAAGTCTAAATTAATGCAAAAATAAATCCTTGATGAACAACCTATGAAGAAAATTTTAAATAAAGCCTGGATTGGACCCTGCACTTGGATCCCTCACTTACTCACTCACCTCACCCCACTGGGAGTCTAGGACCTTGGGTGCATGCATGGCTTTACCTCTCTGTGCCTCAGTTTCTTCATCTGTAAAGTGGAGATAGTAATTCTCCCCTCCTGAAGTTGCCGTGAAAACTAAGTGAGAGGCAACGCGTGAAAGTGTTTGGTCTTGATGATGACGATGATGGGGTGTTGGTGGCGGTGGTGAAAGAGGAGGAGGAGAATGACATCTGTACATCAAAACTGAGTGTGCTACATGCATATCCCCAGGCTTATTTTTGCCTGCACGTGAGTATGTGTGAGACAAAGTTCTAAACTTTTTAGAGCCACTTCTCTGGGCACATGAAACCCCAGGAGGGAGGAGGAGGGAAAGGGCTGGGCAAGCCTTCAAACTGAGAAAATGCCCTTTTTTTGGTCATGTGAGCAGAAAGATGCCCACTTTCTGGTGCCTTTGGAAGCTGGGTTGAGGACTCCTCAGGCAGGAAAGGCAGCCTCTCCCCACAGCCCTGGAAGATTCTGGGGGACCCACTGTGCACAGCCAGAACAGGGGCGGCCACACAGCCCAGGGCAATGAGGGCTGCTGTGCTGGAAGCAAGCATACTCCCTGTCCATCTCCAACCACCCGGCCCGCTGCATCCTATCAGCCCTTCTCCCCTGTCCCATGCTCCCAATCTCTGATCCCAGCCTTCAGGCCAGGAATCCCGGTGTTCTTCAGCACCCTCCCTCCCCACCTCCTTCCACATCCACAGCCCATCAATCACCAACACTGGTCTCTCCGGCTCCCTTTATAACTCTTAGAACCCTCTGCCACTCCTCCTGCACCCCTTCCCATGGGTCTCCCCTGCCTGCAGGCTCACTCCTACAGCTGCTCCTACACACAGCGGCTCAGCGAGCTTGCTTAACCACACACCCGTGGCCTCACCCCTTGCTTCAAATCTTTGCAAGGCTTCCTACTGTGCTCAAAATAAAACCCTAGCTACTTAGTATGGCCTTCGAGGCTCTCCAGACCCTTGCCCAAGGCAGTCTGGATGGGGTATACCAGCAGCTCACGGGGTGAAGGGCAGGCGGAATGACTGTGGCTGGGAGGCTATTGCTTCTAGGCCAGTGCCTCTCCTAATGCAGTCCGTGACCCCCACCCAGTATCTTCATCACCCGGAAGCTCAGATATACAAATTCTCGGGCTCTGCCCAGACCGACTCATCGGAATTTGAAGGGAACGAGCCTAGGAATCTGTGTTTTATATTCCAGATTCTGACTTAAGTTTGAGAAGCACGTGTTCGGCGGAGAGAAAAGCCAGCTCCATCTTGAAGTTGTTCCCAGACTGCTCAACCCCCTAGGAGCCTTGGATGTTTTCCTTTTAGCACCAGGGTCCCTCCCTGAATCAAGGCCCTGCTGGGGAAATGCAGGAAGCATTCCTGCTCTGCTGACCACTCACCATCTCTGGATCCATGCCTCTGGGTGAGGGTCTGGAGGATGGCTCTGACCCTGCTTGGGGGAAGGGAGCAGTCACTGGGGCCGGGGGAGGAACAGGGAGACTCTTCTTGATTTCGTTCGGATTAACTTTCGTCAGCAGGGTTAAAAATAAGGCTGGTGTTTCTGGGATAGGAGCAGGGCTCTCACCCAATAGAGCAACTTCTAAAAGCACCTGCCCCCACCCTGGCCTCCTTTCCCCATCTCTCCTCCCAGGCCCATAACTGCTTGGTTGTTTCCCAGTTGTCTCCACTAGGCATTGGTGGCTTTATGGGGCCAAAGGGGGACCCTCACCGGACTTGCCCTGACTCTAGGCCTTTGCTTAGGCTGTTCCCCGACCTGGAAGGCTCTCTCCCCTCCTGCCGCGATCCTGGCCTTAAAGAGTCAGTTTAAGACCCACCTGTATGTATTGGTTCATTCATTTAATACAACTTTATGGAGTGCCTACTATGTGCTAGGCACTTTTCTGGGCACTGAAGACATAGAGGCAAACTGAACATCCAAAAATCCCTTGTATGGTCAGGCACAGTGGCTCACACCTGTAATCCCAGCACTTTGGAAGGCTGAGGCAGGAGGATCACTTGAGGCCAGGAGTTTGAGACCAGCCTGGGCAACACAGCAAGATCCCAACTCTATCTTAAAAAAAAAAGTAAAAAAGAAAGAAAGGAAACAAAAATCCCTTGCAGAGGTTACATTCCAGGGCACGGGTCAGCAGATGACAGTGGTAGGCTAAACCCAGCCTGCTGCCAGCTTTTGTACCACCCATGAATGGTTTTTATATATTTGAATGGTTAGAAAAAAAAAAAAGTAAGGCCAGGCATGGTGGCTCACGCATGTAATCCCAGCACTATGGGATGCTGAGGCGGGTGGATCACTTGAGACTAGGAGATCAAGACCAGCCTGGCCAACATGCCGAAACCCTGTCTCTACCAAAAAATACAAAAATCAGCTGGGCACGGTGGTGCGCACCTGTAGTCCCAGCTACTTAGAAGGCTGAGGCAGAGAATCACTTGAATCTGGGAGGCAGAGGTTGCAGTGAGCCAAGATTGCACCACTGTACTCCAACTCCAGCCTGGGTGACAGAGTGAGACTCTGGCTCAAAAAAAAAAAAAAAAAAGTAACATTTTGTGACACATGAAAATTATATGAAATCCAGATATCTGTGTCCCTGTAAACAAAATTTTGTTGAAACACAACTATGCTCATTCATATTGTCTAGAGTAGTTGTCATAGAGACCATATGACCTACAAACACCACAATATTTACCATCTAGTCCTTTACAAAAGTCTGCCGACCCCTGTACTAATGTATTCACTCAATGAATGTCTCCTCTACTATTATTATGAATAATATTAATCTTGGTTATTTGTTGAGCACTGTGTGACCAGCCTTACGCCATGGCCTCCTGTGTAAACACATATGGCCTCAGAGAGCTGGAGGCACGTTCTCAAGGTCACACACTAGAAAGTGAACCTGCCCAAGCTCTTACCCATGACACCAAGCTGCTGCCTTCCTGGTACCACTTCTGAGCCAGGTCCGTCATGTGCTGGGGCCAAGGATGGAAATGAATAGGACCCAGCAGCCGCCTGGGGAGCTCGCAGCCCAATGCAGCCCTGCCAGGTCAATCAGGCAACATTTCTGGAAGTCCATGGATGAGCAGGGGCTCAGAGCAAAGTCTATAAACCACATGGTGGAGTGGCAAAGAGGCGGTAACTCTGGCCAGATTGCCCGGGTGCAGACCCTGGCTCTGCTCCTCATCACCTTAAGCCCAGTCTCCTCATCTGTAAAATGGGAATAATAAGGGCACGCGTCTCCAAGGAATGATGTGAGGAGTAAATTAGTTACAGTCACGTGGCTCAGAACACAGGAAGTGCTACCTAAGGGCTTGTTACATAAAATGAGAAGTGCAGTTTTAGCCTGGGCAACACAGTGAGACCCCGTCTCTACAAAAAATAAAAATAAAAACATTAGCCAGGCATGGTGGCTAATGGACCCCGCTACTTGGAAGGCTGAGGTGGGAGGATTGCTTGAGCCCAGGAGGTCAAGGCTGCAGTGAGCTATGATTATGCCACTGCACTTCAGCCTGAGTGACAAAGCAAGACCCTATATCAGAAGAAAAAGAGAGAGGGAGGGAGGGAGGGAGGGAGGGAGGGAGGAAGGAAGGAAGGAAGGAAGGGAGGAAGGAAGGAAGAAGGGGGGGAGGGGGCACAGTGTTTTGAAGGGGACTGAAACAGAAATCCTGAATGTCCTAAATGCCACTGAATTGTTCACTTTAGTATAATAATAATTTTAAAAATCCTTCAGCCCAGGAATCCCATGGTAGGTTTGGATGATGGGGGCAGATAATCAGGGTCCCTGGCTCAGGCCACTGCCAGCCTCTCTGGAGGATGCTCAGGTGATTACAGGGAAAATGCTGCCCAGCGTCTTCCTGAGGTGGGGATGCTTCCGATGTCACTGCCCTACCCTCTCCCAAAATAGCCCCTCATCCCCAGCTCTGGCTGGTCATGACCATCTACCCCAGAACAACCATGGTCAGGCTAATCTAGAGGAAGGACCACAGCTGGGTGTCCAGTCACTGGCCCAGAGAACTCCCTAGGAGAAAGCCCCCTCCGCCCCCAAGGATGCAGGTGCAGTCAGGGAGCCCTGACCCATGGGACCTTCCTCTCCCCACCCAGGACTCCATTCATTCTCATTCGGCAAATGTGTGCTGAGCCCCTGCTATGTGGAGCCCAGAACTGGGTGCTAGAGACATGGACAGTGGTCAATGAGGCAGGCAGTGCCCTCCTGGGAAGCCCCTCACAAGACAGGTTAAGGGCACAAACTCAAGCCCAATTTGTAGCACCATCATCTAGATATCTGACCTTTGCTCTCTGGCCTCAGTTTCTTCAACTCTGAAATGGGGGATAATCTCACAAAATTACTGGGAGTCTGAAATGAGATAGCACAAATGTGCTTAGCATGAACTGAGCACGTAACAAATATTAGCTATCATTATTGTTTCTGTTACTATTATAACAATGCTGACCAGCATTCACTTCCAAAATTCTATCATTTGCCAACATATGGATGTGTCATCTAAACATCATTTCAGGGTTCACCCACATTGTAGCATGCATCAGTACTTCATTCCTTTTTATTGCTAACTAATATTCCATTGTGTGGATAAACCATATTTTGTTTACCTGTTCAATAGTTGATGGACATTAGGGTGCTTTCCACTTTTTGGTTACTATGAATAATGCTGCTATGGACATCTGTGTACAGGTTTTTGGGTGGACATGTTTTTATTCCTCTTGAGTATATACCTAGGAGCAGAATTGCTGGGTCCTGTGGTAACTCTATGTTTAACTTTTTGAGGATCTGCCAAACTGGTCTTGAGATGGCTGTACCATATTATCATATTATGTTCCATTGGTAATACACGAGAGTTCCAGTTTCTCCACATCCTCCCTAATACTTGATATCATCCTTCTTTTTTTTTTTTTTTGGAAACGGAGTCTCGCTCTGTCGCCCAGGCTGGAGTGCAGTGGCGCAATCTCAGCTCACTGCAACCTCTGCCTCCCGGGTACAAGTGATTCTCCTGCCTCAGCCTCCCGAGTACCTGGGATTACAGGCACCCGACACCATGCCTGGCTGATTTTTTTTTGTATTTTTTAGTAGAGACGGGGTTTCATCATGTTAGCCAGGATGGTCTCATCTCCTGACCTCGTGATCCACCCGCCTCAGCCTCCCAAAGTGCTGGGATTACAGGCGTGAGCCACCGCGCCCGGCCCATCCTTCGTTTTGATTGTTGCCATACTAGAGGTTTGGGAAGTGCCATGTCATTGTGGTTTTGATTTGCATTTCCCTGATGGCTAATGGATGTTGAGCATCTATGTGCTTCACGGCTGCTTGTATATCTTCTTAGGATAAATGTCTATCCAGATCCGTTGCCAGATTTTAATTGGATTTTTTTCCTTCTTATTATTGAGTTGTAAAATTTCTTTATATATTCTTATGCAAGTCACTTATCATATATATGATTTACAAATAGTTTTCCCATTCTCTGGGCTGTCTTTTCACTTTCTTCCTTTGAAGTACAAAAGTTATTTTATTTTAATGGAGTCCAATTTAGCTATCTTTTGTCACTTGTGCTTTTGTCATAGCTAAGAAGGTTTTGCCTAATCCAAGGTCAAAAAAATTTACTCATATTTTCATCTAAGAATTTTATGGTTTTAGTTCTTCTACTTACTTCTACAAACACTGTTTCTAATAAGAAAAAATGGGAAATAACCTAAGGGCTCATCCCACCCTCTGAGGTAGGTACTACCACCACTTTACAGATGAGGAAACTGAGGCACAGGGAGGTTAGATCATTTGCTCATTCTCGTTATAATCAAAGTAATAATGAAGGCAGACATGGCCCCTGCTCTTGAAGGTTGTAGAGTCTGCTAAGAGAGACAAGACCAAGTAAAAAGTCTTGAGTGCAGAACAAGCCTATGGGGCAGGAGAAAGCCCATGGGGTGGGTGACATGTTCATAATTTGTATTTTATTATTTTTATATTATAAATATTAATATAAGACATATTGTATGCACTATAAAAATAAAATGGCTTCCTCAAAGAAAATTTTGGAAAATGAGCATTTTTAAAAATAAAAAATTGCTATTAATATTTTCGTCTTTTTCTTTTTAACATTTTTTTTTTAAAGATACAGAGTCTCGCTCTGTTGCCCAGGCTTGGGTGCAGTGGTGCAATCATAGCTCACTGCAACCTTGAACTCCTGGGCTCAAGTTATCCTCCCACTTCAGCCTCCCAAATAACTCAGATTACAGGGGCATGTCACAGTACCCGGTTAACATGGTAGTGTATTCCAAGTTGGTTAGGAACACAGCTGCATGACTGTTGGTGACTTACTGAAATTCTCTGTGCTTTGATTTTTCCATCTGTAAAACGAGGTTATGAAGAGCCCCTATCTCATAAGCTTGTGGGGATTAGAGAGAGAACTGACCAGCAGAAAGCACTGGGAACAGGGCCTGGCACACAGCAAGCTCGATGCAGATTTGTTCTAGTTGAGGTGAGGAGTAAGGGTGGTGTTGGGGATTCTGAGGTTGGGGGCTGTGATAGCCCTCAGGCCCTATGTAGAACCTCTCCATCTTGGAAGCTCCACTGAAATCCCCCAGCCTCCAGCTGGAGTGAAGCCTCCTCTAGTGAGGGAGTGGGTGTGTGAGCTCTCAGCCTAGAAGACCGGGCAAAGTAATAAGTGTTGCTGCTTAGCGGCCGGGCGCGGCGGCTCACACCTATAATCCCAGCACTTTGGGAGGCAGAGGCAGGTGGATCACTTGAGGTCAGGAGTTCAAGACCAGCCTGGCCAACATGGTGAAACTTCGTCTCTACTAAAAATACAAAAATTTGCTGGGCGCAGTGGTGCGCATCTGTAATCCTAGCTACTAGAGAGGCTGAGACAGGAGAATTGCTTGAATCCAGGAGGCAAAGGTTGCAGTGAGCCGAGATTGCGCCACTGCACTCTGGCCTGGGCAACAGAGCCAGGCTGTCTCAAAAAAAAAAAAAAAAACAAAAAAAACAAAACCATTGCTGCTTCCTGAGAGCTAACTATGCGCCAGACACTCAGCCAAAGGCATCAATGAATAATGGCCCCAAAGATATTTGGTCCTAGTGTCTGGAACCCGTGGATGTTACCTTCTATGGCAAAGAGGGCTTTGCAGGTGTGATTAAATAAAGGATCTTGAGATAGATCATCCTGGATTAGACAGGAAGGCCCTAAATGTAACCACAGGTGTCCTTATAAGAGGGAGATTTGATAACAGAAGAGGAGAAGCCAATGTGATGATGGGAGCAGAGATGGGAGTGATGTGTTTTGAAGACAGAGGAAGGTGCCATAAGCTCAGGAATGCAGAGGGCCAGCAGGGGTTGAAAAGACAAGCACAAAGATCCTCCCCTTTGAGCCTCCAGAAGGAAATCTGACTTTAGACTTCCGACCTCCAGAACTGTAAAAGAATATATCTGTATTGTTTTAAGCCACCGAGTTTGTAGTAATTTGTTACTGCAGCAACAAAACAAAACAAAACAAAACAACCTGTGTGATCTCATGTCATCCTCAAGATGATGCACTTTACAGCGGAAGAAACGCAGGCTCAGAAAATCATTTGCCCATGGCTCATAGCTAGTAAGTCCAGAGTTGGCTTGAGCCCAAACCCAGGACTCCCTGGCACAAAAGCCTTTGCTGACCCCTGCATCTGCTGCACCGCTTCAGCTCCTGCCCACTTTCTACAGGGCCCAGCAGCTGTGGTTGCCTCAGCCCAGTCTTGTCCCCCAGGGATATCAAGAGGCCCCCGAGTTTTATATTCCTGATATTCCTGCTGCCTGTCTGAGAGGGCCTGGGGCTGGGTTACCAGCATGTTCCCCACATCCTTCACATCTGCAAGAAAGTCTGGTTCTCTGGGGCCTGGCATCACCTGGCTGACTGTGCAGGACGGAGATCTGGCTGCACTTTGGCAACCAATGAAATGACAGGGAGGGAACCTCGGGCCTTGCTCCTCCTCCACCAACCAACAGAGTAGTGGACCCTGCAGTTCAACCTGGATCTAGCTGCTGGCAAAGAGGCTTTCACTGCATGAGCTGACAGAGCACTCCAAAACCACACGGGGAAACTTCCTTTTCAAAAAATCTATGCCTGATTTTAAAATTTTACAAACTATAAAAACCATTACATTAAAGCAACAGTGCGCTGACGTCACTTTGCTAATGCAATAGCTATTTTAGCTTTTGAGCCTTCCTTGTCTGTCCAGGTGCACACCTATTATTTTTTCGTTTTTTGGGGGGCCTCCATTTATAACACAGTGTACACACCTATTTTTTATCAGGGCTGTGAACACAATAAAGATTCCATTTTTGAGGCATGGTGGTTAATAGCATGGAATCTGAAGTCATGCTATGTGGGTGTGAATCCCTGACTTACTAGCTTTCACCTAGACAAGTCAATTAGTCCCTCTGTGCATTGGTTTTCTCTTCTTCAAAGTAAGAGATGTCAGGCAGATTTCTCATATGGCTCCTGTATTCCCATCCTAGCGTAATCCCTTCCCCCTGAGTGTGGGCTGGACCTAGAGACATGCATCTAAAGAACAGAATATGCAAAAGTCATGGGATGTCACTTCCATGATTCGTTTAGACTGTGACTTCTCTCTTGCCACCAGAGTCTCTTGCTGGCTTTGCTGAAGCAAGCTGCCATGTTGGAGAGGAATTGAGCCCCTCAGTCTAATAGGCTGCAAGAAACTGGATCCTACCAATACCACGTGTTTGAGAAATGGATATTTCCCTGGTGGAGCTTTCAGATGAGACCACAGCCCTGGCCAATACCTGGACTGCAGCCCAAGAGAGACCCTGAGCCAGAGGACTCAGCTATACCCTGATACCCGACCTGCAGAACTGTTAAGACAACAAACGTGTGTTGTTTTAAGCTGCTCTATGTGGGGACAATTTGTTATGCGGTGATGGGTAACTAACACAATGGGGATAATAATAGTGCCTACATCATAGGGTAATGAAAATTAAATGAGTTAATGGCCACAAAGGTCTAAGAACAGTGCCTTGCACAGAGTAAGCACTATCGAAGGGTTAGCTGTTCCTGCCATACTTTTATAATTTATTCACTTAAGTAATTTTCCAGTTTCCATATACTGACATTTATCATTTAATTGTTCAACCATTTTTTTCTTTAAAAATCCATCATCTACATATTTTTGTGCTAGTGATTCCCCTTCTGGGAGTGTGATCAACAGATATACTCAAATTGTACAAAATGACACATGTACAAGTCCCAAATGACTTCTGGAAACTTTTGTCCCCAGACCCATCATTCACTTCTTTATCTGGTGAACTCCTACTCATCCTTCAGGACCCTACCCCAGGAAAGCTTACCCTAACTGCCAGCTGTCTGCTCTTACCATCTCTTGCACTTAGCTGCCAGGTGACTTTGCCTTTCTCTGATTAGCCTGTGAGCTACACGGTATTTACTGTAACACTGTAATAGCAAAAGATTGGAAACAAAGCCAAGTCCAGCAGTACAGAGCTGGTTAACTAAATTATGGCATAGCCATTTGAAGGAGTATTATGTAGCCAATCCTAGGAATAAGATTGATCTTTGTGTATGACAAAGAGTGAATTCCAAGATATGTTAAATCAGGTAGCAAGGTGTAAAAGAATTTCTATTGTATGTAACATTTGTGTAAACAGACAACCTGTTTGCTCTTCTATATAGAGAATATTTATGGAAAGATAGGTAAGAAACTTATAATACAGGTTGCCCACTGTGAATGAGGTGGAAGGGAGGCAGACAGACAGACACACACACACACACACACACACACACACACACACACACACACACATTTGGGCTGGTTATTTTCCTTTGGCCCCATCTCCCCCCCTTGCCCCACCCCATCCATTCCCTACCCAGCTCTGCCCAGGGAGATCATCTCTACAGCCTGCATCACTAGCTCCCTTGCTCACTGGCTTCCAGTGCGCCCAGTCAATTCAGGGCCCAAGCACGAGGCCGGAGAGGGCTGGGTATCTATTCCACTTCTCCCTCTTCCTGCCTGTCTGTCTCCTCCACAGCTGCAGCTCTCACCCACCCCCACCGTCCCCCTCCACACCTGCAGCTCTCACCCACCCCCACCGTCCCCCTCCACACCTGCAGCTCTCACCCACCCCCACCGTCCCCCTCCACACCTGCAGCTCTCACCCACCCCCACCGTCCCCCTCCACACCTGCAGCTCTCACCCACCCCCACCGCCCCCCTCTACATCTGCAGCTCTCCCACCCCCACCGCCCCCCACACCTGCAGCTCTCATCCACCCCCACCACCCCCCTCCACACCTGCAGCTCTCACCCACTCCCACCGCCCCCTTCCACGCCTGCAGGTCTCACCCACCCCCACCGGGCCCCTCCACAGCTATAGCTCTCACCCACCCCCACCATCCCCCTCCACAGCTGCAGCTCTCACCCACTCCCACCACCCCCCTCCACAGCTGCAACTCTCACCCACCCCCACCGTCCCCATCCCTGCTCCAGTCATCACACCATTTCCCTGTCCCCCACCTCTTGCCCCTTCAGGCCTGGGGTATAACAGCTCCCATGGCTGCTGGTCCTGGATGCCTTAACATACCTTGTTAATTTTTCTGCCCACATCTCTGCAAACAGCACCTTCTTTAAACTCTCCCCAATTAAACCCTTGCAATAGACCCTTTCCTGCCAGGACCCACACTAATACGATCCTTCTGGATATTCTGAATGTGCATAAATTATAATCACTCCAAAATAAATATTTTTAAAATCTCACATCTATTGGTACTAGACCTTTTAGAAGTATGGTTTCATTTATTCCTTACAACAATCCTAGCAGGCAGGTATTATTATGTCCACTGAATAGGGAAACTAGGCCTCCTTTGGGGGCAGCCACACAGCAGGGAAGCTCTGGGTTGTGATGGAACGGCAGTCTACCTGATTCCAAAGGTTGTGCTAAGCCGCATCACCAGCACCTTTGCTCACTGGCTTCCAGTGTGCCCAGCCGACTGACTGGAGGCCCCAGCAAGAGGCCAGAGAGGGCTGGGTGTCTATTCCCCTTCTATGTCAGGGCAGGATGGCCCTAGGGGAGATTCAAGTCTAATCTCCTGCCTATCAAGCAAGAAGAGGGAAAGGCCTGGGTTAAAAACCTAAGTTTCCCAGGCTGGTCCTGTTCCATCTGATGCTCTCCAATGCCTTCTTAGAGCTGGAAGGCATGACTGAGATGTAGGCAGGGGGCGATATAAATAAATATATACTTATTATAAATATATATAAATAAATATACATTATAATATATAAATATATATTTATTATAAATATATATAAATAAATATACATTATAATATATAAATATATATTTATTATAAATATATATAAATAAATATATATTATAATATATAAATATATATTATTATAAATATATATAAATATATATATTATAAATATATATAAATATATATTTATATATAAATATATATTTATTATAAATATATAAATATATATTTATTATAAATATATATTTATTATAAATATATAAATAAATATTTATTATAAATATATAAATAAATATTTATTATAAATATATAAATATTTATTATAAATATATAAATATTTATTATAAATATATAAATATATATTTATTATAAATATATATAAATATTTATTATAAATACATATAAATAAATATTTATTATATATACATATAAATATTTATTATAAATATAATAAATATTTATTATAAATATATAATAAATATATAATAAATATTTATTATAAATATATATATTTATTATAAATATATATAAATAAATATATATTTATTATAAATATATATAAATAAATATATATTTATTATAAATATATATAAATATATATTTATTATAAATATATATAAATATATATTTATAATATATATTTATTATATATAAATAATATATATTTATAATAAATATATATAAATAAATATATATTTATAATATATATAAATAAATATATATTTATTATAAATATATATAAATATATATTTATTATAAATATAATAAATATATATTTATTATAAATATATAAATATTTATTATAAATATATATAAATATATATTTATAAATATTATAAATATATATACATTAATATATATTATAAATATATATTTATTATAAATATATAAAGATATATTTATTATAAATATATAAAAATATTTATAAATATACATAAATATACATTTATTATAAATATATATAAATATTTATAAATATACATAAATATATGTTTATTATAAATATATATATAAATATATATATTTATATATATATTAATATATATTTATATATATATATAAAATATATATATTTATATATATATATAAAACCACCTGTGCCAGGTGGCTAACCATTTAGCTGCTGGGTGCTGGGAATGACCAAGTGGACAGAATACCAAGAGGGGTAGGGGGGATGCCTGGGGGGCTCAGGGAGGCTGCTAGTGACAAACCAGTATAGACTATTTCAATATTTAACAATTGGCATGACCATACCTACTGGGGTGCCCAGCTAGATGCTAACCCCGGATGTAAACGTTCCTTCTTATGCCCCATCTAGTCCAGAAACCTTCCCCAGAGGCCACCCCCAGAAAATTTGGTCTTAAACCTCTGCTTAAAACCCCACAGTGCCTTTCCTAGTGCCTGAAGGATGACATGGAAATGCTTTCATGTAACTTCATGACTTAGCTCCTGCCAACCTCTCTGGTCTGACTCCAAACTCAACCTTCTAGTCAGACAGAAACTTCCAGTTCCTCAAATGTGCCCTGTCGATTGTTTCTATGCCTGGGGTGAAAACATAGGTAATTTCTTCTCCTGGGAACTCTTGTCTCCATCCCCATCTTTCGGTTCTTTATCTGGTGAACTCCTACTCATCCTTCAGGACCCTTCCCCAGGGTAGCTCACCCTGACTGCCAGCTCTCTACCGTCTCCTGCATTTCGCTTCCAAGGTCACTTTGTCTTCCTCTGATTAGTCTGTGAGTCCCACAAGGGGCAGAAGCTTCGCTGCTGCGTGCCTGTCACCAGACAGAGGCTGGCACAGAGCAGGACTATTTATCTGAAAATATTTAGGCTCACCAGGAATGTGCTGGACAAACGTTTTGTTATATGAATCACATATACTTGACTGTGAGACTCACAGAGCTGGACGGACCCTTAGAAATCATCTCATCTCCTTTAAGATCAACACAGCAACAAGAAGGGGAAACTGTGGCCCAGAGAAGTCTGTGTGATCATTTTCAATTTTCAATCATTGAGAGTTAGTCATTGTGATCGTTACTCTGTTATAGACATATTGGAAGGGTTAGGTACTACATGACAGGCCCATTGTAAGTGCTTGTACATATCATGTCACTTTACTGAACAGCAGCCTTATGAGAGAAATACTATCATTATCACCCTCAGTGTACACATGAGAAAACCAGTACTCTGAGCATTTCAATAACTTGCCCAAGACAACCTGTACACAGACAGCAAGGGATGGCAAGTTAGTCCAGGTCCACAGGAGGTGCTTCATGGAAGCCTTGGGCAATGGAGCTGACACAAAAATGTGATCATGTACCATGGATGAACAGAGGGTAAAACCTACCCCAGACCCCTTCCAGCCTCATGCTTGGGGAACCTGGAGGCCTCAGATGGCCTAGGAGTAGTGAACATTTCTCTTTAGGAAACACAGACAGGATGAAGGTCCTGCCACCCTCTCCAGAGGGCCATGACTGTCACCGTGCTCCTGCAGGGGGACGAAGTCTGCTGGAAAATGGCCTCACCCTTTGCCTATTCTGCTCCCTGGGTGCAACCCAGCAAGAGGATGCTGAATCCCCTGGGACTCATCGCCATCATCATCATCAACATCAACATCACCATTATGAATAGGCAATGCTTGCTGCGCACCTACTAGATGCCCGGCACTTGCATGCGTTTTCTTAATTAATTCTCACAATATTCTCTAAAGTAGGTATCACTATCCCCACTTTGCAGGTGAGAAGATTATATAACCCGTCAAATCCACACAGCCAGGGAAGAGGAAAGCCAGGAATCCTATTGTGGCTTAACACCAAAATAAGAAGATGGAAGCATTAGTTACTACTGGAGTCAGACAACCTGGTTTCAAACCCCAGCTCCCTCACTTCCAACTTGCATGATCTTTGCCAAGTCATGGAACCTCTCCCAGTCTCAGTTTCCCCATCTGTAAAATGGGTTACTAATAGCACTTAGCTATACTAGTAGCTACTTCTTGTAAGGATTATGTAAATTGTGGCATGTGAAGGGTATATTCATTCAGTTGTGACAAGGATTTACTAGGCACCTAATAGACCCTTTCCTGCCAGAACCCAGACTGATGCAACCCTTCTGGATATTCTGAATGTGCATATAGTATATAGTATATGTGTACATTATGTGTACCAGAACCTGGGCTAATCTTGGGGTACCATTGTGAACAGGAGAGACTCGCCTTCTGGAACTTACAGACCAGCTCAGCATTGTGCCCAGCACATAGTAGGTACCCCATGAATGTTAGCTGCTATTTTTTGTTATCACTACTTAGCGGATTTTCTCCCCAAGGGTTGGGCTCCCACCCTGGGGCTCGCCTGCCCAGGAGCCTGCTGACTTAGCTCTTGGTGTGCTCTGCCCCCGCCCCGCCCCACCCCACCCGGGAGCCGGCCTGCAAAGGCATCTTACAAGGCCCCAGTCAGCAGACATCTCCTGCCTAAATAAGGACAAGGCGCCCAGGAGAGCTTTCTGTGAGCCGGAGGAATGTGACAGCTGAGTCCTCCCAGCCCAGCGGCCTCCCCCGCCTCCCGCCCCTCCCCAGGTGGGGCTCGGCTGGGGCATTCCAGCTTTTCCCAGAGCAGATCCCAGTGTCACTGACACCCACTCGCACCCCACCCCAGGCTGCTCTAAAAACTGATAAGGAGCTCTGGGAAGGAATTCCAGGCAGCTCCATTTGCTCCTGGGGGCTGGCGACCCTGCTGTCACAAGGACAGGGGAGGAAGAAGCCACCAGGCGGGGCCGAACCCAGCCTTCCTCTGGACAACTGCATCCCTTTGTTCAAAACACACTTCCAGAGATCGGATTCGGCCCCAGGCACCGTGCCAGGTACTGGAGGTCCAGAGGAGGTTCCAACCCCGTTGCCTTATCCCATCATAGCAGTCACAACTGGGCTAAGTCTTTGAATCCTGCCCTTTCAAAGACTGGATTTTGAACAAGTCCTTCTAAATACTGGCTTTCCTTCTCTCTGACACTGGGAAGAGGGAGAGGAGAAATCTGTCTTTCAGGCCAGTGTCTCTGAAGGATGGGATGCTTTCTACTGGCAGGACCAAGAATGATAGGTGGTACCAGACCATTCATTAAGTAACACTGTAGAAAGTGCATCTGTAAAAAGAGAAAAAATTTAAAAAGACCTTTTTTTTTTTTTTTTGAGACGGAGTCTTGCCCTATCACCCAGGCTGGAGTGCAGTGGTGCGATCTCGGCTCATTACAACCTCTGCCTCCCGGGCTCAAGCAATTCTTCTGCCTCAGCCTCCTGAGTAGCGGGGATTACAGGTGCCCGCCACCACGCCCGGCCAATTTTTGTATTTTTAGTAGAGACGGGGTTTCACCATGTTGGCCAGGCTGGTCTCGAACTCCTGACCTCGTGATCTGCCCACCTTGGCTTCCCAAAGTGCCTCCCAAAGTGTAATCCCAAAGTGCTGGGATTACAGGCGTGAGCTTTAATGCGTCTCTTACACGCTGTTTTTTAACTGAGAGCCCAGCAGCAAGCAGCCTTGAGTCTGAGTTTGTTTGCTTTATTAGACAGAGTCTGGCTCTTTCGCCCAGGCTGGAGTGCAGTAGTGTGATCATGGCTCCCTGAAGCCTCAACTTCCTGGGCTCAAGCTATCTTCCTGCCTCAGTCTCCCGAACAGCACCTGGGACTACAGGTGAGCACTGCCACACCCAGCTAATTTTTTTATTTTTTTGTAGAGATGGGTTCTCACCATATTGCCCAGGCTGGTCTCAAACTCCTGGCCTCAAGCAATTCTCCTGCCTTGGCCCCCTCAAAGTGCTGGGATTACAGGCATGAGCCACTGCACCTGGCCAAGATTTTAATAAGCAACTGAGGGATGGGGTTTAATGATATTTTGCTTCACTGTATTCTTTTTCTTCTTCTTTTTCTTTTTTTTGGCTAACTTTTTCTAATCTAATACTAGATTTGTATTTATGGTAATGATCTAAAGTTTCTTTATAAGAATAAATTTAGATTTAAGAAAGTTAAAATGTTTTTTAAATAGTAAGGGGATCCAGACAGCATGTGGACACGGCGCGGCTCAGGAAGGTATGGCAGTGACTGGCATTTGGCAATCGCTGCCTTGCCCCAGCTGCCACACCGCTGTGCCTTTGCCTCGCCTCGTCCTCCTGTTTGCTCTTCCATGCTGACCTCACTGGGCTGCCCTGGACTCCCTCTGAGCTAAAGTCATCTCCCAAAGGATCCACAGTAACAATAGCTGCCCATGACTGGGACGTGGGAAAGGCCAAGCAAGGAAGTGAATCTGGGCCGGCTTTTTTCCCCCCAAGGACAAGGCAAGGAGAGCTCAGTGCTCCAGGAAATGGAGAACCACAGAGGGGCAGGGACTTGCCCGGGGTCATTCAGCAAGTCAGTGGCAGAGGCCTTCCCACCCTAAAACAATGTGGACGGGAAGATAAAATGGGACAGCCACCACAGAGAGCCTTTGATCCAGCAACTGCGAGTTGGGGGAATTTATTCTAGAGATATACCAACCCATGGGTGGAAATATTGATCTAACACAGCAAATATCTGGAAACTACCCAAACATCCATGTACAACAATGGGGACCTGATTCAGTAAATTGTGGCACAGCTATATAATGGAATTCTACACAAGCATTTAGAAACTGATCAAGTTCTGTACTTGGAAAAACATGAATAGATCTCCAATATATACACAGCAAAGAAAAAAAAGCAAGATTCCAAACAGTATGTATATGCTACAGTATAATATGCTACTTTTTGTGTAAGAAAGAGAAGAACAGGAATCTATACATTTGTTTATATTAGGTTGAACAGTATGAAATTGCCATTTTATAGGCCAAACCTGGTCAAATATTAGCAATTTCATATTTTCCATCTTAATAGAAAGTAACTGGAAGGAAAGGAAAGAAACTACAAACAAGAGTTGCCTATGGAGGTGGCAACAAGATGGGGACAGGAAAAGGAGATGGACTCTTTATAGTAATACTTTTCTAACTGTTGGGTTTTGAACCAAATGAATGTATGATTTTTTTTTTAATACAGAGTCTCACTCTGTCACCCAGGCTGGAGTGCAGTGGTGCAATCTTGGCTCACTGCAACCTCTGCCTCCTGGGTTCAAGTGATTCTCCTGCCTCAGCCTCCCGAGTAGCTGGGACTACAGGCGCGTGCCACCTTGCCCAGCTAATTTTCTGTATTTTTAGTAGAGATGGGGTTTCACCGTGTTAGGCAGGCTGGTCTCAATCTCCTGACCTCGTGATCTGCCCGCCTCGGCCTCCCAAAGTGCTAGGATTACAGGCATGAGCCACTGCGCCTGGCCGAGATTTTATTTTTTTTTAATAAAGGAAAACACCAGTAGGGCCTCTTAGGGCAGGCTTTCTGCAACATGACACCTGTCTTTATATCCATCCCAGCTGGGTGGTCAGGGAGAAACTGTGCAGGCCTGAGCCCAGGGGGCACCCCAGTTTAGCTTCTGACAAATCCCTTCTAGAGAACCTGCTCTGTGGCATTTCCCACCCTCCACGTGGTGGGTCAGAGCTCCAGGGGCCTCCACCCCTTGGGCCAGGCTTCTGGCAAAGCTACAGCAGGTCCTATGGGATGATGGTTTTGGCACCAGGCTGCCATGACTTTGTAGGAGCACCCCCTTGCCAGACAGGGCCACACGAAGCCAGGGCTGATGGGAAAAGCACTTCAGCAGCAATGCAATAGGTCCCCACAAGGATACGGCTTGGCCAAAGGTAGCTCTGAAAACGCATTCCCACCGCTGCCCCTCCCTCCTATCTGGTCCTATGGCACATGTCCTCTAGCAGCCTAAGGAAAGAGGTTCTCCCTGGGGTGATCGCTGGGATTATGGAAACACCTGGGAGATCCCCACCGAGATCTCACCCTTCAATAACACCAAGAAGAATCACTGAAGCAAGGGTAATCGTAGAATAATTTTTTTAAGCTGCCACTATTGAATGACTGTGGTGTACAGTATTTACACAGGTTATATCTCATTTTACCCTCAGTGGTAAGTACTATATCAATTTCTACCACCTCCCACCGTTGGAGAAACTGAGGCTCAGGAAAGTGACATGCCCAAGGAACGAGTGTTATCTAACCCCAAAGCCTGTGCTCTTGACCGTGAATGATGTTTGTGCCTCTGTCTCTCCATCTGAAAGATGGAGAAGGAGGAGACATGAAAACAGAGGTGCAGTGAAGGGGCTAGAGATGTGGTGACCAGGGAAGACTCGGGATATTAAGGTCACAGTCTTCAAACCTCTGCAAGGATGTTGAGACAGACATTGCTAGCTGCTCACCAAATATCCATTCTCTCCCTCTTTCCCACTAACGGAAGCCTAATTTGTTCAGGGAAGCAACGCATCCGGCTAAAAATATTCACCTTCCCATTCTCTACATCTGGGGAAGGTCTTCACTTCTGCATGGAGAGAAGCTGTTGCATTTGGACCTCCGCTGCCTGGAATGCAGAGGTGAGGCTAGGTGTGCAGTGGCTATTTCTGAGTGTGAGGACAAAAGCCACCCTCTAAGGACAGAGGGAGGGAAAGGCAGATGGAGGCGGGTCCCTGAGGGCATCATGGAGCTGCCATTCAGCCTAGCACAGCCTCTCTGATCACATCATGTGAGAAAAAGAAGCCCAATGGGTGAGGCAGTAGAAGCAGTTTTTTTTTTTTAAGAGAAAGGGTCTTGCTCTGTTGCCCAGGCTAGAGTGCAGTGGTGTGATCATAGCTCACTGAAGCCTTGAACTCCTGGGCTCAAGGGATCCTCCTGTGTAGCTGGGACTACAGGTGCATGCTACCACGCCTAGCTAATATTTTTATTTTTTTATTTTTATTTTTGTAGAGACAGGGTCTCACTGTGTTGCCCAGGCTGGTCTCGAACTCCTGGCCTCAAGCAATCCTCCTGCCTCTGCCTCCCAAAGAGCTGGGATTACAGGCAGGAGCCACCATGCCCAGCCACAGGCAGCTTCTATTACCTGCAGCTGAGCACAGTTCTAACTACACAATCCTCAAGGATAGCACCAGGACCCATGGGTAGAAACTACAGAGAAGCAGAAAGTCCTTCTGGTTTTAGCAAATCCAAAAGGCAAATCTATCAAAAGCTGGGCTGGACCATCTCAAGAGATGGCGAGCTCCCCATGCCTGGAGAGACAGACGCAGTGACTGAATGACCACTTGGCAGGACGATGGGAAAGGCATTCTGACATTGGCTGGGGTTGGACCAAATGGCCTTGCATGCTTTAATCATACCCACTTTGGGAGGTGAGGAAAGGCCCCCAGGATGTGTGCCCAGTTATGTATGGGCAAGCGCATATGCCCTACCCTGACCTGCAAGGCCCCCGAAGCCACCACCCAATAGAACTTTCAGGGATGAGGAAAATGTTCTATATCTGTGCTGTCCCAGCTATCGAACACTTGATATGTGGCTGCTGAGACTGAGAAAGGAAACTTTTCCTTTCTTTAACTTCAGTTAACTTAAATGGCCACAGGTTGCTAGTGGCTCCCAGATTGTACAACATTGCCATCCATCCCCGCCGCCTCCCCACGCTCTCTCCGGCCTTTTCTCGCACTGCTGTCCTCCCCCTCACTCCACTTCAGCCCCACTGGGCTCCTCACTGTCCCCAGAGCACGCCAAGCACATGCCCACCTCAGAGCCTTCCCTGGCCCCTCCCTCTCCCGGGCAGCTCCCCCTGACGCAGCCCCCTGGCCAGCTCTTTCAGCTCCGTGTCTCTGCTTCAATTTCAACGAGGCCTTCCTCAGTGAGGCCAGCCCTGACCACATATTTTGAAAGGCAACTTGCCCGACCACAGGCTCTGTCTTTATGTACATCTGTTGTGCTGTCTGTCTCCCCAGCGGGAGGGCAAACATCATGAAGGCTGGATCTTCAGGTTTTCTTCCCCAAGAGCCTAAAACTTTACCTGGCACAGAGCAGGCTCTCAATAAGTCCTTGTTGTATGTATTTCAAGGCTGAAATGAATAACATGGAGGGTGCCCCATGCTGTGGGTTCTTCCCATTACAGTGTGTTTAAGGCCTGATATTAGTCAGTCAACCAGGCTTCCTGGGTCACACATACCTGCTGGGTGCTAGGCCAGGTGCTGGCACCTGGGACTGGGGAGCCGGGGGCACATAAAACAGGAAACCCAGACTAGAAGGGAGCTCAGAGCTCCTCTGAGGAAGAAACAGTCAAGCTGAGTGAAGCCAGATGAAAAGAGCAGGTGTTCGTGAGAGAGTAAAGGAAAAGCATTTTGGACAAATGGAACAGCATGTGCAAAGGACTGCAGGCAGGAAAGAGAACGGCCCTTTGAAGGAAACATGGCTGAAGGCAAATGATGGGGAGAGTGGTATGAGATGAGGCCGGTGGGGTAAATGGAACCAGACAGGAAGGGACTTGGGGGCCAAAGGAAGGAATCTGGAATTTCTCCTGAAAGCAACACCCCCGGTGCCTGCCTCCCAGCTCCTGTGTCTACCCCTAGTTTCCCCCGTAGCTGTGGAGGCAAGCTCCATGTAAGGTCAGACTCACCCAGCACTGTCAGGGTCCCACGCAAGCACAGCTGTCCAATTCCTGCCCAGAGCCTGCTCTGAGGCTGCAGGAGGCCCCTTCACCCTCTGCCGCTTGGGAAACTCCCAGTGAATGCGGCACTGGAGCCCGCATCCATCCTTCAGACGGACAATGCTGCAGATACTGAGGTCTGAGCTGGATCCAGTCCCCGTGGTCTGCAGTGATGCCTCAATAACACACACCTGCAATGCCTGTCCTTCTTCCTTCTCGTGCTCCCCGCTCACGCCCTCTCAGCTCCTCCCTCCTGGCATCACCTACCAGTAAACTATCTGCACCTGAATCCTTGTCTCAGGCTCTGCTTTTGCAGGAACCTTAACTGAGGGCCCCATGAGAGTTTTGTATGGCAGCATGGCACATGCAGGCTGACATTTTTTAAAGCTCATGCTGGCTATTGTGTGGAGAAGAGTATGTGGCAGGAGGAGGCATGAAAAGCAGTGAGGGACCCTTGCAGAGGGGCAGTGAGAGGAGCTGGTGGCCGGCACTGGGCTGGTGGTAGTGAAGAGAGAGAGACAAATAGGGGATGGAGACAAAGAGGGGGTGCTTGACTCCCCAAAGAACCAGAGGCTCGAGAGGCAAGGAGGGGTGGCATGGAGGCAAGGCTTGGGTCACGCCTGGCTTCGGGAACCAGCCTCGCCAAGTTCCATCCCTCAAGCCCTGCCTGGCTGTGAAGACCTGTTGCAAAGGGGTTATTTTTAGAGAGTTGGGTGTTTACTTGAAGGATTTAAAGACGGGCTTTATTTTTAACTCCACTCCCAATGGCAGGGACTCACTGGTATGGACTTAGGAAGTCAAGTGGAAGTTGGACTGGGCTTTGGAAACCCAGAGGAGAGAAGCGGCATTTGGGGAAGGATGAAGCTTAAAGGAGACAGCTGGCCTCACCACGTTCTACTCATCTCGGGCTCCGGGTAAGAACGATGATGAAACTGCCCACGGTCCCTCCTTACCAAGCACCCACCAAATGCCACGGCCACATGAAGCCCTCTACAAACATCGCCTCGTATTGTCCTCACCATAACCTTGGGGGGACAGGGCTGTTACTGTCCCCATTCTACAGACGAGGAAAGGGAGGCTTAGGGAAGACCAAGGACACTTGGTGGGCAAGTAACAGAGCAGGATCTGAGCCTCGATTCCTCAGCTTCCCCAGCCTGCACTCTCAGTCGCTCTACCATTCGAAAGCATGGCCAGGCACCGAGGTCTAGGCACGGAGTGTCAGCCTGGGAGCAGCTGAGAGACTTTCCCTCCCCACCGTGGTGAAGATGGTGGAGTCTGGCTCAGAGAATCGGAAGCCCAGCTGTGTCAGTTCTCGTGTGAGTTTGGACTGGTTTTCTCATCTGTGAAAAGGGCTAATATAATAAGTAGCACCTCCTTCGTGAGGTTTACATGAAATGAGACATAGAAGGGAACTCAGTGTAGAGGCTGGCAGGCAGTGGTGAGAAGGGGGCACTCAGAGATGCCCTGTCCATGCCAGGCACTGCTCCCAGCACTGCACATTTATCAACACCAACATGACCCTCTCCTAGGCCCCACGGGGCAGGTTCTCTCATGATCCCCACCTTAGAGATGAAGAAATGGAGGTACAGGAAGCTTAGGGAAAAGCCGCTTGCCCAAAGCCACGAGGCCAGTGAGAGTGCAGGACTAGAGCCCAGGCCCTGACCCTGGCCTGAACTCACTGACCCTGGGGCAGCCACTAGCATTCTCATTTTTACCGTTATATCAACACTCTTGGTCTGGGCCCTTCCAGCACTGATCCGAATCCCTGGGGCTCAGCTCAGAGCCAGGAGCAGGGCCAGGCACTGGTCTCACTGTGGGGAAACACTTGCATCTGTGGGAGAGGGAGATTTTTCTCCCGAAGGTGCAGGCTGCTGGCCTGTATGTTCTCTGACTCTGCTACTTGGGCTGAAAAGTAAAGCTGGACCAGGCGCGGTGGCCCATGGCTGTAATCCCAACACTTTGGGAGGCCGAGGTGGGCGGATCACCTGAGGTCAAGAGTCCAAGACCAGCCTGGCCAACATAGTGAAACCCCCGTCTCTACGAAAAATACAAAAGTTAGCTGGGTGTGGTAGCGTGCCTGTAATCCCAGCTACTCGGGAGGCTGCAGCAGGAGAATCGCTTGAACGCGGGAGGAGGAGGCTGCAATAAGTCGAGATTCCACCACTGCACTCTAGCCTGAGCGACAGAGTGAAACTCGATCTCAAAAAAAAAAAAAAAAGTAAAGCTGGCAACACTCTGGAGCTAGGCCCTAAGCACCGTTTATAGAGGTGGAGGAGATAAAAACATTCCTTTCCACTTTGTGGAGTTCTGTCCTCTTTCATTTGATTTATTAATTGTGACCCAGAAGCCAACTGAGGCTTCACGAGAGCCTCCCTCACCCTGCCTTCCAGCCACACTCCTCTCTGCTCTGACCCCGACTCCCTGCACAACCCTAGCTGGGTCTCTGCCCTTTGGTAGGCCTCAGTTTTTTCATCTGTAAAATGAGCACGTTGGGCCTCCTCTTTCCTAAGGCACCTTCCAGCTCTGACCAGCTTTTTCTGAAGACTGAAGGAAGCACGCTGGGTCTTTTCTCTAGTACTCTACACTCCAAGGTTGGAAGGCCTGGCTCCCCAAAATGCATGGTCACCATTGTTCTTTTTTTTTTTTTTTTGAGATGGAGTCTCACTCGGTTGCCCAGGCTACAGTGCAGTGGTGCCATCTCGGCTCACTGCAAGCTCCGCCTCCCGGGTTCACGCCATTCTCCTGCCTCAGCCTCCCCAGCAGCTGGGACTACAGGCGCCCACTGCCACGCCCAGCTGATTTTTTGTATTTTTAGTAGAGACAGGGTTTCACCGTGTTAGCCAGGATGGTCTCGATCTCCTGACCTTGTGATCTGCCCTCCTCAGCCTCCCAGAGTACTGGGATTCCAGGCATGAGCCACTGCCCCTGGCCCACATGGTCACCATTGTTCTAACATCTCCTTGCTGCCTGGGACCCAGGCAAGCTCCCCTCTCTGCCCAGACCACTCAGCCTTCCAGTCACAGCTGCCTCATGTATGTCTCGAGAATCCGGCTCTGACAACTCAGGAAATTCCATTCACTCCTGCACCTCAGTTTCTGGGCACAAAGGGACTTTGTCCATCTGGTAATTCACAAAGGAGGGATGTGGTGAAGGGCAGGAGTCCGGGGTCGGGGGCCTTTCCAATGCTTCAAGCCCATCCTCAGGGAATTCAGTCTCTCTTAGTGGAACTTCCTACCTATCCAGGCATCTCAGGAGGTAAGCCAGAGACACTGAGAAAAAGGACAGACATAGCCTCTGTGGATATGGGCAGTTGTTTGGAGGAGTGTTGAAGGTGGCCACTGGGTTCACGGAACACCAGATTTTCTTCAAAATTTTTTGAGTTTGGCAAAGATGCAAAAGACTGATAGCACATAGCTCCAGCAGCAAGGGTGTGAGGAAGACTGCGCTCATGTACACTGTTGTGGGGGTTATAAATTGCAACCCTTTTGGATGTTAACTTGGGTTCTGATAATAATTAAAATGCACATTCTTTTTGACCCCAAAATTCTAATTTTAGGAATTTAGCCCATAAAGTGTCATCTGCATCTCCTTTGCAATTATTATTCTTTAAATATTTGTTGAACATATACTGGAGAGGTGGGGTGAGACACTAGATGGGGTTGGCTGGATTTCTGCTGAATTCACTCAGGGGTACTGTGGACCCTGTCAAGAGGAACCAAATTGACCAAATTGACATTTTGACAGTAAATGTCAGGAGTCAGTCCCTTGCAAAGGCCCACGTGAATTGCCATTATATTCCCAATGTATTCCAGTGCTGCTTGAATGTCCCTGATGGGATACATTGCCTGGCTGGGCCATTCCTTTAATCAGCCCTGTGAGCAAGGATATTGGTCCAAGGCTGTTCACTGCGGCCTCACTGGTGATCAAGAAAACATGAAATGTTTTCAGTCTCCATCAAAAGAGATCTGGTTCAATGAATCATGGTACCTCCACACTACGGACTAGCATACAGCTGCTAAAGGGAGGAAGATAAATCTACATGCATAACATAAAAAGATCTCAAAACATATTACATCAAAAACGCAAGTTCCAGAACATTATGTAGGTAGTCCTAGTTATGAAAAACAAAAACGAACAAAACCAGAATAGGTAAGTAGAAGAATTCTATAAGCAAATTGTAAACAACGGTCACTTCAGAGGTGCAACCCGGGTGGAAGTAGAACAGGGGATTTATTACTTTTTTATTTTGTACGTGTATGACCTTCCTTGGATTTTGCGTGTGTAAGATCTTCCTTGGATTTTAACGACAGATATGTTGTTTAGAACAATGTAAGAAAAGAAGAAAGGAAAGAGAAAGAAACTCACCGTATCTGAAGTAGCAGCACAGGGTGGTGGCTCAGAACATACGACTCGGGTCCAGAATCTCAGCTCTGTCACTTACTGGCTGTATGACTTAGGACATGTTAAAAACAACACAAGGGCCGGGCATGGTGGCTCATGCCTGTAATTCCAGCACTTTGGGAGGCCGAGGCGGGTGGATCATTTGAGGTCAGGAATTCAAGATCAGCCTGGCCAACATGGTGAAACCTTGTTTCTACTAAAAATACAAAAATTAGCCAGCGGTAGTGGCACGCACCTGTAATCCCAGCGACTCGGGAGGCTGAGGTAGGAGAATTGCTTGGGCCCGGGAGGCAGAGGTTGCGGTGAGCCAAGATCACACCACTGCACTCCAGCCTTGGTGACAGAGTGAGACCTTCTCTCAAATAACAGCAACAACAACAACAAAAACAAACAAAAAAACCTCTCTATATGCCTAAGTTAGAATTAGATGAGTTAATTTAGCTGAGCACTTAGTGGCCGCCACATATTAAGTCCTCAATGAATGTCATCCAATAGCGTTGGCCATTATTATCCCAGATCTCCTGGGATTCCCCGAGACAGCTGAGGCTGAGTGGTGGGACTGGAAATGGATGCTGAGGCTGGGTCAGCCCCCATGTCTCCTGACTCCCGTTCCAGTGCTCCTTCTGCTCTACGTGCCTGCCTCTGTTTCTGACACAATGGCCTTCCCCTAACAGATGAGGAAAGGGAGTGTGGTGAGGAAACAAGGAAAGGAAACAAAGGGTTCTTCGTTTCTTTCCCACCTGCTGACAACGTCCTGGATGCAGAAAGGGGAAATGTGTTGGGCGAAGGCGACCCGAGCTGCCGCGTGGCCTTAGGTTCGTTACTGCCCTTCTCTGTGTGTGGGTTCTGGGTATTTCCCCTCCCTTCTCCCCCACAATCTAAGGTGGGCATCTCTGAACACCTGCAAGCCCCCTGATTCAACACCGGGCAGACTGCCACCTCAACACTCTCCTTCCTCCAATTAAAAAAATCAACAATCGGCCGGGCGTGGTGGCTCACGCCTGTAATCCCAGCACTTTGGGAGGCCGAGGTGGGTAGATCATGAGGTCAGGAGATCGAGACCATCCTGGCTAACATGGTGAAACCCCGTCTCTACTAAAAAAATACAAAAACAATTAGCTGGGTGTGGTGGTGAGCGCCCATAGTCCCAGCTACTCGGGAGGCTGAGGCAGGAGAATGGCGTGAACCTGGTAGGCGGAGCTTGCAGTGAGCTGAGATGGCGCCACTGCACTCCAGCCTGGCAACAGAGCAAGACTCCGTCTCAAAAAAAAAAAACATTCTCCCTCCTCCAATTAAAAAAAAAAAAGAACACAAGAAGGACAATTTGACTAACCATGCCCCAGGCTTCTGGAAGCCCAAGCCCAGCCTCCTGATGGTGCCACCAGGCCCTCCCTTCCCACCCCAGTGGCTCTGCCATGTTTCATGTCTCCACCATCTCCCCAGATCCCTGCATTAGCCTCCTCACTGACGCCCAGCCTACAGCCTAGCCCTTGCCATACTCTCGCTACAAGAGCCATGGTCCAGGTGTGGTCATACACATTTGGGCAGACCGCTCCCAGCTCTCGTGGCTACCCACTCACAAAGCGGGGCAGGGTAGCATATAGCACACATATATGATTTCTCCGCCTGCATAATATTTGTCGTGTGTGTGTATGTGTGCATGTGCATGTGTGTAGCCACACGTTGGTGAGTTTTCCTGCCTGGATGTGAGAGCTTTGGGGTTTAGTGACAGGTGTGCTAGGCCTCCCTCCCCATTTCCCTGCTGCTCCATCCCACTGCCTGTGACCCTGCCCTCTTCTTCCCCACCTCCTTCTGCCCTCTTCCCCCCAACCCCTGCTCCTAAATCAAGTCCTCCAATTTGTTATACAGAGTACTTAAGAACTGGAAGATTTTGTGCAGGGCACAGTGGCTCATGCCTGTAATCCCAGCACTTTGGGAGGCCGAAGCAGTGGGTCACTCGAGGTCAGGAGTTTGAGACCAGTCTGGCCAACATGGCGAAACCCCATCTCTACTAAAAATACAAAAATTAGCTAGGAGTGGCGGCGCATGCCTGTAATTCCAACTACTGGGGAGGCTGAGGCATGAGAATTGTTTGAACCTGGGAGGCAGAGGTTGCAGTGAGCCGAGATCATCCACTGCACTCCAGCCTGGGCGACAGAGGAAAAAAAAAAAAAAAAAAAAAAAAAGAATTGGAAGAGTTCATGCTAACCGGACATTACATGCCCCCTGATGTGATACAATATGAAGTACACAGAACTATTTATTAAGTTTTCATGCCAGAAAAATCTAATCTGAATCCATTTGAGACAGAATTTACAGGAAGTACAGGAAAGAGAGAAACAAGTTAAACAGCACCATAAGGAATCAGCCTGACAAATCCAGAAGATGTCATGTCATAAAAAAAATGAGGAGGATGGTTCTAGACTAAGAGATTTAGGACACAGCTCCCAACCTGAAAATAAAATTTAAAAACAATTCTACTTAAAGTAGCAGCAAAAAGAATAAAACATTTAGAAATAAATTTGGCAAAATAAGTATAAAATTGTACACTGAAAGCTATAAAGCATCACTGAAAAAAGTTAAAGACTTAAATAAATTGAAAGGTGCTCCATGTTCATGGATTGGAAGACTTAAAATTGTTAAAAGGACAATATTCCCCCAGTTGACCTACAGGTTTAACAAAATCCCAGCGGCCTTTTTTTCCCCTGCAGAAATTGACAAGCTGAGGCTAAAATCCATATGGAAATGCAAGGAACTCAAAATATCCAAGATAATCTTGAAAAAGAAGAACAAAATTAGAGGACTCACATTTCCCAACTTCAAAACTTAGTACAAAGCTACAGTAATCAAGACCAGCCTCTGGCATAAGGATGGATGTATATAGATCATTGGAACAGAATTGAGAGTCTAGTCAATAAATAACAACAAAAAGACAAATACAGGCCAGGTGTGGTGGCTCATGCCTGTAATCCCAGCACTTTGGGAGGCCTAGGTGGGTGGATCACTTGAGGCCAGGAGTTCAAGACTAGCCTGGGCAACATAGCAAGACCTCGTCTCTACAAATATATATTTTTTTAATTAGCCAGTTGTAGTGGCATGCACCTGTAGCCCCAGCTACTTGGGAGGCTGAGATGGGAGGATCACTTGAGCCTGGGTGGTGGAGGCTGCAGTGAGCTGACATGACAACACTGCACTCCAGCCTGGGCAACAAAGCAAGACCCTATCTCAAAAACAAAACAAAACAAAAAGATAAAGTAAATATGGAAAAATTGCTAATAATTATTAAATCCAGTTAATGGGTACTTGCGTGTTCATTATATCACTCTCTCTATTTATATATATGTTTCATATTTTCCCATAATAAAAAGTCAAAAAATGGAAATTTTTATAACAAAATGCAAATCTCTAGTTCATCTTGGAAAATCAAGAGTTGGCTGGGCACAGTGGCTCACGCCTGTAATCCCAGCACTGTGGGAGGTTGAAGCGCATGGATCACCTGAGGTCAGGGGTTTGAGACCAGCCTGGCCAAAATGGACAAACCCCTCCTCTACTAAAAATACAAAAATTGGCTGGGCGTGGTGGCACATGCCTGTAATCCCAGCTACTTAGGAAGCTGAGGCAGGAGAATCGCTTGAACCTGGGAGGTGGAGGTTGCAGCGAGCCGAGATCATGCCATTGCACTCCAGTCTGGGCGACAGAGCAAGACTCTGTCTCAAAAAAAAAACAGAAAGAAAAATCAAGAGTTGTGCTAACATTAAATCCATGTTTCTCTGGGGCAGCCATTAGCTAGGAAGGGGCAGCTTCCCCCAAGAGGGCTTGCAGAGACCGGGGAGACCTGGTTCCCATGGTCCCACCACCCTCTAGTGAGTAGGACACAAGCCTGCGGCCTGCCTGGCCCCTGGAACCTTTTAGCTTGTAACGTCAGACTCTCACTCCACCAGGCATTCAAAGCCCGTACTAACCTGGCCCTGGGCTGCCTTCTCGGCCTCATCTCTAATCTTTCCCCACCCATTCCAGCATTCTGGATGACTCATTGCTCCCAAAATACATCACGCACATTCCTACCTTCATGTCTTTGCACATGCTAGTTCCTCTACCTGGAACGACCTTTCTCTCTCTTTTCCACCTGGCAGACTCCCAACCAGAGGTGGCCCCTGCAGGGAGCTTTCCCAGACCTCCTCTGGGACAGCTAGTTGCTCTTTCTGTTGGACCCCATCAATTTCATCTCCTTCCTCCCTCTCCACCACCAACTGTCCAATCCCTGCATGGCTTCGCCCTCAACGTGGGGGTCTCCAGAGGACGCTGCCCACACTGATTCACCACTGGGTGTCCAGCGCCCTGGCACAAGCCTGGCACAGGGTAAGTGCTTCTTAAAGTTTGTGAAGGAAAACCAACCGAAGGTCAGATCGTGGTTAAGAGCATTCTAGAACCAGGTCACCTGGCTTCAACTCCCAGCTCTGCCATGACTCAGCTGTGCAACCTGTTTGAGAAACTTAACCTGTCTGTGCCTCAGTTTTTTCATCTGTAAAATGAGAATAACAGTACCTTCCTCACAGGGTTGTTTTGAGGATTAAGTAAATTAATATATCCCCACTGGGCACGGTAGCTCACATCTGTAATCCCAGCTCTTAGGGAGACTAAGGCAGGAGGATAGCTTGAGCCAAGGAGTTCGAGACCTACCTGGGCAATATAGCAAGACCCTGTTCTCCACAAAAAAGGGGGAAAAAAAGTTAATACATGTAAGGTACTTAAAATCATGCCCGGTTCCCAGAAATAAGGACTAGATGAATGCATATTAAATAAAAATTAAATAAGCAGGCTCAAAGATGGGCAATTACCAAGACCCTCCCTGAGACCTGGTCCAGTGTCAGGCCCTCTTCCCTCTGGTGACCTGTGTCCCCCATGGTGTGGAAATGAGTGTTGGCAGTGCAGAATCACAGCCTGAAGTGACACCAAGTCCATTTTGCTCATTAGTTAAGGAAAAGGCCTCCGTGGGTGCCTACGGCTCTTTCATACCAGTAAATCTCTTGCCAGTTTCTCTTTTAAACAAAAAGAAAACAAACTTTAGGCTCAGTGCCTTTGGGCATCAATAGTTTGATGTGGAACTTGAATAGCATTGTTCTGTTTTCAGAACTTGCTGTGATATTGATTTCGCATTTTCAATAGTGATTAGAAAGTCTTCCTTTTCAATAAATGTACTTACGTATTTTTAAGTAAGTTGATTCAAAGATGAAGATTAAGACAGTAAGTAGAGATGGTGTGTGAAGGTAACAAAAACTGGGACTGGGGCCTGCAGAAGATGAACATTTGGGAAGCACAGTTGTAGGGACTGAGAGAGAAGACAGGGCCTTCCCTTGGGGCAATTTCATTCTTGGGTTAGTACAGAATGACACAGGATTGATAATAACAGCTTACACCTCCTTGCATGCTTTCCAAGCACCGGCCCTTTACATGAGCTACTTCTTTTACTCTCTGCAGCATTACTTTCAGGGAGGAGGTAATATAATTCCCATTTGATTAAACAGGAAAGTGAGCCCAGAGGGGTGAGGTAACTTGCCTAAGGTCACACAGTTTATAAGAGGCTGAAGCCAGATTCAAACCTAGGTCCATCCAATGCCACTGCCCATGGACTACATAGGTTCCTGCTCACCAGAGAAATTCAGCTCCCAGCAACTCAAAAAACCAACTCTAAGCTATGATCAGCTTCGGAGTTTCCAGAGCCAGCATGGGGAGGAGATGGAGGTGGGGGGCTGAGGGGATAGAAGACAGACAGATGCCACCCTGGTACAAAACCTGAGATGCTCCAAACCTCACACCCTAGGACAACTGAGAACTCAGGGCCATGCCCTGCCTCTGCCACGGGGGCACAACAGCAGGAAGACTAGACAACAGCAATGGCAGCTGATGCTTACAGACTACTTCCTGCTTGTCAGCCCTGTGGCGTGTGTATATACCCTTCGTATAGAGGCTCTGCTTCAACCTTGTGAAAACTCTTTGAGGTGCGTCTTCTAGAAGTTAGAAATTTGAGGTCTGGCGGGAAGAAAAGATATAGCAAGCAAGGGGCTGAGTCTAAGCCTTACTCTTAACACTCACTGTGCTCCTTCCAGAAAACAAGCATTTGTCAGGGTGTTGGCATGACAACCTGAAAACTTTAGGCGCCTCCCCAAACATACCAGCTTCCCTCCACAATCCAGTATCTATGACCTTAAAAGGCATCACAAAAGAGTTCTTAGCTACAAAATCAGAAGACATAAATCTAGTTCCCTCTCGATCGCTTTGTGGCTGTGAGTATATCTGTATCCTTTTCTGCACCTCAGTCTCCCCAACTGCTCAGTGACAGGGTTGGGACTACTCTGAGGGCCTGAATGGGTCTACAGCAACACTGTCCAATAAATATAACATGTATCACATTGTAATGTTAAATGTTCTAGTAGCCACATTCAAAAAAGTAAAAAGAAACAGTGCAATTAATTTTAATAATGTATTTTGTCAAAGCTGATGTATCTAAAATGTAACCATTTCAATATGTAATCAATATTTTAAAAATGATTAATAGGTTACTTTACATTCTTTTCATACTAAGTATTTGAAATCCAGGATGTTTCACATTTACAGCGCATCTCCATTTGGACCAGCCACATTCCAAGTGCCCAGTAGCCATGTATGGCAAGTGGCTACCATACTGGACAGCCCAGGTCTAGAATCTTTTTCAATCCATAGCTCATTTTACAGGGAAGAGCTGTCTCATCTTTCTCCCTTCTCTTAGAAAAGATGTCCTGATCGTAGCCTCCGGGCTGACAAATTCCACATGAGCCCGGAGGGAGGAGCTGGAAGCCACAATGGAGAGAAAGCCCGGGCCTGCCTGGGTGTGAAGAGGCTGTGGCTGCTGGGGATGCTTTCTGTCTCTCCACAGCCAAATTACTCATGAAGCCCCAGGGATGGGGAGAGTCCCTGCGGAAGATGGCCACAATCCTGCTTTTCCTCCTGACCCCAAAATTCCCTTAATTGGAAATTCAGTCTGAGCTTGAAACCCATCCAGGCAGCCACCTCCACCCATGGCAACATCTCCATGGGCACGCAGGACTCCTGCCCCAGACACACAAGGAATCCAATCCCACAGCAGCACCTCATGCAAGAGGCTGGATCCCAGCTTCTCAGTCCCCAGGCTCACTTCCCGGCTGTGGGCCTGGCAGCCTTCTCGGTGGGAGCTCAAAACCTCCACATGCAGGGGCACAGGCATTGGCAGGAAGGACCAGGAGGGCAAGGAAAATAAGGGGGCATCCCTCCTTCTCCCCAGACTTCCACTTCCTCACCTTTAAAATCAAATGTTGTTAGATCATAGCAATGATTGTCTTTATGCTGGCTGCCCTGTGCCAGGCATTTTACAGGCATTAGCTCGCATACTCCTTCTAACCACCCTATGAGGAAAGAGGATCCCAGGGTCAGAGTGGTGAAGCAACTTGGGCAAGGTCACACAGCTCTTCAGAAGAAGAGCTGGGGTTCCAATTCATGGTCTTCTGAATCAAGAACCTAAGCTCCTTCCTGCTGTGCTCTGCCTAAGTGGCCCAGGGTGTTCCAGGACAGTCCGAGCTTACACTTGTCATAACCAGATATATTTAGTGTAATTATTTAAAATGTTCCCTTTGGAAGAAGGAGCAAATCTTCCATACAGAGGAATTTTAAATAATATAGGTAGATATTCCCCCCTCCAAAAGGTGTGCCTGAATTCCAGACCCTTCTCCCTCTTGAGTGTGGGCTGCACTGAGTGTCTGAATTCCAAAGGATGGAGCGGGAAAAGAGGAAATAGTAACTGTACATCAGAGAAACCTGGCTGACCCACCTTAGCCAAGTGATCAAAGTTAACATCCTCAGTTTATAAGAAACATATCAGACAAACCCAAATTGAGGGACACTCTATAAACTATCTCACCAGTACTCCTCAAAACTGTTGGGCTGGGCGTGGTGGCTCACACCTGTAATACGAGCACTTTGGGAGGCCAAAGCAAGAGGATCACTTGAGTCCAGGAGTTCGAGAATAGTCTGGCCAATATGGCAAAACCCCATCTCTATTAAAAATACAAAAATTAGCCAGGTGTGGTGGCGCACACCTGTGGTCCCAGCTACTTTGGTGACTGAGGCACAAGAATCACTTGAATCCAGGAGATGGAGGTTGCAGTGAGCCAAGATGGCACCACTGCACTCCAGCCTGGGCAACACAGTGAGACCCTGCCTCAAAAAAAAAAAAAACTGTCAAGGACACACAAAAAAAGCAAAGAATCAGAAACTATCACAGACCAAAGGGAACCAAGGAGATCTGACAACTAAATGCAGTGTATGATCCTTCAGGAAATCCTGAAGCAGGAAGAAGACATTGATGGAAAAACTAGTGAAATGCAAATAAAGTCTGGAGTTCAGTGAAGAGTCGTGTGCCATGTTGGTCTTGACAAATGTATTATGATAACGTAAGAAGTTAACAATAGGGGAAAATGGGTAGAGTGTATGGAAACTCTTTGTATTCTTTTTGGAACTTTTCTGTAAATCTAAAATTATTCCCACCTAAAAGTTTTATTTTTAAAAAGTGCTCCCTTTTACTCACAGAAGTGTTCAGGTTTAGACAATAAATTATATGAGCACCTGGTCATAAGCCTGGTCCTGCCTGTCTTAGACCATCTGTGCCACTTTAACAGAATACCTGGGACCGGGTCATTTGTAGGGGAAGTCCAAGGTCAAGGCACCAGTGGGTTCAGTCTCTGGTGAGGCCATTGTCTTCCTCCAAAATGGCACTTCGCACACTACATTCTCCAGAGGGGAGGAAGGTTGGATCCTCACACAGCAGAAGGCGGGAGTGCCAAGAGACAAAAAGGGGTCAAACTCACCATTTTATAAGGGATTTAATCCCACCCATGAGGATTAATCACCTCTCAAAGATTAGTCTCAGAACTAATCACCTCCCAAAGTTCCCACGTCTTAATGTTACAATGACAATTAAATTTCGACATGAGTTTTGGAGGGGATAAACATTCAAACTATAGTTGCCTCTAACCAAGATGTTTTAAGAAAATCACCCATACCTTCTGTCCCCTTCAGTGATGCCAACGGCTCACACACTTATAGCAGTGTAAAGTTTACAAAGTTTAGCATTAGCAAGATGTGCTAAAGTTTTTGAATCAGAAAGCTAGAGGCTGATGCTTGGGTTCTCCCACTTGCTTGCCAGGTAGTCTTGGGCATGTTACATTCATTCCCTGGGCCTCAGTTTCCATGTCTGTAAAATGAATTCATTGTACGATGACAATGACTAGTCATATTTTTCAAGCCATGTCTGGTGTCCGACACTGTAGTGGTGACTCTGATGGGCTACCCAGATTCCCCTTCAGGACTGAAGGACTTATTTCTCCCACTCCCAGCTACTCAGAGAGTTGCCAGCTGTCAGCCCTCTCCAGGGATTGCCCTTGGCTGAAGAGAGCTGTCCAGCCCTAGTCAAGCCTCCTTCTGGAGGGTAGCCTGCATACAAATGAGGAGAGTATAAAAGATCCAGCTCCCTCATCCCAACTTGCGATGACCTTGAAGGTCATCTCCACTGCAGAGCATCCCTTATGGTTGGCTGAGGCTTTGTTGAGACTGTATTGCAACCCAATGTCTCCCACCGCCCAGTCCGGCCTTCTTCCCTTCCCCACAAGTGTTGATCCAGAGGGTGCTCCCTGTACATTTCCTGCATGTTAATCTTCATCTCTAAGTCTGCTTCCTGGGGAACTCACCTCACAATAGGATTGTGAGCCACCTGACCTGCACTGTCGTTCCTAACCCTTAGACCAACTTGTCTTTATAGATGAGATCATTGAGATTAGAGAAGAAAATGGATCTGGCCAAGGACATACAACTAAGAAATGGCGGTGCCACAGATGGAGAAACTGACACTCAGACAGGCCAACTGATCTGCCCACATCAACGAGCTAAAAAAATGGCAAGGCCAGGATTTGGCCCTAGGCCTGCTTAACTCTGAAGACCATGTGCCCAGTCTCCTGCCAGGCCATTTACATCCTCAGGAGGATTGCTGCAGCCCCAGGACAGGCGATTGCCTTTTACCACCCTCCTGCCAGACCACACTGCTGCTGTCCCTGCTCCTGTACCCCACTTTTGCTGGGTTGAAAAGGTTGAAAGGGGTACCCCACTGCTGCTGTACCCCACCCCAAATTTGCAAAATGAGAATAAGAACAGTATCTACCTTTTCAGGATCTTGTAAGAGTAAATGAGTTAATATAGGTAAAGACCTCAGAACAGTGACTGGCACATAGAGAATCCTATTTAAGTGGTGGGTTAAAAACAAATCATGTAAGTCATGTAAAGCTGCACCTGTGGCGCGCTCTAAGGACAGAACGGCAGCTGCCGGTGGACCTCATCCGCTCTCTAAGGGAGTCAGGCTTGACCTGAGCCCTGAAGGAGGAGTAGAGGTTAAGTGAGTGGCAAAGGAACCAGTATGAACAAAAGCTCTGTGGCAGGAGGAACTAAAGAAGGAAGAACTAGCACAGAGGGAAGAAAACTCCAGGCTCAGGGAAAGAATGACAAAAAATAAGGCTGGGTAGGAGGGTGGGAACCTGATTAGAAAAGGCCACTCACTAACTGAGTGATTTTGGACAAGTCACCTTATCTCTCTGAGCCTCACTTAGCTCATCTGCAAAACAGAAATAAACACAGTACCTATCATAAGGTTGTTAAAGGGACTGAGTGAGTCCATATTTGTGAACCACTTAAAATTGCCTTGTACCTAGTAGGTGCCATAAATGTTTGGAGACAACATTAGAACTTTATCTGAAGCACAATGAGAAGACTTAAAGGGGTTTGAATGTAGATGATAGGGTGGGTGTTTAGTAGATGGGAGGGTGGATGGACGCATGGGTAGATGGATAGGTGGGGGAGGTTGAATGAATAGAAGTTTGGTTGAGTGATAGAGGTGGCTGGCTGGGTAGCTGGATGACCAGGCGGGTGGGTGGGAGTGGATGTTGTTTTAATGAACAGAAGTGTCGCTGGGTGGATAAATGGAAGTACTTGAGTGAATGGATGCGTGGCTGGATGTTAAGATGGGTGGCTGGGCAGCTGGAAGCAGCTGAGTGAATGCAGGTGATTGGTGGGTGAGGGGACGGGTGAGTGGTTGAAAGGGTATCTGTATGTTTGAATGGGCATCTGGGTAGTTGGACGGGTGGTTGAGTCGATGAATGGATGGGTGATGAGCTGGTTGAGTAGGTAAAAGGATGAAAAATTGGGTAGGTTGCATGGAATAGATAAGTAAATCTTTGAGTGAATGGGTGGTTGTTCAGGTAGATGTTAGGCTGTTGTTCAGGTGGATGTTCAGGTGTGATGTGGGACTGGAGGTGGGTGTGTGGGTGGAGGGGTTGTTCAGTGAGTGTTAGAGAAGTTAGTCAATGAAGGAATTGGGTGGATTTGGATGGATGTTTGGGTGGTTGACTGCGAGGTTGTGTGGATAGATGGATGACTGGATGACTGGGTGGGTAAACAGGAAGTGGAATGGGTAGGGGAATGGAGTGGATGACTGGAGAGATGGCTGTTCAGGTGGATATTAGAAAGGTTGGGTGAGTGGTAGGGTTAAGTCAGTGGAAGGGCTGGGTGTAACTGAGTGATGGATGGATGGGTGAGTGAACAGGAGCCACCAGCTCCCGAAGAGCCTCCAATTAACCCCTGAAGGTGATGGGGGTAAAAGAAGCAGAATCAGGCTTGGAGACAGGGCCTCCTAGGTTGCCCTGCCCCAGGACCCCCTTCTCCGAGGGGAGGCGACCCCTTCCCACCCCCACCGCTGTCCTACCTGGAGGCGGCAATCTCGGCCTTCTGGCGCGCGATAGCAGCGGCGCGCTGGGCACCCTCCACACTGTGCTCCACTTTCTGGCGGACCTTGTTGCTCTTGAGCTGCAGCATGCGGCGCTTGGTGTCCTTGACCAGCACGTTGTGGCGGTACTTGCCCTCCTCGCGGTGGCCGTCGGGCAGCGTGGTGCAGCCATAGCCGTGGCGCAGGTTGTCCAGCCACTCGCCCTCGTAGCGGAGGCCACTGGAGCGTTCGCTCACGCCGAAGCCCGAGCGTTTGTCGTTCTTCCACTCGCCCATGTAGGTCTCGGTGGTGGTGGCGTCGATATCGGCCTCGAAGGGTGCGGCCTCGTCGGCGCCCTCGGCGGCCTCTCCCAGGCTGGCGGTGGACGCGGCGTCGCTGGCGCCCGAGCTGAGGTCGCTCTTAAGGAAGCTGACACGGCTGCGCTGGCTACCCACGGACGTGCGCGACTCTGCGCGCCGCAGCTTGCCCAGCAGCGCGCCCCGCTGGAAGAGGCCGCCGCCCTTGGGCGCCCGCGCGGCCGCCTCGGCATTGGCCAGGAGGCTGAGCGCGAAGCCGCCACGCGGGATGGCGGGCGAGGGCAGCGCGGGGCCGTCGGAGGCCGGCGAGGCGGGAGAGTCCGGGGCCACCGTGCCGTTGCTGTGCTCGCTGCGCAGGGACGACAGCGACGTGCGCAGCGGCGAGCGCACCACCACGGCCATCCCGTAGGGCACGCTCTGGCGTACTCCGTAGCCATGGCGCATGCCGTTGGTGAACTGGCCTTGGTACGTCCCTGCGGGCGAGGAGAGGGCGCGTCAGTAGGCGGCACGACGGGTCCCCGCGTGTGCACGGTGGCCTGGGAGGGCAAGGGCGGGAGTGGGCAAGGCGGGGTGGGACCGAGAGGCGCAAGGCCGTCTGAGGGTCAGGGTGCACAGTGCTATGAGTGTTTGAGTCTACTCGAGTGTGCAATAACACGAGTGGGTGAGCCAGGAGGAGCTTGCACGATGGTAGGAATACGTTGGTGGGAACATGGCAAGGTCACAAGTCGTGAACGGATAAGCTAGTGAGTTCGCATGGTAGTGCAAATGTTGGAGAGCATGGGCTTGTGTGTGTATTTGTGCAAGATCGTGCGTACAAGACACTTGTGGGCGTGCATATCGGTGTCTTTTGACTATATGAGATCATGAGGTGGGGGCAGGTGGCTCACGCCTGTAATCCCAGCACTTGGGAAGGTGGAGGCGGATGGATCGCTTGAGCTCAGGAGTTCAAGACCAACCTGGGCAACATGGTGAAACCTCTCTCTACAAAAAAATTAGTCAGGCGTGGTGGCATGCACCTGTGGTCCCAGCTACTAGAGAGGCTGAGGTGGGAGGATCACCTGAGCCCGGGAGGTCGAGGCTGCAGTGAGCCATGATTGTGCCACTGCACTCCAGCCTGGGCTACAGACTGAGACCCTGTCACACATACACACACACACACAAATCATGAGTGTGCAGGGTAGTGTGTGCACAGTGGGGTGAGTGCCTGAGATCTCACGGAGTTGACATTATGGATGTGTATGAGGTTCTGAGTGTGCAAGGCTATCAGAGTGCCAAAGAACAAAGTAATATGTAGCACTCCAGGCTGAGTGTGTGAGGTGATGGGCATCAGTGAAACCGAGACACTGAGACCGTATGAAACCATATGGAGGAAGGCTAGTGGTGTGTACAAGGTGTCGGCAACTTAGGCCCTGCATGTACACAAGTCCATGAGCTCCTGGGATTAAGATGCCTTATGTTAGCAGCCATCCAAGTCTTATGTGTGTGGAGAGGCAGCAGGGAGTAGTGGTTCAGAGCACAAACTCCAGAGCCAGGCTCCCTGGGTCCAGATCCTGCCTCTGCCCTTACTAGCTGTGTGACCTTGGGCAACTGACTTAACCTCCCTGTACCTTAGCTTCCTTATCTGCCAGAGGTAATAACTGCCTCTTACCTCCTAGGGTTTTTTTTTGAGGTTTAAATGAGTTAATGTCTCCGAAAAACTCTGAAAGCAAAGATATGTGTGTGATACTGTGATTCTACAAAGTTGTGCTCACGTGTGAGGTCACCTGAGTTGTATGACAAGCTGATACACAGCTGCCAAAATAACTTCATCCTTCACCCCCATCCTGACATGTAGTTCTCCCCAGGGCTCATCCAAAAACCTTCTCCTATTCTCTCTAGATGACTGCACATCTAGTGTTTTTAAACTGCCATTTATGTCCTGCTGACCTCCCCAAATATATCCCCAACCCCTCCCTCTCCCTTCGGTAGCTCCAGATGTCACCTTGGAAATTTGTGTTCCCTCAGATGGTACACAGCCACCTCCAGCTCACATCTGCCCTCACTCACCCCACACACACACCTGGGCCACAGTCCTGGTCTTTCTTTCCCACAGCAGTGCTGCTGAAAGGCAGTTCTCTGCCTTCGTCTTTGTACCTCCACCATGTAGAACGGTACCTGATACATAACGTTCACTGCACCGAAGGCAGAAATTCTGAGGCTTCTTTGTTTTAAACACAAGCTGATACATTCTCCCTAGTTAACAAAAACCAAAAGGTCTTCCTGCTAATAAATGTCCAGGAGCAAGATGGCTGAGTAGACAACCAAGGATGGGACTCCTAAACTCACCCCAGCAGATCTGCTGTTGCACTGCTCTTCCCTCTTCCTGGAACTCTTTTCCTCCAGATATCCTTCAAGTCTTTGCTCAATGAGACCTACTCTGACCCCCTGTGATGGTTAATACTGAGTATTAGCTTGATTGGATTGAAGGATGCAAAGTATCGATCCTGGGTGTATCTGTGAGGGTGTTGCCAAAGGAGATTAACATTTGAGTCAGTGGGCTGGGGAAGGTGGACTCACCCTTAATCTGGATGGGCACCTTCTAAGCAGCTGCCAGCAAATATAAAGCAGGCAGAAAAATGTGAAAAGCCTAGACTGGCTTAGCCTCCCAGCCTACATCTTCCTCCCATGCTGCTGGATGCTTCCTGCCCTCGAACATCAGACTCCAAGTTCTTCAGCTTTGGGACTCGGACTGGCTTCCTTGCTGCTCAGCTTGTGGACAGCCCATTGTGGGACCCTGTGATCGTGTGAGTTAATACTCCTTAATAAACTTCCATATATATATATATATATATATATATATATATATATATATATACACACACACACACACACACACACACACACACACACATCCTATTAGATCTGTCCCTCTAGAGAACGCTGATGAATACACCACCCTGTTTAAAACTGCAATCTGCTTATTTCACATTGCGTGCCTTTATCAAAACATCTCATATACCCCATAAATATTTAATATATACATCCATTATGAACCCACAAAATTTTTTCCAAAATTGCAATCTGCCTGCACCCCCACCACCCTGCTCACTTATCTACTTTTCCTTATTTTTCCCATAGCACGTATCACCTTCTAACATACCATATGACTTATTTATTACATTAATTGCTTTTCTCCCTCTGCTAAAATGGAAGCTCCATGAGGGCAGGGATCTTTTCTATTTTGTTCTTGGATGGATTCCAGAACCTGGAACAGTGCCTGGTACACAGAGGTGCTCCGTTAATATCTGCAAAATGGCTGACTGACTAAACCTGTTCAAAAATTCCATCTCATTGGGTGACCTTGGCAATTCCTTTTCTTAACACCTCCATTGTCTGCCTGTCAATGATGTGTTGGGTGAAGAGCTCTCCAAGGCTTGATCTAACTCTGAGATGCTGAGCTTCTAGGAATTGGTGCACTGTAACTTTGGAGGCGAAGGAGGGCACATCTAGATGCTTCCACACTGCCTGGTCCCTCCCAGCACATTGAGCTCAGGATCCCACTTCTACCCCATCCTACCTCTTCTGCATGAAGAGCCCCCATTAAGGATCAAGAACCCCCATTAAGGATCATGTACAATGCCAGGGGCTCACTAAACCTCTCAACAGTCCTGTGAGGTGAGTCCCATGATAATGCGAATTTCCAGGAGGATGCTGGTGATCTGAGAGGTTAAGCAATTTGACCAAGGAAATGGGATCCAAGCCTAAGCCTGTCTGATGCCAGAGTGTATGCTGCGAGCCCATGGCTCTTAATCCTGGTGTGCATTAGAAGCACCAGTGAAACTTTAAAAGAAAACAACTGATCCTTGGGCTTTACCACCATCAATTCCTGTTTATTCTGTTGGAAAAGGTCCCTAGTGCTTCCAGCCCCTCTGGACAGCAAGAAAGAACAGCCAGGAGGGAGAGACACCTGGGCTCTGTTCCCTTCAATGACCAGCCTCAAAAAACCAAGGATCATGGAATATCAGCAATAAAAGGGCTAAAGAGAAATGGAGAGAGACAGAAATGGAGAAGAAAGCATTGGGCATGATCTCATAGAGGAAGATGCAAATATGACCTCTATTTCATAGGTAGGTTGATGTTCAGAGAAGTTATGTGACTTGCCCAAAGTCACACAGTGAGAAAGGAGCAGAACTGGGATTTGAACTAAGATCCAACTTAAGCTAAGGAAGTGGAAAATGGGATTGTATGACAGGTGCAATGAACAGAGAAATGGGAATGTGGTATAGCTGATGAAAAATGGGAAGTTGGATAGATGGGAAACCAACAGGTCGCATTTCCCAAGCTCATTCACATGTGATCCCATTGGATGGAGGCTGAGGACAGAATGGAATGTGGAGTCATCCTGGCTTCAAATATCATCTAAGCTGGGGAACCTTGGGCAAGTTCCTTCTTTTGATCTTAGTTTTTTTGTCTGGAAAATGGAAAAGTAATACCCACTTTCCAGGGGTCTTTTGAGGATTAAAAATAAGACAACAAAAAATGGAAACAATTCAAATGTCAGTCAGCTGGTACATGGATAAACTAACACAGTGAAGTGCTAGAAAAGAGAGTGTGCTAGAAAAGAGAAGTGCTAGAAAAGTGCAAGAAAAGAGAGCAGGCTGCTGTTACACACAACACATGAATGGGTCTCCAAAACATGCTAAGTGAACAAAGCTAGAGATGAAAGCTGTGTGACTCCAGTTACATGAAAGCCTCAAAAAACAAACAAACAAACAAACAAACAAACAAACAAACAAACAAACAAACCTATAGTGCCAGAAAGTGGATCTGTGGTTGCCAGGGGCTGGGTGTGGAAGGAATAGAATGCAAAAGGGCACAGGGAAACTTCCTGAGTTGATGGAAATGTTCTGCACCTTTTTTTTTTTTTTTTTTGGAGGTCGGGGGATGGAGTTTTGCTCTTGTCACCCAGGCTGGAGTGCAATGTTGCAATCTTGGCTCGCTGCAACCTCCGCCTCCTGGGTTCAAGCGATTCTCCTGCCTCAGCCTTCTGAGTAGCTGGGATTACAGGTGTGTGCCACCACCCCCAGCTAATTTTTGCATTTTTAGTAGAGATGGGGTTTCATCATGTTGGCCAGGCTGGTCTCAAACTCCTGACCTCAGGTGATCCACCCACCTTGCCTCCCAAAGTGTTGGGATTGCAGGTGTGAGCTACTGCGCCCAGCCAAATGTTCTGCATTTGAATTGTGCTGATGGTTTACACAAGCGTGTACATCTGTCACACCTGTACATTTCAAATGCATTTTATCATATGGAAATTACACCTTGATACAGTTGGTTTTTGTAATGTAAATAAATAAATTGTAAAGAAGCTTTTCAGGAAAAAAAAAAACAAAAAAAACAACCCAGCATAGCATTCTGCAAATATCTATCAGGAAAGTCATCAGCTCTACTTTCCAAATGGATCCAGAATCCAGCCGCTTCTCACCACCTCCACTTCGACTAGAGAGTGGTCTGTGCCACCGTTCTCTCTCACCTGGATTTTCATAGTGACTGCCATACTGGTCTCCTGATTCCACTCTTGCCCCTCTATCCATCCCTAACACAGCAATCAGAGGGATTTTGTTCACATGTGTTAAGTCAGATTACGACACTGCACTGACCCTTCTCACTCAGAAGAAAAGCTGAAGTCCTTAGTGACCCACAGGCCCTACCTGACCTCATCCCCATTCACTCCTCTGTGCTCCTCTCCCGCCATCCTCCCCTTTCCCTCACTGCACTCTAGCCACGAAGACTGCTTTGCTGCTGCACAGGGGCCATGGAACCACCTCAGGGCCTTGGTATTGCTGTTCCCTCTACCTGTAATGCCCTTCCTCCAGATACCTACATGGCTCACCCTCTTGCCGTCTTCAAGCCTTTACTCAAATGTCATCTTCTCAGTGAAGCCACCCGTGGCCACCCTACTTACGATTCAACCCGTGCCCAAGGTCTTCTATCTCCCTTCCTTGCTTTATTTTTCCTAGAGCATATCTAGTGCAACATACATTTTGCTTTTTCTTGTGTTATTGACCATCCCCCCTCACTGGCATGCGAGCTCCTTAAAGGCAAGGATTCTTTTCTTTTTTTGTTCACTGTGGTATCCTCAGTGCCTCGAACTGTGCCAAATAGGTACTCAGTAAATATGTGTTGGATGAATGAATGCATGAATGAACAGCAGGCATTCCGTAACTGTTTATTCTCTTCTTTCTGTTTTGTCCATCTGCAAACAGCTCTGTGGAAATGACAGCTCCGGGGAGGTATTTTATGGTTCCTGTTTTACAGATCAGAAAAAACTAAGGCCCATCAAGGACAAAGGACTCATCCAAGATGACACAGCTAATAAATATGCCAGAGCCAAACTCACATCCGTGTCTGGCTATGCTCCTCTACTTCTCAGAAGAAATTTTTAAAAATGAAAGGGAAAAGTGAACAGGCAGAGAGCAGAGAAGATGGTAAACTGGGAGAAAGAGACAAGACATCTAATCTCTGGGTTGGACAACTTTATGAAATTAAATCAACCAACCTACCTTTAGCTTCAGTTTGGCATGAGATGGGCTGATGTAGTCCCTTTAAGCCCAAGAAAAACTGAGATTGCAACAGGAGAGCAGCTCTTGGCCACCAGTTGGGAAGGAAACAGTCAGGCTATATTAGGAAACTTACAAGCAAGTGGCAAGAGGCACAGACACCCAGGGGAGGCTGGGAGTGACAGGGCCCTGGGAAGGGGAAAAACCGACTCCTGAGGCCACCCCCACTCCAACTCCCTCCAAGACAGGACAGTTCTCCCTGGAGACAGGAAGAATGCATCCACAGAGGGAGAGAGGGAGGCCGCTGCCCATGGCCATCTGGCTGAGAGGGGCCGTCTGCAGAAGGAAGGGCCTCCTCCGATACCCTTTGGACTGCCTCCTCACTGAGCTTTGTAAACCCTGCAGGGCTTCCCACTGTCCCAAAGGAAACGGGGGAGATCCCCAACAGCCCACAAAACCTGGCAGGGGCCGCCCCTGCCACCTCCCCTGCCTCATCTTGGACTGCTCACCACTCACACTCGCCTTCCCACCTTGGGGCCTTTGCACAAGCTTTCCCCATTTCTTCACATGCTCTTCTCTTCCCTCTTCCCCTGGCCAACTTCTATTGACAGTTCTAGCTTTGGCTTAAACGTGATTTCATCCAGGAAGATTTCTTGAGCCCCATTCCCTGAGTGCTGCTGGAAACAGCCACATGTTATCATGTCATCCATTTTTCTTAGCACTTTCCACAGGTGCCATTGAATAATTATCATGACCATTTGTTCACCAGAAGCCTCCCCTGCTTGTCTTTGCCTTCCAAGAGGGAGGAAGCTTTGTCTACCTTATTCTTGCTAAGATGCTAAGCTCCTGGCATCTAGCACAGTTCCCAGGCCCAAGGAAATCCTCGGTAAGCATCCGATGAATTTTCAAGTCTTTTCCTGAATGACACTCTTATGTCCTTTGAGAGGCAGGAAACCCATCTTTTTTCCCTCATGACTCGGCATGCAGTAGGTGCTCAGTAGTGGACAGCACTGGCTGCCAAGGGTGTTCAGGTCCAGATTCAGCAGTTCAAGCCCTGGGAGTTATTGGTGTACATGTAAAATGCTGGTGAAGGCCATAACCATGGCAAAAATACGGTCCTGTCCCCCCGATAGGACTCCCGAAATTAATAAAACCTAAATATAGCCTTCTCCTTGCAGTTGCTCTTCTGGTGAGTATAGAATAACAGGGATTTAAGTCTAAACTCTGACGTTGAATAGTTCTAAGACATGCATAAACTATTTAAGCCTGCGGAGCCTCAGTTTGTCATTCTGTAAAATGGAAATCATGATACCTTCTTCATCTGGTTGTTCATACAACCCTTTGCATTTGACAAGCTAGATGAAGACCATGCATTCTTCTAGCTAGGTGCTGGGATACAGCCGTGAACTAAGTGGACATGATCGCTGCCAGCAAGGGGCTCAGAGTCTTGTGCCAGGGATAGACTAAATATAATTAACCAATCACAGAAATAAATGCAGCCATGGCAGCAGTCCAGATGAGAGGTGATGCCCCAGGTCTTGAGTGGCAGGGAGTGGGGAGGGTGGGTTGAAGATTAAATAAACTGTGTGTGAGGCAGCTAGCTCAGTGCCTAGGATATAGTAAGTGTTCAATAAACCCTAGATTTTTGACAGGTCAGAGTCTTTGCCCAGAAAGGATTAACTGGAAAGATGAAAAGGAGCCACACAGAAGACAGAGAGAGCTCAGGAAGAAAATGAGACCAGCTCCAATTTTCTGCCCGGTTTGTAAGTTGTTTGTAAGAAAGCATGTTTGTGCTCTGGAATACTCAGATTTTGAATATTCCAGAATTTTTAAAAATTCACACAAAAAGAATGGAAAATATCTCATTAATGATTGTATATTGTTTACACACAAAAAAAATATTGTGGATAATGAGTTAAATAAAATGTATTATTAAAATTGGTTTCACCTTTTTAAATATGGCTACTAAAAATTTTTAAGTTACATACATAGTTCATATTATACTTCCATTAGAAAGTTCTGGTTTAAGTCATTTGGAGTTAGGGTTTTCCTTGACCTGCAGACAAAAGAGTATCTTAATGGATACAGGTAACATCATTTTGATTTTACAGTTGGAAAAGCCGAAACTAAGAATTTTAATGACTTGCTCATATTAACACAATGTGGCAGTTGTTGGCAATCACAGCCAAGCGTCCTGACTAGTGCTTTCACCTCTAAGAATATGAGAACTTCCCTTACAAGTTAAAAGTTCCAAAATTCTCACCCAAATCTCAGCTCTGAAGAAAGCGTGACCATTTCGGAAATGCAAGTGCTATGGTTCAGATGTTTGTCCCCTCCAAACTTCATGTTGAAATGTTATCCTCAGTGTTGGAGGTGGGGACTAATGGGAGGTGTTTGGGTCATGGGGGCAGATCCCTCATGAATAGATTAATGCCCTCCCTTGGGGGTGAGTGAGTTTCTGCTCTGTTAATTCCCACAAGAGCTGGTTGTTACAAAGAGCCTGGCACCTTTTCACTCTCACTCTTGCTTCCACTCTTGCCATGTGATCTCTGCACACACCAGCTCCCCTTCACCTTCTGCCATGAGTGGAAGCAGCCTGAGGCCCTTATCAGAGGTAGATGCTCCACCTTGAACTTTCCAGCCACCAGAATCGTTAATCAAATAAACCTTTTTTCTTTGTAAATTACCTGGCCTTGGGTATTTTTTTTTTTTTTTTTTTTTGAGATAGAGTCTTTCTCTGTTGCCCAGGCTGGAGTGCAGTAGTGTGATCTTGGCTCACTGCAACCACCGCCTCCTGGGTTTAAGCAATTCTCCTGCCTCAGCCTCCCAAGTAGCTGGGACTACAGGTTCCTGCCACCATGCCCAGCTAATTTTTTGTAGTTTTAGTAGAGACGGGGTTTTTCACTGTATTGGCCAGGCTAGTCTCGAACTCCTGACCTCATGATCCGCCTGCCTTGGCCTCCCAAAGTGCTGGGATTACAGGCATGAGCCACCACGCCTGGCCCTCAGGTATTCTTTTACAGCAACACAAAATTGACTAAGACACCAAGGAAAAGCTGGGAGATCCAGAATCCAGTTTGAGACATCAAAGAGACATATGGGCCAGACCAGGATTCTGCCTCCAAATACAGAATGGACACTGAGAACACCATCCCATCTGGCCAGTGACACCTTCCTATTTCCAGGGAACTATCTGAGGTTGGAAGATCAGTGTGCCTCGGTGCTACGGTTTAATGTTTGTCCCCCTAAAAAGCTCAAATTGAAACTTAATCCCCAATGTGGCAGTATTGAGAGGTGGGGCCTTTAAGAGGTGATTAATCCACTCATGGATTCATGGTTTAATTGGTTATGGGAGTGGGGCTGGTGGCTTTATAAGAAGAGGAAGAGAGATCTGAGCTAGCACACTCGGCCCTCTCATCACATGACACCCTGTGCCACCTTGGGACTCTGCAGAGAGTCTCCACCAGTAAGAATGCCACTCCTGATATGACCCCTTGACCTTGGACTGCCTAGCCTCCAGAACTCTAGGAAATACATTTTGTTTCTTATAAACTACACAGTTTCAGGTATTCTGTTATAAGTAACAGAAAGCAGACTAACACACTGGAGAACTGAACAGAGATGGAGAGAAGGAACGAGGACTAGCTCCTTTCTAGGAGTCCCCATTGCCTATAGAAGTCCTTACCTGATAGTCCAGTTCCTTCATGACCTGGTTCCAAGTCACTTTCTCAGCCTTGTCTTCCCAAATCCTTCATAGCCCAGTTTCAAACCACCTCCTTCAGGGAACCACCTTCCTTCCTCCAAATTCTCATTGCCCAAGACATTTATCACTTCTTACTTCCCATGGCAGCTCTCTTGTCTTTATCTTGCCTGTTTTGTCTACCAGCCATCGCTGATCCTTCTCCAAGTCCTCTCACATAGTACCAGATGTTGGCATAAGATCTTTGGGTGGCCCATAGAAGTGTCATCAACAAATTTCAGACAGTGTTTAAGATGGAGCATGGCAGATACAGAGTGAGCATCAGAGAGTCCAGGGGTTAATGGCTCTTGTCCAAGCATACCAAGATCAGACCAGGTGAACCAGAAATGCTCACTGTGGTCAGCACACATGCCCATGCCACAGACACCACACAGATGCTCCTGATTATAAGGGACTCATAGCTTGGCTCTAACCCACCTTGATAAAGACTATGGACCCAGCATCCCAGAGAAAGTAAGCCAGGGCTAAGACAGCTTTGGAGGTAGCAAAGAATAATGGAAATCACATGGTCTTCAGATAGACCTGACTCTGAATATCTCTTTAATTTTGCTCAATATATTGTTAAAATGAATAGATAAGAAAGTATCCTAACAGATACAGGCATCATCATTTCGATGTTACAATTGGAAAAACTGAAACTAAGAATTTAAATGACTCTCATGATGACGCACTGCGATACTCCTTAATTCTCTTGGTCTCCACCCTATCTGTCTAGTCCAAGCCACATCCTTTTCTCCCTCGATGATGACAGTAGTATCCTCCCTGCCCCCCACTTCAGTTGACCCTTTGCTGCTGCCACTCATCTTCTTCATAAGATGCAACTCTCAGCAGGTTACTCCCCATCTCAAAACCCTGCAGTAACTTCCCAGTGCCTTGAGGAGTGTCTCAGGTCAGGATCCCTAGGGAAAAGATTCTGAAGCTGAGATGATGTGTGGGAGATTTAGCGGGGAGTGCTCTCAGGAAGAGCACGTGTAAGGAAGGAAGCAGGATTTGGCAGTGGAGGAAGCTGAACATCTGCAACAGAATATTCAACTGATCCCAGGGGGATTTAAGCTGGTATAGCCCTTCAGCGTTGCCCAAAATCAAAGCAAGGGGGCCAGGTCATTACAGTCATTAGATGTGAAGGAGGCAGCTCCCTTTGTTGGAGAGAAATACCCAGCCAGGATCTGTCAGCTGCTAACACTCCTGGCAGCTCGGGGAATGTGTCCCTGGTCCTAAGGAGTGTCTGAAGGGGTAGCCTAGAATCTACTAGAAGGATGAAGTTCAAGCTCCTCACTGTGACCCACAAAACCCTCATGATCTGGGCTTTGCCAATCTCTCCAGCCTCGTCCACCCCACTCTCTCTCTCTGAGTCTGTGCTCCAGCCTTTTCTGGAACACAGCATGCTCAGGTCCCACCTCCAAGCCTTTGCATTTGCTGTCCCTTCTGCCTGCCTGTGCGGCCTCCCCTGTCACCCAGTTTACCTCTATTCATCCTGCATATCTCAGCTCAAACATCACTTCCTCAAGGACGCCTTCTCTGATTATCAGACCAGACCAGGTTTCCCTGTTATCAGTTCATAAATTCTTCTATTTTTCCTTCAAAATATGTATCACATTTTGTATTTAAGTAATTGTTAGATGCCGGTCTCTGCTGTTAAGATACATGCACTTGGGGGCAGGGACAGGTCTGACTCGCCCACCACAGCATCCCCAGCACTCCATGCAGGGACTCACACATGGAAGACATTCAACAGATACTGTCAAATGCATTAATAAGCACAGGCTTTGAATAAGGTCTCTTTGAGTCTGTCTCCTCTCAGTAAAGTGAGCATAGCAAGTTTCCTTTGCAAGGTTGCTGTATTACATGGTTTATCTAGCAGAGATCTCGGGCTCTCAACAAAGGTTGGCTCCTTTCACTTCATGGGAAAAGACTGTAGGGTGACCAGTCATCCCAGTTTGCCTATGTCTGAGAGGTTTCCTGGGATGTGGAACTTTCAGTGCTAATACCGGGCAGTTTCAGGCAAATTGAGATGGCTGATCACCCTAAATTGGGGTGAGAAGGAAAAAGGGGCATTTCATATTAGTACAATAGTCAGGATATAGTAGCAAACCAGCTCTTTAGGACAAACCAACCAACCAACCTCAGTTTGTACTATTAGTCAGTTTCCACTGTGTAAATACCCCCACCATGACTGCAAAGTTCCTGAGCTCTCATGAGCCAGTAGGAGCTGGCTCTAGTAACCTGTATGTGTGTATATATAAATATTTTTTGTTTTGTTTTGTTTTGTTTCGTTTCGAGACAGAGTCTCACTCTGTAATCCAAGCTGGAGTGCAGTGGCACAATCACAGCTCATTGCAGCCTCAACCTCCTGGGCTAAAGTGATCCTCCCACCTCAGCCTCCCAAGTAACTGGGACCACAGGTGCATACCATCATGCTGGCTAATTTTATTTTTTGTAGAGATGTGGTCTCGCTATGTTGCCCAGGCTGCTCTTGAACTCCTGGACTCAAGCAATCCTCCTGTCTCAACCTCCCAAAGTGTTGCAATCACAGACAGGAGCCACCAAGCCCAGCTCAATAACCCATATTTAATATGAGCTCTCAGGTTTCTATTGCAAATGTGCCACACAGCCATAGACAACCTCAACTGTGGTGCAAGTGAGAATATTTCAATCCTGAGAAGGTCACAGCTGGAGTGGAGCTTGGAGATTAAAACCGCTTTTATAAAACTTATGACAGTGAAAAAAATCTGACATAAAAATATTTAACAGTAAAAAAAATCGATATAACTGACTCCATCTTACTTCTAACCTCACAAGCTAACTGTCTTCACTCATGCCTGGACATAGACCAAACTAACTATTCAAAAATTGAGTTAATAGTTTAAGACAAAAATAATTAACAGTCCTTTCTTGAAACTAACCCCCTCTTTACTCAGTGACCAAAACTGCCTTTATAAAATTATGACTCCAGAGAAATATAGCCAGAGGTTACAGAACTTGTAACCTCCCCAGCGACTCCTATAGATAACATCACTACTGTCAAAACCTAAAATTGGCCTTTAAAATATTTTTTGAACTTTTACATTCTGACGATTCTACCCAGACCTGTGACTCATAGCAAAAAACTAATTCAACCAGTCCTATAACCCCCACCCCGAAACTGCCTCAGTATAAAAAAGCCAGCTTCGACTTCCTATAATTTCATCCCCAATCCAACCAATCAACATTTCCCTCTCCCTAGCCCCCTGCCCGCCAAACTATCCTTAAAAAATGCTACCTTCCAAACTTTCAGAGACATAAATTTAAATAATAAACCCCCATCTTCCCACTTGACTAGCCCTACATTTATTAAACTCTTCCTCTACGATAATACCATTGTCCTAATAAGTTAATTTTATCCATACAACAAACAAACAAAGGCTGGGTGCTGTGGCTTACACCTGTAATCCTAGCACTTTGGGAGGCCAAGGTGGGTGGGTCACGAGGTCAGGAGTTCAAGACCATCCTGGCCAACATGGCAAAATCCTGTCTCTACTAAAAACACAAAAATTAGCCTGGCGTGGTGGCGCATGCCTGTAATCCCAGCTACTCAGGAGGCTGAGGCAGAGAATTGCTTGAACCCAGGAGACGGAGGTTGCAGTTAGCCGAGATCGTACCACTGCACTCCAGCCTGGGCGACTGAGAGAGACTCCGACTCAAAACAAACAAACAAACAAACAATTCATCAGACGATGATAAGATCTTCTAGTCCAAGCCCATAAGTAATCCATCACATAGGCCACTTATTCCCCATCCTGTGTCCACAACTGACATTGCTAATGGGTCATGAGGCTGAGTAGCACTATAGCCTACAGTCCCCACTCACCACTTCCGCAGGTAGCCACACCCAATTAGCCAGTGTTGTGCGTGAGAAAATCTGCTTACCTTCATGGGTAAGTGTAGTCTTATTCCTTCATTATACGGGGAAGGAAGCTTAGGCTCAGAGAGGTAGAGGGACCTGCCCAAGGCCACACAGCCCAGGAGTAGCTCAGCTGGGACTGAAGAACAGGTCCCTTGCCTCAATTGCTCTTTCAATGCTGCCTTGCATTGAAAAGCTGAGTACCCAGAGTAGGGAGAAACAAAGGGAGGCCATCCAGGATTCTGAGGCTACATTCTGGAAAACTGTGCTTAGACACCCCCACCCCCAACCCTTTTTGCATCCTGAGGGCTCCTTATTACGTCTACATGTAAATACTGTTTGTATGGAGGAAGCACTTTTTAAAAATTGCAAAAGTTGGGCCAGGTGCAGTGGCTCACGCCTGCAATCCCAGCACTTTGGGAGGCCAAGGCAGGCAGATCACTTGAGGTCAGGAGTTCGCGACCAGCCTGTCCAACATGGTGAAACCCCGTCTCTACTAAAAATACAAAAATTAGCCAGGTGTGGTGGCGCTTGCCTGTAATCCCAGCTACTCGGGAGGCTGAGGCAGGAGAATCGCTTGAACCCAAGAAGCGGAGGTTGCAGTAAGCCAGGTGTGGTGGCTCAGGGCTGTAATCCCAGCACTTTGGGAAGCTGAGGTGGGTGGATCTCTTGAGCTCAGGAGTTCAAGACCAGCCTGGTCAACCCCTGTCTCTACTGAAACTACAAAAAAGTAGCCGGTTGTGGTGGTGCACGTCTGTGGTCCCAGCTACTCAGGAGGCTGACATGGGAGGATTGCTTGAGCCCCCCGTGCAGGGGTGGAGGTTGCGGTGGGCCAAGATCCCTCCTGCACTCCAGTCTGGGTAACAGAGTGAGACCCTGTCTCAAATTAAAAAAAAAGAAAACAAAATTTTAAAAGTCATATGCTCATTGCAAAAAAAATCCAAACAAGAGAAGAGTATATAAAAGAAAACACCTTTGTCCGGTCTCCCCAGGGTAACTTCTGTTAATGATTTAGATCCTTCTAGGCCTTTTCCTGCCAATTTGCAACTGTATACTGATCACAAATAGACTAAAAGATTAGCTGTTCACCAGTCTGCCACTGACCCCATCTCTGAGAACACTACCTAGCACCTAGCAGGCACTCAATAAATATTTGCCAAATGGCTTTTGTTCACTTATAATGGCTTAGATTTCTTTCTGTATGAATATAGGTGGGTCCACCTCTGTCTTTTTAAAGTCCTGTTGTACTTCATCGCATGGTCTCATAAATTAACAGTCCCTTCGGTGAGCATTTAGACTGCGTTACATTTTTCCCGTAACAATCCCAAGGCCTTGCTCTCTGGCTCGCCTGCAAGGCTGGCACCAAAGTCCCTTCCCATGGCTTCCAAATGCCGCTGTCCATCAAATCTCCATAGTCTCTGGTTTCCTGGGATCACCAACAGACAACCCGAAGCGGAGGAGCTGGCGGCATTTGGGACCAGCTCCCAGGAGCAGGGTCAGGTTGCAGCGGGTGGATGACAAGTCCCTGAGCCCGCAAGGCTCCACCACCCCTACATCCAGAGGCTGCTGCCCCAGATGATGCCCCGTGGCTCACCCCCAGAAGCAGGGGATTAACCAGGAGGCATCTCCTGGGTGCTGACAGCCCTGGAGCCTGTGGCCTGGGGAAAAGGCCCATTTCCAGGCCTTGGGTCAGCTCAGCAACCCTAAGGGCCTTGGAGAGCAGAAATGATTGTGTGTGCAGAAGGCAAGAAAGGTCAAGGGGAGAGGGTCTAAAAGGAGACCCACCTACCTGTGCACAGGCCTGCCCAGAAACCCAATGCCCATGGACACTTCCAACAGGCATCTCTCACCCATGGTGTCCAGTACTGAACTCCTGACCCTTCCTCCTCAAACCCTCACCCCATCTCAGTTCATGGCAACACCATCCTTCCATGGTTCAGGCAAAAGCCTTGGGACCATCTTTAACTCCTCTTTCTCTCAATCCTATCCAGTCTATAAGTTTTGCTTCAAAATGTGTCTTCTCACCACCTCTGCTACTACAAGGTAGTGGTGCAAACCACCATCTTCTCACCAGTCATAATGTAATAAACTCACTACCAGGTCTCCATGCCACCTCCCCTCACCTAATACCTATTTTCCCAAAACAGCCTTTTCTCAACACAAGAGCTAAAAGAATCTCATCAAATGGGTCAGATCCTATCTGTCTTTTTTTTTTTTTTTTTTTTTTAGAGATAGGGTCTCACTGTGTTGCCCAGGCTGGTCTTGAACTCCTGGGCTCAAGCAATCCTCCTGCCTTGGCCTCTTAAAGCGCTGGCCTTCTCTGTACATCCCATCAAGGGTACATACTGTAGGTTTGTCTGTCACTGATGATGTTAAATTTGATCACTTTGTTAAAAGGTAGCCATAGGCCGGGCACAGTGACTCATGCCTATAATCCCAGCAATTTGGGAAGCTGAGGCAGGAGGATGGCTCGGGCTCAGAAGTTTGAGACCAGCCAGGGCAACATGGAGAAACCCCGTCTCTACAAAAAAATTAGCCAGGCATGGTGATGTGTGCCTGTAATCCTAGGTACTTGCAGGCTGGGGTGGGAGGATCACTTGAGCCCAGGAGGTCGAGGCTGCAGTGAGCCGTGATTGTACCATTGCACTCCAGCCTGGGTGACAGAGCAAGACCCTGTTAAAAAAAAGAAAAAGAAAAAAAAGGTATCCATAAAGGATTCCAATTTAATTAAAAATAGAAATAATAAAAACATGGTACATGCCATCCAGAGTGTCCCCTGCAGGCTGCATGCAGCTGTCCAGCCTCCATGTGTGACTCCAGCTCTACCCCATCCACAGCAATGGGCAGCCAGCAGTGGCAGGAAGACCTCCAGGCACAAGGTGCTCATTCCTGGCCTGGAGCAGGGGTCACTCTGGAGTTCCTAGCACACCTGGGCTGCTCTGTGGATTCTGCCAGGCACAGATCTGTGCCAGGCAACTCTCATCAGTTCCCTTTAAGCAGGGAGTGAAAGTTACACGGGAGGGAGGTGTGCCAGCCCTAACTTCTCTCCTACTCTGTGGCTTCAGCTCGGGAAGGGATAGGTGAGAACAAGGATAACCCTCCAAGGCAGGAAGTCTATGGCAGGAAGCAACCCTGTCCCCCTCGCCCCACACCCCACCCTCAACCAGGGCCCTCAGAAAATGAGACTCGGCATTCCTCATGAGGGTGTGGAGGGCAGGGCCTGCTCCGGGGAACAGCTGCTGGGCACGGAATTAGCAGGTCCCGGAAACAAGCAAGCTCGATGAATCCCAGAAGCCTGGCCTCGGACAGGGGCACGTCTGCAGAGATTTGGCCAATCGGGCACATGAATCACTGAAAACAAGGCCGTGGACAGGAAAGACTAATACGGTCCGCTTTTCTGTTCTGCTAAGGGTCTGCTGTGCTCTCCTGGGGTCTCCATAGAATGCCCAGAAGCTGCCAAGACAGCAGCTCAGCTGACTGTCACGCTGATGCCTGGCTGTGAACTGGGACATGAGATTTCCAAGATGAGGTTAAATTATGCTGATTCTACATTCGAAATGGAATCATGTCTGGCATGGATTCCATCTACACTGGCAGGACTCAAGGCAGAACTAAGCGAATCAAAGTCTTGTCTTATTTACTGTTCCAAAGTCAAAAACTCGTTTTTGTCCTCAAATATCCTCCCGAAGACAGTGACAGCTATGGTTCAGGCCATCCTGAATTAATTCACCCTTTGGAATGTGAAGGAAATACGGGAATATATATTTTGGCATTTCCTATGTGCCAGGCATGATGCTCAGTGCTTCATTGTCTTGTTTCATTGTCTCGACCATATTCTGAGGGCGATTTTAACACATCCCTAAAGGAAAAAAGGAAACAGAAGCTCAGGGAGGTTACATGGTGCACCCAGGTTCATATGGTTAAGAACCGGCACAGCTGGGATTTGAACCCAGATCTGCCTACTCTAAGTCTCAGTTGCTTAAATATCACATGTCTTCCTTTAGTAATATCAGATTCTCTCAGGGCCTCTACACTTGATTTTCAATAACAGTCAAACTATTTTAAGTTAAAAGAGATTCCTTTTCACCTGAAAAACAAAAACAAAAAGATCCACTAGAACTAAGAAATTAACTGAGCAAGGTAAAAGAATTCAAAGTCAATATACAAAAATAGTTGTATTTCTATAAACTAGCAGTGAACAATTGAAAAAATAAAATGTTAAATGCCGTTTACAATAGCACAGAAAATAAAATATCTAGGGATAAAATTAACAAAAGATGTGTAAGACATTGAATTCTCTAAAACATTGCTGCGTGAAATTAAAGAAAACCTAAACAAATAGGGATATATACCATGTTCACGGGTTGGAAGCCTCACTGCTAATAAGATGTCCATTCTCTCAAACTGATCTATAGATTTAATACAGTCTTCATCAAAATCCCAGCAGGCCTTTTTCAGAAATCAAGAGGCTGGTTTTCTTTTCTTTGTTTGTTTTGTTTTGTTTTTGTTTTTGAGACAGGGTCTCACTCTGTTGCCCAGGCTGAAGAAGCTGGTTTTAAAATGGAAATGATCCAGAATAATCCAATTTTGAACAGGAAGAGCAAAGTTGAAGAATTTACTCTGATTTTATGACAATATAAAGCTACAGTAACCAAGGCAGCATGACATTGGCATAAAGATAGACAAACTGATCAACAGAAAAGATATTCTATTATGCAAATAAATAAATAAATATGGAAGTTAAGTTCCTTCAAGCTTATCTCTGCAAGGAACATGTATCACAGGCCCAGAGAATGTGATACCAGGTACTTACTGCTCAGTCCTCCAGCCTGGCAAAATCACGTAACTCCCGTGTTCAGAGTCAATTGGACTAAAATTAGCTGAAGTCATAAGCTTTGAGCAGAAGAAAGAAAACTGGATCCAGAGCGCAGAAGCTTGGGTTTTTGACCCAATCGTCATAATTAAACATAAAGTCTCAACTTTTCAGCATGTAACAATAATAGTAGTAGTAGTAGTAATAAAAGCACTAACACATGCCATACCCTGTTCTAAGAGCTTTACATGGATCAGGGCCTCATTTAATTCTCTCAACAAAATAGAATAAAAGAGAAAATAGCAAGCATTGCACCTAGGAAGGGAAATCTTGTTCCATGACGGTTTGTTTCAATTTTACATTCTTTTTAGATGTGTATAGGTATAGAATTACAATGTAAAATACATATTTTTTTGCATTCACTGCCAGGGAAGGAATAAAACACATATCTTATAGTGGGATTGCAATTATAACAGTTTACAAGCCACTAGGGTAGTAGATGAGAGGGTTATGAGGTAACCCAAGTGATACAGTGCCCATAAGACTTTTAGCCGGAGTCTGGTACATAGTAAAGGCATATTAACTAGTAGCCAGGCACAGTTATTACTATTGTCAAGGCCAGCTTCATGGGTGCTGGAACCATGCAGTCTCGTAGGACCCAGCACTCAGAAGGGCCCTGCGTCTGGGTTAATGCTCTGTTGTCCCCATCTTAAAATTCTTAATGATTTTAAAGAAGGGGTCCACATTTTCATTTTGCACTGGGTCTCACGAATTATGAAGCATGTCCTAGTCTGTATCATTGTTTACCATTTATTATTTAAAATACTTATTTATATTACAAAATGTTTAATGATCACTTATTATTATCAAATTGCATCTCTGCTTCTTATTAGCTGGACGACCTTGAGTGAGGTACTTGCATGATCTCCATGTCAGTTTCCTCATATGTAAAACAGGAGCCGTAACTACTTCTCCATGAGGTTGTTGTGTGAAGGTTTAAACAATACAACAGGCTGGGTGCAGTGGCTCACCCCTGTAATCCCAGCACTTTGGGAGGCCAAGGCAGGGGGATCACCTGAGGTCAGGAGCTCAAGACTAGCCTGGCCAAAATGGTGAAATCCCGTCTCTACTAAAACAAAAAGTTAGCTGGGCATGGTGGCACATGCCTGTAGTCACAGCTACTGAGGAGGCTGAGGCAGGAGAATTGCTTGAATCCAGGAGGCAGAGGTTACAGTGAGCCAAGATTGCGCCATTGTACCCCAGCCTGGGTGACAAGAGCGGAATTCCGTCTCAAAAAATAAATAAATAAGTAACATAACATACCTCAAGTACCTCAAGTGCTAGGAATGGTGCCTGGGACTTAGTAAGCACTCCAAAAATATTAACTATCTTTATTATTATTATATTTATTTTATTTTTTTTTGACACAGTGTCTCATTCTGTTGCATAGCCTGGAGTGCAGTAGCGTGATCATGGCTCACTGCAGCCTCGACCTCCCGGGCTCAAGCGATCCTCCCACCTTAGCCTCTCAAGTAGTTGGGACTATAGGCATGTGCCACCATGTCCAGCTAATTTTTGTATTTTTCTTTTTTGTAGAGATGGGGTTTCACCATGTTGCCCAGGCTGGTCTTGAACTCCTGGCTCCAGCAATCTGCCCACCTTGGCCTTACTGTTATTATTTTTATTAGCTTTATGGAAAAAAGTCAACTTTGGGCTTGATTCTTCCAGTGCACATTTTGGGGTGGGATTAATAAAGTCATCAGTGGTTCTGGAACTTATTTGAGCCAGAGATGACTTGGAGAATCTGAGACTATGTGAGAAAATGCCTCCCAGAAAAACACAGATAGTCTTGCACGTATGTTCACATCACGCCTGAAGTTTCAGGGTATTTATGGGTCTCTGAGGCCAACGCAGGGGCCCCAGGACCAAGAACCTCAGAAAATAACAAGCACTAAGGACTCTAGGAGGTCCAGAGTCCGCGAGTGTCTCGGTGGGAACAGCCAGCCAGCCACGCAACAGGCACATAACTCTTTCAGGGCTGGGGCATGTGCGGATGCTTTAAGTCAGCAGCTGTTTTTAGCTTTGCTATATATGGCCAGGGGAGGAATGAGGGCTATAGGAGGGGGAGGGGTGCCAAGCAGCTTACAACAGGGTTTGGGAGGCCAGAGCTCCTGCACCAGCCCCACCTTCCCCTTCCCATGCGAGAGCTGGAGAGCTTATCCTCAGACCAAAGAGAAAGCCTAGAGGACAGGGAGGGGTCGGCGAGATGGGAATGACAGGGCTTTGAAGAAGACGCCAAGTCAAGTCACCTTAGAACAATGAGTGTCAAACTTTTTGGACCATGACTTGCAGTAAGAAACACACTTTACATTGCAAAACACACATACATGCAGACACTTTTAAACACACACGAACTCTCACACATTGTGTGTGTGCATATATATGTGTATCTCGCCAACTGAATAAATCTTTCAGAAAATAATACTTTATCTTATTCTCTGTGAAATACTCCGATACTTTTCTATTCTGTTCTGTTCTTTCCTTTTGAAAAATGCAGGTCGTGACCCACTGAATTGACTTCACCATCCACTAATGCGTTGTCCTCTCCAGTTTGGAAGACTGCTGTTTCCTTTGTAGCATTTGACTGCAAGAAAAGGAGGGCAGTGAAGAAGACTTCTGAACCTTTGAGGATAAAATGCAAGTTTCAGCTTTATCTCCTAGCTGGATGGCAAGTTTTGGACCTCCCAGCTTTTGCATGCTCTGTCCTCTCGTCCTGGAGTCTCCCTCCGCCCTCGTCACCTGGCTCACTCCTGCACATATGTCGGGGCTTGGCTTGCAGCTGACTTCAGGAAGCCTCCCTGAATGCCTGCGTCTGGTCAGCTGCCCACTCTGGCTTTGTTACTCCCCTGTCTGTCCCTGCCTAGCACCCAACACAGAACAGCAGGACAATTTCCTGTTAGATTTGCTGTGAAGACAGGGAGCGTTTCCCTTCTGCTTATTCCTACGCCGCAGGTGTAGCGCGGGGCTAGCTGCATCGGAGTCCCTAAATAAATATTTACTGGATGAATTAATAATAGGTAATAGTAATAAGAGCAACCACCATTTACTAAGTACTCATTCATCCCAGGAGAAGTCTTTTGAGAGATTAGGATAGGTCCATTTTATAGACAAGGAAATTAAGGTTTGGTGAGTTTAAATAATGTGGCAGGGCCAGGAGAATGACCCAGGGCTGCCTGACTCCCAGCCGTTCCTAATCACAGGATCTTATTTGTCCACATCCCCCTCAGTGATACCCACGTCGGGGCAAAGGGTGAGTGCAGATCCTTAACAAACCCTCAGGGGACTGATGACAGGTTGATTAAAGAGATTTTCCGAAGCAGTGGCCACGTCTAATTTTGGAGAGTTACACCTCGTGTGTGGCTTGGGAAAGAGAATCTGTGAGGTTTCCAGGGCCGCTGGATGTGGGGTCATCTCATCTGGGAGAAGTCTGGGGCTCTGACAAACCAAGGCAGCAGGGCTTCTGGTCACCTGGCCTGAAGAGCTCCTGGGCACACCTGGGATAAAACCCAGGACCTGCAAAGCCTGTGTGATCCAGCCCAGGCCACGATGTCTGCACCCCTCGCTCACTCTGGCATTCTTGCTGTTCTTCAAACCCGCCAAGCCCAGCACTGCCTCGGGGCCTTTGCAACAGGATTCCCTCTGCCTGAGGGACCTACTTCCTCTACAGGCTCCTCCATCCTCCTTCTGAGACGACTCCATCTAAGAACACCTTCCTCTTCCGCCTCTGTTAGTTTTTTCCATAACACTTGTAACTTTTGGAGATTACATGTATGTTTGTTTTCTAGTTTATGTTTTTCCACTGGACAGGGAGCTCCTTGAGGACCTTGTCTTGCTCGCTGCCCCCACCCTAAAACTTGCTGTAAAGCAGTTCCTGGAACAGAGCAGGTGCTCAGTAGTACTGGTTGCATGAATGAATGAATGAATGAATAGGTTTTCCTCTTTTAGACACATTGGGAGATGGGCCTATGGTTTCCTATGCTCATTTTGACCCAGAGATTTGTGTCCTGTGACTCACATCCAGACCCAAAACACACACATACACACGCACACATAAATACACACACACACAGACACGTGCACACACAGACACACATGCACACACACATACACACACCTTGGTTTGAAGAGAAGAGGGATGGGAACAGACATTCTACGCATGCCTACAGTGCACCACTGTGCATAGGTAACTGATGCTGTATAAGCACTCAAGGATTATCTCCATTTTTAGCCAGAGAAACTGAGGCTTGCTTTCTGCTGTGTCTCCAGTGCCTAGCACTGTGCCTGGCATAAACATCTGCTGAACTGAATTGCACTAGATTCAAGAGGCTCAGAAAACAGTTCAAGGTCACCCAACTAGCAAGTTGTGGAGCCAGAATCTGTGCTCAGGGCTGTTCAGTCCCCAGCCAGTGCCGGGTAGCAGCCATAGGCACCTGCACAAACTCCAGCGACCTCGTTAACTTCCAAACACGGTCTCGAGGGCAGGCCCTCACCCAGACACCCACCAACTGGCAGCTCAGATGCAAATCTATCCTGCATCTGAGGCTGCTCTCAACATGCCCAGGGGCCTCGGCTTCAGCAAACCTTGCTCCCTGGGCTAGCTGATGCCTTTTCCTGCCCCAGCTACCCTGATCCCAGCCCCAGTCCCACACTTCCTGGCCACTGTCAAAAAGAGGAGACACTAGTGACGAATATAATGTCCTATGAATGCCTTCTGATGCCAAATGTCATTTGTAAAAATTAGCCAGTTTTGAGTTATCTGTGTCAGTTCCTCTTTCCAATGCAGCTCATTAGGAAGACTCCATGGAATTATCCTGCGTCAGAAAGAGTTTGAGTGATGATTCAAAACTGCAGCCAGCAAACTTTCGCTGGAAAGAGTCAGGTAGGGCGGGGTGTGATGGTTCACACCTGTAATCCCAGCACTTTGGGAGTCCAAGGCAGGTGGATCACTTGAGGTCAGGAGTTCAAGACCAGCCTGGCCAACGTGGCAAAATCCCATTTCTACCAAAAAATTAAAAAAAAAAAAATTAGCCAGGTGAGGTGGTGGGTGCCTGTCCCAGCTACTTGGGAGGCTGATGTAGGAGAATCACTTGAACCTGGAAGGCAGAGCTTGCAGTGAGCTGAGATTGTGCCACTGCACTCCAGCCTGGGCGACAGAGTAAGACCCTGTCTCAAAAAACAAACAAACAAAAGAAGTCAGATAGTAAATACTTTGGGTTTTGCAGGACAAGAAGCAAAATTGAGGATGTTACGTAGGGGCTTTCAAATAATTTCACATGTCAAAAAGTGTTCTTCTTCTTCTTCTTCTTCTTCTTTTTTTCCATCATTCTCAGCTTATAAGCTGTGCAGAACTGACAGCAGGCTAGTTCGGCCCACGACCTATGGTTTGCTAGGCCCTAATTTAAAGCAACTTTTTAAACTTTGATGTTATAAAAATTGCCTGATACACTTGTGAAAGCAGTGTTTGGACACACACTCAGAGATTCTGATGAGAAGGTCTGGGTGGGCCACTGAATTTGCATTTCTAACTGGTGGATCAATGGTGCTGATGCTGCCCGTCCACCGTCCACATTTTGAGCAGTACTGATATTCTAAAGTGTCCCTTTTCACAGATGAGGAAACTGGCTTAGCTAAGTGATATGTCCATGTACACCCTGTGGACTAGGTAATGACATCTGCTCTGCCACTCCACAGGGCTGTTTTGCCACAGAAAACTCCTCTCTGATTCTTTAACCCACTGCTACCCTCATGCTTCTGAGCCTTTGTCTTCACTCTTCTCTCTGCCCCATGCCCACCCTCACAAACGTAACTGTCCTGTCGAGACCAAGCTCAGGCGTCAGCTCCATTTAAAGTATTTCCTGACCTCCTCAAATCTAAATTCTCCTTTCTGCAACAGTATCTGTACATACTTGTGTATAATGTGTATAACTGTTTGTCTGCATGCCTATCTTTGTTTTTCGATTTTTCGTTTTGTAAAAATGGGGATCTTGCTAGATTGCCCAGGCTGGTGTTGAACTCCTGGCCTCAAGTGATCCTCCCACCACAGCTTCCCAAAGTGCTGAGATTACAGGCGTGAGCCACGGAGTCCAAGAATTGCTTGAGCCCAGGAGTTTGAGACCAGCCTGGGCCACATAGTAAGACCCCATCTCTACAAAAAAAGAAAAAACAATTAATTAGCTAGGCTTGGTGGCATGTGCCTTGTAGTTCCAGCTACTCAGGAGGCCAAGATGGGAGGATTGCTTGAGCCCAGGAGTTCAAGGTTGCAGTGAGCTGTGATTGTGCCACCGCACTTCAGCCTGAGCAACAAAGCAAGACCTATCTTTAAAAAATTTAAAAAAGGAAACACAAAAGGAATGTAGGCCCGGCACAGTGTCCCACACCTGTAATCCCAGCAATTTGGGAGGCCGAGACAGGCAGATTGCTTGAGCTCCGAAGTTTGAGACCAGTCTGGGCAATATGGAAAAGCCCTGTCTCTACAAAAAAAAAAATAATAATACAAAAATTAGCCAGGCATGGTGGTGCACACCTGTAGTCCCAATTACTAGGGAAGCTGAGGTTGGTGGACCACTTGATCCTGGGAGATCAAGGCTGCAAAGAGCCGAGATCATGCCACAACACTCCAGCCTGGGCAACAGAACGAGAACTTGTCTTGGAAAAAAAAAAAAAGAATCCATGGATGGATCATAGATGGATGGATGGATGGATGGATGGATGGATGGATGGAAAGATGGATGGGTGGATGGGCAGGTAGATGTATGAATGGCTGGATGGGTAGATGAATGGTTGGGTGGAAGCATGAATGCGTGGGTGGGTAGATGGATGGATGGGCAGGCAGGTGGGTGGATGGATGAATGGATGGATGGACGGGTGGGTGGATTGGTGTGTGGATAGATGATGAGTGGATAGTTGGATGGGTGGATGGATGGATGGGTGGGTGGATGAATACTCCTCATGATCTATTGCTTGAAAATAATTTTCATGGCAAAGTTAAGACTAGACCCTAATTCTGCTAGAGTATATTCCATGGCTGTTTATGTTGGGGCATACCGAACATGCTAATGGTAGTAGTTATATTTTATTGTGTGTTGAGTGTGCACTTACATGGCAGGCTTTGTACTAAGCACTGCCACTAATCCTCTCAATAACCCCTTTATTAGCTCCATCTTTACTACAAGAAAATGGAAGCTCAGAAAGGTAGAGCAGCTTGCCCAAAACCACACAGCAAATCACTTCCTAGCCCATCTGATTCTGTGCCAATTGCCGGTCGCCTTTCCCACCCTCCACCAGGGTTTCTCACCCTCCCTGGCTCCACCCCACCTCTGCGGGCCCCCAGCTGGCCTCACCTCCATCAGCATAGGTCTCGGTGCCATAGCCGTCTTGCAGGCCATTGTTCCAGGTGCCCTCATACTTGGCACCGCTGCTTGAGCTCTGCCGGATTCCGTAGCGTCCCTTGAAGCCATGTGTCCACTCGCCCTTGTAGAGCCAGCGCCCCTTGGTCTCTATGCCCAGCCCATGCCGTTTGCCCTGGCTCCAGTATCCCTCAAAGGTGTTTCCGCTGGGCCAGGTGTAGACACCTGCCACCTCAAAGCCAAAGTTCCAGGAGCCAGAGTATTCGCCCTGGCCCTTGGGGCCTGTGCACAGTCCATGCCCATGGGCCTTTCCCCCCTCCCAGCCCCCGCAGTACGCCCCTCCATCATCAAAGTCGAAGCGGCCCCCACTCATCTCATCATAGCCCCTGACAACCTCCCCGTCCTCCAGCGTGGGTGCAGAGGGCGTGGGTGATGCCTGCAACACTCCTCCAGTGCCCTCGGGGGCAGGCCCCCAGACTCACCACTGCACCCCAGGAGGGGGGAAGCAGGATGCCAGCAGAGGCTGAAAGAGCCCCGGCGCCAAGTCAGCACCGGGTCGGCTAGTCAGTGCCATGCCCGGGAGCCCCGACTCCACCAGCCAGAGCAAGGCTGCCTGCTGGAAAGAAAGCAGGAAGGAAAGGTTCAAAGTCCCCACAAAGCGTCCCAAGTCTGCCTTCCAAGAAGTCCAAGGGAAAACGGTGTGATCTCTTTAAGAAGCCCAGTGAAAGGGTGGGGTGGAGGGGTCCCCAGCCTTTTCAAAGAGGGGAAATTCCCCTCGGTGGCAGCCCCCGCCGGAGGCTGAATTCCCGCAGCCCGCTGGCCCCCTTCTCCACCCCAGTGGGTGTGCGGGGCTGTCGGTCTCCCCGCCGCTGCCCCGCCCCCTTCTCCAATCCTGCCCTCCTTCTGGGACGGAAAGGTCAGTGTTGCCCTAACAAGGCCATTGGATCTCAGAAGCTGCTCCCAAAATAACCCCCAGCCAGCCCAGCCTTCTTCAAAGCGGGAAGGAGGGGTATTTCAAATCGCGCCCGTGCCGCAGACCCGGGCAGTGGCTGGAGGCATGAGGAAGGAGGCTGAGAACTGAGTGCAGGCAGCCCAGGGAACCTGGTGTCTTTTCCTCCCGGGAATGAGAGCTCCCTTCCATTCTCAGAGTCCCCTGGGTCTGCGCGCAGGGAGGGCACCGGGGAATCGGGGAAGGGAGGGGAGAGGGAGACCAGCAGAACACCCAGTCCTGGAACACTGAAAATCCCCCAGAGCGAGGAGGTTGGCAGATCTCAGCCCCATCACCACTCACATGCCCTAAGGGGACCTGGGGTTACAGCACCACTGCCAGCCCCATCAAGGAATCCAGTGACCTAAAGAGAAAGGAATGGAGACAGTTTCACATGTGCTTCCGAAAGCAGAGGAGGGAAGTCAGAAAGAGAGGGGAGGCTGTGGAAACAGGGTCTGGAAGATACACAGAATCTCAGTCCAGTGCTCACTCACCACCCTGAGCTCCCTCCACCCCTGGAAGCCGGGGAGAACTTGGTGCAAGAAGCAACCATCTATTCCCTTTCTCTTTCTCCTGAAGGGCAAAGAGAAGGGAGAGGAGCCTGCCCTCCTCTCTGCCTGAGACACAGACTGGGCGTCCCGCTAGCTTCCTCTCCCCACCCCTTGATGCCTCGGCGCCCTCCCTGCCCCCTGCCGCAGACCCAGCAGACCCTGAAGGTCAAAGGAGTCCCCTTCCTGTCAACACAGGGTTGTGTTGTAATGAGGTCCTCTCAGAAATTCTCAAGGGTCATGATTTTTTAAAATTTCCCTTTCTGAGCTGTCTTTTGCTCTAGTGTCCTAGGAGCCTGTGAGGCCAGACTTCAGAAAGCTCTTGGGGCAGGGCCAGGAGAGAAGGGCCTGGGTGGATTCCCAGCCACTCAGGTTCCCACCAAACTCCAGTAAAAAGAACAAATAAATCTCCATGGCAAGAAGCTGTGGCCAGAGCTAATGATTGTAAATCCCAGCTAAGCCCAAGGTTAATGGGAGTATAGAGGAATTCTGGGAAAGGTAAGAGCCACCAAGACTAGGAAGATCTGTGTGTGTGTGTGTCTGTGCGTGTGTGTGAACGTGTGTCTGTGAGAGTGTGAGAGAGTGTGTGTGAGTGTATGTGAGTGTGTGTGGTAAGAGTGTGTGTGTTTGTGTGTGTGTGGTAAGTGTGTGTTTGTGTGAGTGTGTGTGGTAAGAGTGTGTGTGTTTGTATGTGTGTGTGGTAAGAGTGTGTGTGTTTCCATGTGTGAGTGTGTGTGTGTGAGTGTGTGTGTGAAGATGGGGACAGAAGAGAAAGAGAGAACTAAGCACAGAAGGTACTAGAGAACATTAGACAATTATCTGACTTTGAACTTATCTGACATATTTCCAAACCCCATGATAACTTAGGCCACGTGAAGTCACTGCGGAAGTCTTGTTCCTGTTTGGGGAGTGGGTAAAAAGTGTTCCCTGCTTTCCTTCCAGTGGGTTACCTGTTCTTAGGACTTGGTTCCATCCTTGGTCACAGCCGCTGACCTTCAAGAGCCCCTTCTATATCTGCGTTTCACCACCAGGTAGAGGCACCCAGCCTCTTGGGCTCACTGTCACCGTCTGTTTGCCAAGCTGACAGGGAGCACGTAGTGGATAAAAACTGTTTCCTCTGGGTGGTTAGGTGTGAGCCCTGGCCAGGCTGACTGACAGCCTGCTTGCACAATTCACTTCTAAGAACATCTCAGGGCTACTCCCAGGGAGTTCTGCTTTCGCCACTTCTCACTAGGTCTTTGGAGAATCACAAACTTCTTTCTAGCTCTGCTGTCAAGGGAAGAGCATCTCAAACTGGAAGCTAGGGGAGTTTGAGCTGCAGATTCAATACCGTAATCATATGTTTATGCCAGGCAGCCATTGCTACATCTTAGCAGGGTGTTCTACCTATGGGAATTTAACCACTGTTCATCCATAGCAGCTCCCTAGGGTAGCTGTCTACCCAGGGTTACTACACATAAGAATCACTTACAGACTTAAAAACATAAAGAGATCCGAGAGCCCCACCCGAGACCTACAGAATTAGATTGTCCTGGGAGAAGACTTGGGCAGTCGAATTCTTTTAAAAGCTCCTCAGATGAATCTGATTTTCATCTCTGGTTAAAAACACTGTAAGTGCTTGTTATAGTGGCTCACACCTGTAATCCCAGCACTTTGGGAGGCCAAGGCTGGAGGATTGCTTGAGCCCAGGTGTTTGAGACCAGCCTGGACAACACAGTGAGACCCCGCCTCTACAATTAAAAATTTTTTTTTTTAATTAGCCAGGTGTGGTGATACACATCTGTGGTCCCAGCTACATGGGAAGTTGAGGCAAGGAGGATCGCTGAGTCAAGGAGTTGGAGGCTGCAATGAGCCATATTTGTGCCACTGCACTCCAGCCTGGCAACCCTGTTTCAAAAAATAAATAAATAGATAGAAAACAACAACAACAACAAAACCAAGGTAAAATTTCAAATTAAGATACTGTTTAATAACATAAAAATTCATGAATCCATTTATTCATGAATCCAGTAGTTTTGGAGTTAGATATGTCTTCAAATCCCAGTCCTGCCCCTCACAAGCTGTGTGACCTTGGACCAATTGTTAATTTCTCTAAACTGCAAATTATTCATCTGTAAAAGTCCCTACCTCAGAGGATTATTGGTATCAAGAATAACAGTATCTACCTTATCTAACTGGGTGAGGATTACACAGTTAATACTGTAAAAAGGCTCAGAACACATTACACATATAATCAGTGTTAGCTCTTATGAGAGTTACTCTTACATACTAAATTACTTTTCAGGCTTAATAAAATAGTCCTCAAAGAGGGAAGAGAGAACCCCTCCTAAATATTAAATATCTTGACATCGAAGCACTCCTTATTCTCATGTTTTAAACTGCAAAACGAAGTTACTGGTAAAGGGATACTTTGACTTTGTAAAAGTTTAAGTAAGATTCTTTGCCAAATTTGGTACTGGCCTTACCTGCCCAGAGCTTTCTGACAAGCTACCATTTGTCCCGCCTTTTAAACCAGTGCATTTCAGGGAAAGGGAGACCTCTTGTGGCGTTATGTGCATTACAACGGACTTTCCTCAGAAAAACCAAGTTCTTCAAATCCAGTGGAATTTACTAAACTTGAAATATTAGCCGGGCATGGTGGTGCATGCCTGTGGTCCCAGCTACTCAGAAGGCTGAGGCAGGAGGATCGCTTAAGGCTGGGAGATCGAGGCTGCAGGGAGCCATGATCACACCACTGCACTCCAGCCTGAGTGATGGAGCAAGATCCTCTCTCAAAAAAATAAATAAATAAATAAATAAATAATAATTTAAAAATAAATAGGCCGGGCACGGTGGCTCACGCCTGTAATCCTAGCACTTTGAGAGGCCAAGGTAGGCGGACTATCTGAGGTCAGGGGTTCGAGACCAGCCTGGCCAACATGGCGAAACCCTGTCTCTACTAAAAATACAAAAATTAGACGGGTGTGGTGGCACCTGCCTGTAATCCCAGCTACTGGGGGCGCTGAGGCAGGAGAATCACTTGAACCCAGGAGGCAGAGGTTGCAGTGAGCCGAGATTGTGCCACTGCACTCCAGCCTGGGCGAGAGTGAGACTCCATCTCAAAAATAAATAAATAAAAATAAAAAATAAAATAAACTTGAAATAATTATAAACTGGTTTTAACGGTAGCTAGCCTATTCCCTCTCTTCATCTCAGATCTCTTCCCACTCCCTAGTTCTGTTCCCTGGTCACTTTCTCCCTCTATTTCCTGCTCAACTTCTCAAGCTTGACTGCTTCTCTGGGAACCTCAAAGGGAGAGAACTGGAAATCCGGAACAAGGAGAAGGACTGCACCCAGAAATCCACTGGAGTTCTTCTTAGCCATGGAAGGCTCAGCAGAGCGAGCCTCACCGTCCAGGAAGCCTTTCCAGGCAGGTGTCCTGGCTGAGCTAGTGCCCTTCCCACATGCTGTCTCCTCCCCCAAACTATGAGTTGTTTAAAGCAAGGATTTTCTTCTTTCCAAAAAACAGTGGATAGTGCTGCAGTGAACATAGGTGTGCATGTATCTTTATAATAGAATGATTTATATTCCCAAAGGAATATAAATATATATTCCTTGGGCACTGCCAAGTGCCCAAGCCACCAAACCCATTCCCAAAGGAATATAAATCAGTAATGCGACTGCTGGGTCAAATGGTATTTCTGGTTCTAGGTCTTTGAGGAATCGCCATAATATCTTCCACAAGGGTTGAAGTAACTTACATTCCCACCAAAAGTATAAAAGCATCCCTATTTCTCCACAGCCTTACCAGCATCTTTTGTTTCTTGACTTTTTAATAATTGCCATTTTGACCGGTATGAGGTGGTTTCTCATTCTGGTTTTGATTTGCATTTCTCTAATGATCAGTGAATCAACCCAAATGTCCATCAATGATAGACTGGGTAAAGAAAATGTGGTACATATATACCATGGAATACTACGCAGCCATAAAAAGGAATGAGATCATGTCCTTTGCAGGGGCACGGATGGAGCTGGAAGCCATTATTCTCAGCAAACTAACACAGGAACAGAAAACCAAACACGTTCTCACTTATAAGTGGGAGCGGAACAATGGAAACACATGGACACAGACAGGGGAACAATGGGGCCTGTGGGTAGGGTGGGGGAACAGGAAGAGAGAGAGCACCAGGATAAATCGCTAATGCATATGGGGCTTAACAGGCTTAATACCTAGGTGATGGGCTGACAGGTGCAGCAAACCACCACGGCACGTGCTTACCTATGTAACAAACCTGCATGCCCTGAACATGTACCTCAGAACTTAAATTATTAAAAAACCTGAGCACCTGCTGTACAGTAGATATTGCAGCTCACCTGTGTCTACCCAGTGCCTGCACATAGTGGCTGCTCCTGGTCTTCCCAGCATCTAGCAGCTGATGACCCCCTTCTGAAATCCTTTTTCAACTGGCTTCTAGAATCTCTCTCGGTTCTGCTCCTGCCTTACTGGTTCCTCCTCATCCCCCTGAGTTCTGTACCTTGGGAATGTCCCAAACCTTCGTTCTCTGGCTTCTTTATCTACATTCATTTCTGAGGAGGTCTCTAGTCACATGGCTTTGCATAACCTCCCTCTACCGATGACTTCGAAGTCTGCATCCCCAGGTTGCACCACTCTCCTGATCTTCAGTCAGACATCCAGCCACCTACTCAACATTTCTAAATATCTCACGAGCATCTCAGATTTGACAAGAACAAATGAAACTCTCAATTTCCACTTGCAAATTTGTCCCTCCAGCCGACTCCAAACTTATTAAAACCTTTGGAGTCAACCTTAATTCCTGTCTTTCTCTCACACCTTAAATCCAGTCCATCGGCAAATCCCTGAAGGGATTTAGATTAAAATAATTCCAGAACAGGCTGGGCACGGTGGCTCACACCTGTAATCCCAACACTCTGGGAGGCAGAGGCAGGTGGATCATGAGGTCGGGAGTTCGAGACCAGCCTGGCCAACATGGCGAAACCCCATCTCTACTAAAAATACAAAAATTAGCCAGGCATGGTGGCATGCACCTGTAGTCCCAGTTACTCAGGAGGCTGAGGCAGGAGAATTGCTTGAACAGGGAGGTGGAGACTGCAATGAGCTGAGATCGCGCCACTGCACTCCAGCCTGAGCAACAGAGCGAGACTCTGTCTAAAAAAAAAAACAAAAACAAAAACAAAAACAAAAAAAACCTTCCAGAACACATATTATCTCCTGCACTGCCAAGTGCCCAAGCCACCAAACCCATTGCCTGACTCACTGAAGTAGCTTCCTAACTGTCCTCCTTGCCTTCCCTTAGTCTGCACATAGTAGCCAGTGCTCTTTCAAAAGGTTAAGTCTCGGCTGGGCATGGTGGCTCATGCCTGTAATCCCAGCACTTTTGGAGGGCAAGGTGGGCAGACTGCCTGAGGTCAGGAGTTTGAGACCAGACTGGCCAAAGTGGCAAAACTCTGTCCCTACTAAACATACAAAAAAATTAGCCAGACATGGTGGTGCACACCTGTGATCCCAGCTACCTGGGAGGCTGAGACACAAAAATTGCTTGAACCCGGGAGGTGGAGGTTGCACTGAGCTGAGATCGTGCCACTGCACTCCAGCCTGGGTGACAGAGCAAGACTCTGT